>NC_000007.14:65234051-65537082 GCF_000001405.40 Homo sapiens | reverse complement strand
TCACATTGTTCAACTCTCACTTATAAGTGAGAACATATGGTATTTGGCTTTCTGTTCTTGTGTTAGTTTGCTGAGAGTGATGGTTTCCAGCTTCATCCATGTCCCTGCACAGAACATGAACTCATCCTTTTTTATGGCTGCATGGTATTCCATGGTGTATATGCGCCACATTTTCTTTGTCCAGTCTATCATTGATGGGCCTTTGGGTTGGTTCCAAGTCTTTGCTGTTGTGAACAGTGCTGCAATAAACATACGTGTGCATGTGTTTTTATAGTAGAATGATTTATAATCCTTTGGGTATATACCCAGTAATGGGATTCCTGGGTCAAATGGTATTTCTGGTTCTAGATCCTTGAGGAATCGCCATGCTGTCTTCCACAATGGCTGAACTAATTTACACTCCCACCAACAGTGTAAAAGTGTTCCTATTTCTCCACATCCTCTCCAGCACCTGTGGTTTTCTGTCTTTTTAATGATTGCCATTCTAACTGGTGTGAGATGGTATCTCATTGTGGTTTTGATTTGCATTTCTCTAATGACCAGTGATGATGAGCTTTCTTTCATATGTTTGTCGGTCGCATAAATGTCTTCTTTTAAGAAGTGTCTGTTCATATCCTTCACCCACTTTTTGATGGGGTTTTGTTGTTTTTTTTTTTTTTTTGTAAATTTGTTTAAGTTCTTTTTAGATTCTGGATATTAGCTCTTTGTCAGATGGATAGATTGCAAAAACTTTCTCCCATTCTGTAGGTTGCCTGTTCACTCTGATGATAGTTTCTTTTGCTGTGCAGAAGCTCTTTAGTTTAATTAGAACCTATTTCTCAATTTTGGCTTCGTTGCCATTGCTTTTGGTGTTTTAGTCATGAAGTCTTTGCCCATGCCTATGTCCTGAATGGTATTGCCTAGGTTTTCTTCTAGGGTTTTTATGGTTTTAGGTCTTATGTTTAAGTCTTAGATCATGCAGTATTTGTCTTTCCATGTCTGGCTTATTTCACTTTACATGGTGTCCTCCAGGTTAATCGATGTGGCAAATTACAAGATTTTATTCTTTTTTTATTTTCTTTAAGTCAGGGTCTTGCTCTGTTGCCTAGGCTGGAGTGCGGTTCCACGATTGCACAGTCATAGCTCACAGCAACCTCAAACTCCTGGGGACTCCAGCCTGGACAACAGCGAAACTGTCCCTAAAAAAAATTAAAAACCAGATTGTTCTTCTTTTTTGATGTAGCCATTTATTGCTGTATACTTATCTCTTAGAACTGCTTTTGTTGCATACCATAGGTTTTGGTATATGTTTTGATTCTTGCTTGTGAAGCGTGTTTCTTCTAGGCAATGTATACTTAGATTTTGTGTTTTAATCTATTCAACCAATGTATACCTTTTTTTTCTTTCTTTCTTTGAGACAGGGTGTCTCTCTGTTGCCCAGGCTGTAGTGTACCTTTTAATTGAAGAACTTAATCCATTTATATTCAAGATTTTTTTCTACTTCTTCTTCTTCTTCTTCTTTTTTTTTTTTTTTTTTTTTTTGTTTCTTTGAGACAGGGTCTCACTCCGTCACCTAGGCTGGAATGCACTGGTGTGATCTCAACTCACTGCAACCTTCACCTCCTGGGTTCAAGTGATTCTCGTGCCCCAGCCTCCCCAGTACCGGGATTACAGGCATGTGCCACCATGCCCAACTAATTTTTTTGCATTTTTATTAGAGACGGGTTTTGCCATGTCGGCCATGCTGGTCTCAAACTCCTGGCCTCAAGTGATTCGCTTGCCTTGGCCTCCCAAGGTGCTGGGATTACAGGCATGAGCCACCGTGTCCAGCTATATTCAGGATTGTTATTGATAGATAAGGTCTTATTCCTGCCATTTTGTTAATTACTTTTTGGTGGTTTTGGAGATCCTTTGTTCTTGTCTTCCTTTCTTGTTGTTTACCTCTGATTTAGTGGTTTTCTGTGGGGCCAAGCTTTGTTTTCATTCTCTTTCTTGTTTGTGTATCTGCTGTAACTTTTTTCTACATAGAGTCTTCAGTTAGGCTGGTGTGGTGGCTCTTGCCTATTATCCCAGCACTTTGGGAGGCTGAGGCAGGCAGATCGCTTGAGCTCATGAGTTTGAGACCAGCCTGGGCAACATAGTGAGACCTCGTTTCTACTAAATAAAGAAAAAAGAAATCAGCCGGGCATGGTGGCACACACCTGTAGTCTCAGCTACCCAGGAGGCTGAGGTGGGAGGACCACTTGAGCCTGGAAGATTGAGGCTGCAGTGAGCCATGATCAGGCCACTATGCTCTAGCGTGGGCATCAGAGTAAGACTGTCTCAAAGGGGAAAAAAAAAGTCTTGCAGTTACAATAGAATGTTTTAAGCTGATAGCAACTCAACTTTGGTTACATAAAAGGACCCTAGGTTTTTTCCCTCCCCCTTCAATTTATATTTTTGTTGCCTTAATTTTCTTCTTCATCTGTTATGTGTTCCTTAGCTACTATTTGTAGCTGTTGTAGTTTTTGACCATTTTAAATTTAACCTTCATACTAGCAGATTGAATATTTTATATGACATATTGTATCACTGGGGTTTGATCTGTTTGATTTATGAGTTTACCTTTACTGGTGAGTTTTACACTTTTGTGTGTTGTTATGATAGTGATTATTGTCCTTTTGTTTCTAGTTGTAGCATTCAATACCTTGAATATATTAATTCTATCCCATTCTCTGCTGGTCTACAAGGTTTCTACTGAGAAATCTATTGATAGTAATGGAGATTCTCTTGACAATTTTCTCTTGCAGCTTTGAAAGTCTTACTCTTTGACTTTCGATAGTTTGATTATAATGCACCTTGGAGAGGATCTTTTTGGGTTGAATGTAATTGCGAACCTTTGAACTTCCTGAATCTGGATGTCCGTATTTCTCCCACTACTTGGCAAGTTTTCAGCTATCATTTCATCAAATAGGTTTTCTGCGCCTTTCTCTATCTCTTCTCCATCAGGCAATCTTCAATGCAAGTATTTGTTTGCCTATTGATGTCCCATATGTTCCAAGGCTTTCTTTTTTATTCTTATTTGTTTTTTTTTTCCCTCTTAATGGGTTATTTCAAAAGACCTGTCTTCAAGGTCAGAAATTCTTTCTTCTGCTTGATCCTAGTCTATTGTTGAAGCTCTCAATTGTATACTATTTTTATTTTTTTCATTGAATTCTTCAGTTCCAAGATTTCTGTTTGGTTCTTTTTTATGATATTGATTTCTGTTGAATTGCTCATTCGGATCATGAATTGTTTTCCTGATTTCATTTAATTGTTTGTCTGTATTCTCTTGTATCTTACTGAGTTTCCTTTAGATCACTATTTTGAATTCCTTTTCAGGCATTTTGTAAGTGTCCTTTTCTTTGGGGTCTGTCATTGGAGACTTTTTTCCTTTTTTTTTTTTTTGAGACAGGGTCTTGCTCTGTCACCCAGGCTGAAGGGCAGTGGCATGATCTCAGCTCATTGCAACCTTCTCCTCCTGGGTTTAAGTGATCCTCCCACCTCAGCCTGCTGAGTAGCTAGGACTACAGGCGCATGCCACCACACCCGACTAATTTTTTTATATTTTGTAGAGACGGGTTTTGCCATGTTGCCCAGAATGGTCTTGAACTCCTGAGCTCATGCTATCTGGCTGTCTTGGCCTCCCAAAGTGCTGGGATTACAGATGTGAGCCACTGCGCCCAGCCAGGAGACTTAACCGTATTCCTTTGAGGGTGTCATGTTTCCTTGATTTTCATTTATCGTGTGCAAGATACTGGATGTTGATATGTGTGCATTTAGTAGCGTAGTTGCTCTTTTCAATTTTATTGAGTAGCTAGTATATAGTAACAGTCTTTTTCTGTAGATGGTTTTAGGGTATTAGCTGGGTATGGTGTGTTGCCTTTGGTTCTGGGTGGACTCAATGGGTGGTGTAATAATCCTTGTCAGCTTCAGCTGTAATCTTCAGCTATAATCCTAGTCATTGATGTTTGCAATTGCCTCAGTTGCCTAGGCTGTGGGAGTTTGTGATGGCAATGCTATAAGATGAGGGTACCGAGCTGATTTTTGGCCAAGACATGTACAGGCTAAAATGGCTGCCAGGCTGTCTATCTGGTTTTCCAGGGAGGCGGTAGTTACTGCTGTGGTGGCTGTCGTGCTGGGCTCAGGCCTTTGCTGCAGCGGCCTGCTGGGCAGCTCTGTGGCTACGTAGGGAGATGGGGCTACTGCCTGGTTGGCTGTTGCTTTGGGCTAGGCTCAAATGCTTTTGTGCAGTGGGGCTGGGCAGTTTGGCAGCAGTCTATGGTAGGGGGCCAGGGCTACCACAGGACCAGTTGGACTGTGTGCTGTGGGACTGTGGGACTCTATTGTGGCCTGTTTTAGGGGACAGGACCACTGAATTGCCAGCTATCAGGCAGGGCGTGGGCAGGTGGTTCTGTGATGGGTTGTGAGGAAGTAGGGCTGCCGCAGGATTGGCTTTTTGGCTGAGTACTGGCGCATGCATACTTGGCAGCCCAGATGGTTGTATGGAACAGGGGTGTTGGGTAAAGCGCTGCCAGCTATCTATTTGATGGCTTCCTTGCTGTGCAGGTCTGCCTGTTTTCTGGGTGGTTGGTAGCGCTGTGTGGGGTCTGATGCTGAAATCATCGTCACTCTGTTTGACCTAGACTCTATGTGGATGGGGTTATGGTGCTGCAGGCCATCGTGTGATCACGGTAGAATGATGGCTGGTTCTCAGGGATGAAGAGAGTCAGTTGCTACTGGTCCCCAGGGCAGGATGCACACTAGTAGTGAGTCTAGCTTCAACTTGGTGCCATGCTACAGCAGCTTAGGACAAGGTGGGCTCCCACTCTGAGGCAATACAGCTGAATGATCTCTTGGCTACTCTCCAGACTGGATTTGTGGCCACTGAGGACTTAAGGACTGTCCTTTATCAAGAATTGCTGGTGCCTGTGGCAGCAGTGGGGACCACTGATAGGTATCTCCAGCTTACTCTTTCCCTGTAAGAAGTTCCTCTGATTTTAAGCTGATTTTGGCAAGGGAGACAATGTGGCAGGTAGGAAGCCTCACCCTGTGGTGCTATCCTGAGGCTTCCATGTTCCACAGGGATTTTGCCCTTTCTCTGGTGCTCTGCAGCATATATCTACAGTCATTTTAGTTGAAATATAGTTATTTGTTATTTTGGTCTCTTTTTGTTGTGGGTGATGTGTGCCAGGTAACTCTGGTGAGCCATTTTTTTTAAACAAATCTGCATACAGATTGAGTATCCCCTATCCAAAATGCTTGAGACCAGAAGTGTTTTGGATTTTGTTTTGTTTTGTTTTGTTTTTGGATTTTGGAATATTTTATTTGTATTAGACTTACTTGTTGGGCATCCCAAATCTGAAATATGCTCCAAAATCCAAAATCTGAAGTGCTCCAGTGAACATTTCCTTTGAGCATCATGTTGGTACTCAAAAAGTTTTGGATTTTGGAGCATTTTGGATTTCAGATTTTTGGAATTGGGATGTTCAACCTGTATAATCTTTAGATCACCTGTTCAGCAAATCGACAAACACCGAGGACAGTTTCTGTCTGCAACGAAGTTGACAGTCAGGTAGCCAGGGATAGCTAATCAGTGAATAACAATACCTGGTACTGGTAGGAAAGAGCACCAACCACAACCACAGAAGCCTTCTTGGAGGAGCTGATCTCTGAACTGAGTTTTGAAGGATGAGTAACTAGGTAGCAATGCAGAGAAAGAGAAAATATGAGCAGGGATATAAAAGCAGTACATTATCATGCATAGCAATATACTAAGCTGCAATATCATACTAAACTACAAGCAGTCTAGTGCTTTCTAGTTGGGGGGTAATGTTCAATATAGGGGATCTGTAATGAGGTAAGTTGGAGAGGAAAACAGAAGCCAGGTTCTGCAACAACTTAGCTTTGTAGCCTCGAGTCTATCTTGCTTAAAAAGTGAATAGTTTCCAATCCCTTTGGCTTATAGCGTATGAAAAATTTTCTGATATGTGTTATATCAGAAAATTCAAAACCATGTAAAAGAGGTTAGCTTTTACTTATTTATAACTGCCCTCTTTGTGGGGCAAAGAAACTTGAGGTCCCAGTAAGCAGATTCATGGGACTATTTAGAATACAATCACTACTTTTATAAGCCTTAAGAAGTCATTGACCTTGAAAATTACAACATTTTCAGACTGTTAGGTTATAGACTTTTATGCCTGTAAGTCTGCCCATGACTGGTCTTTCCCAGGGTAAATGCAGATATTCCTAGTTAGTGGCAGTTTTATGTCTGATGTACTTATCACCCAGTTGCATAGACTTATGTTATTTATACCAGTTGAGCAGTTTTTGCTCTTCAAGCAGGTGTGATAATTGTTAAATATCTTGTATCTAAATTTCACATACATTTAATAAGGCTCTCAAGTGAAATGGTTTTCTCAGTGTTAAGTAAGGTTTTCATAGCATTAACTACCTAAATTTAGGTTGTTAAGTAGTGCTAGTAGTACAGTTGGAGAGATTCCATCTTAATCTAAACATATTTGTCTTGGTTAAAGTATACCAGAATGTAGCTTTTTTTCTCATTGGTGAGGTGCACTTTATAATGAACTCATTATCTTTTTGGTCCAAATCTGTTTCTCTATGTTTTCGTAAGTGATACTATCATCTGCTAAGTCATGAACCAGAGGAATTTAGGAATAGTTTTTCTATGTCTTACATCCATTGAGTCACAACTCATATCAGTTCTTCCTTCTTGACATCCCCTAAATCCATCCCTTCTCCATTTCCACTGGTCCTGCAGTAATAGACATCTCACCATTTTTCAAGTGGATTACTATGCTATAGGACTCTGTGTCTGTGGACTTAAAATGGAAAGCTTCACCTATTCTTAGGTGACATTGAAAATTTATTTCAAGTAATGATATTTAATTTTGGGGGGCACAAATTTGCATAGTACTCCCTCTGTGCTGCTGTGTTGGTTGAGCGTGCAGCTGAGGGCATTGGAGGAGGGCACTGGGAATTATGGATGAAGCAACTTACTGTGAAGTCATGAAAACTTTTATTCTAGTAGAAAAAAGCCAACAGCTAATGCTGGTGGTAAAAGTAGAGAGAGATTTAGGAGGTCTTAAGCGTTTATAGTTCTTATTTATAAAATTGTTGTTGGGATTTAAAAAATGGATGTTAGATATGACATTGACTCAGATCTGTGTAACAAAAGAAAAAGTGGTTTTGAAACTACTTTAGTCAAAATAGTACAGCAGTTGTTTTTGTGGAATCATAGGAAAGGTGTTAACTTGAGTAAGGACATTCCCCAGGAACATGTAATTTTCTATGAAAAATTTGGTTAGAGAAAAGATCTGAGCCTGTATAAGCATTTCCGCATTTATTAACTTAGGAATTAGAGAAGATCTCAGATAAATTTCTTAACGTCTAGGACCTGCTCCAACAGCCTCTGAAACTAGTCTTTTTGCTTTCATTTTGATTCCTTATGGTCCATTAGTCATACTGTTGCAAGATGGGCTTTATGAAATATAAATCTATGTTCTCCCTTACTTAAAATGAGTAAGTTGCCTAATCTCAGCCTCGTTTGTCATCTAGAAAATGGGGATAAGAGGTATATGGGATTATTGGGAAGAATAAATTGGAAAAATATAAGTAAAATATTTTATACATTGTTAAGCTCATTAGATGTTTAACAGGGATTATGTAACAATTATTTATAAGGCAAACCCCTTACTATGGCAAATAAGGCTCTTTATTATCCTATCTCTACTGCCTCATTTTCAGGAGCCCTATCTTACGTTCCATTCGTAAAACCACTTAATATTTCCCACTTGGCATTTGCACTGTGATTTTCATTTCTCCAAGTATACCTCTCCCTGCCTGTACCTTAATACTGCTTGTTCTCTCCATTCCCGTGTCATCATTCATAGATGTGTATTACAGCATTGCATACCTTGTCAGTTTCCCTTACTAGTCTGTGAGATTGTTGAGTGTACAGCTGTTGTCTTTTTATTTTTGTATTCTTGTTCCTGGTAACTGTAGACATATAATTGAATGGTTGCTAAATATTTGTTTAATTGAATGCATGAATGAATGAACAGATGAATGGAAAGAAGAATGAAAAGGAGTGGAGAGTAGTCGTTAAGGGAAAGGATTTTGGAGGCTGGATTTATCTCCTAGCTCTGGAATTTATTCTTTGTGACCGTCAATATGTTATTTAATCTTTTTGTGTCTTTTCTCCATATATAAAATGGGACTAATATAGTATTTACTTCTCAGGGTTATAGTGAGGATTTAAATGAGTTAATATACGTCTAAAGCCCTTAGAATAGTACATGACACATAGTGGCCGGGCGTGGTGGCTCACGCCTGTAATCCCAGCACTTTGGGAGGCCGAGGCAGGCAGATCACCTGAGGTCAGGAGTTTGAGACTAGCCTGCTCAACGTGGTGAAACCCCGTCTCTACTAAAAATACAAAAAAATTAGCTGGACATGGTGGCGGGCACCTGTAATCCAGCTACTCAGGAGGCTGAGGCAGGAGAATTGCTTGAACCTGGGTGGCGGAGGTTGCAATGAGCTGAGATCATGCCACTGCACTCCAGCCTGGGTGACAAGAGCAAAACTCCATCTCAGGAAGAAAAAAAAAAAGAAAGAAAGCACAGTAGGTGACACATAGTAAGCTCTATTTAGGTGTTAGCTGCTGCTAATATTTTTATTTTCCTGCTGATTCAGAACCCATAGCATCTTTACTGTCATGAATAATATTATCTTTATGCACTTAAATTGGCTATAGACTGAATTTTAAGATAATGTTCAAATCATAAAAGTTGTTTTATATGCTCTGGATTTTTCTTTTTATAGGGCTCTATGGAGCAAGTCAGTTCTCATTTCTTGGAGCAGACCCTTGACAAGAAGCTGATGTCAGATCTGAGGGTACCTTTTATTCTTCGTTGTTTAAACTGGGTTTCTGTAACCAATGTAGGGGGGCAGTATTGTGAGTTGTGTTGATTTAACTTAGCAGCATTTGTTAAATTAACGTATGAGAACTGTATTACATTTTAATTTAAAATCTTAGTAAATTGAAGCAAATAACAAGTGACTTCATTAAATTTCGTATTATTGTAATGAAATACTTTGCACAGGTTATGCTTTACAAAAAAGAGGCAAGATTAATTTTCTAAGCCAGGTGCAGTGGCTCACACCTGTAATCCCAGCACTTTGGGAGGCTGAGGCAGGTAGATCACTTGCGGCCGGGAGTTTGAGACCAGTCCGGCCAACATGATGAACTCCGTCTCAACTAAAAAACAAAAATTAGCTAGGTGTGGTGGCATGTGCCTGTAGTCCCAGCTACTTGGGTGACTGAGGCAGAGAATCACTTGAACCCTGGAGACCAGAGGTTGCAGTGAGCCGAGATCGCACCACTGCACTCCAGCCTAGGCAACAGAGTGGGACTCTGTCTCAAAAAACAAAACCCAAAAAACAACAACAAAAAACCCCCAGAAAACCCCAAAAGATTAATTTTCTATTTGTTAGGAACTACAAAGGCCCATTCTCATTTTGTGAGATGGTATGACATTTTAGGACTCCTTTTCAGCAGCAGTTACCATGGAAGACTGAGTAAAGCCTTTCTCCAAACAGTAACAAAATACCCCCCACCCCACGCCATTTTTTCTTCTTTTTTTTTTGAAACTGGGTCTCACTCTGTTGCCCAGGCTGGAACGCAGTGGCACAATCATTACTCAATGCAACTTTGATCTCCTGGGCTCAAGCATTCCTCCCACCTCACCCTCCTGAGTAGCTGGGACTACAAGCATACCTCACCATGCCCAGCTAATTTTTTTTATCTTTAGTAGAGATGAGGTCTTGCTCTGTTCCTCATGTTGGTCTTGAACTCCTGAGCCCAGGCAGTCTTCTTGCCTCTGCCTCCCAAAGTGCTGGGATTACAGATGTGAGCCATTGTGCCCGGCCCCAAATGCCTCTTATGAAATGCCCTTAAGCTTTGATTGTGATGGTTCACTAACGTGGTTTGCAGAACCAAATTTGAGTCTGAGAAAATAATATGTACATTCATTGTTAGTACCTCAATTTTGAAATTATAAAAGTGATATTATAGAGTTGTAGAATTTTTGATAAGGGAAAGGAAAACAATTTACCCATATGCCTGCTACCCTAATATAATGACTTTGGTCATTTTGGTATATGTCTCTCAGCTCTTTTTCTGGTGCGTGGTTTTTTTGTTTGTTTGTTTGTTTTGTTTTGTTTTGTTTTGTTTTGTTTGAGACAGGGTCTCGCTCTGTCGCCCAGGCTGGAGTGCAGTGGTGCGATCTTGGTTCACTGCAACCTCTGCCTCCTGGGCTCAAGTGATCCTCTCACGTCGGCCTCCTGAGTAGCTGGGACTACAGGTGTGTACCACCACACCCGGCTAATTTTTTGTAGTTTTTTAGAGATGGGGTTTCATGAGAGGCTGATGTATAAAGCAGAGTGCCAGGTCATTCATTTGTGATGAGAACCATAACTGTCAAGTGGACTGGATACACTAACCGGTATATTCCACCTTAGGCAATCTCTGTGTAAAGTGAGTTTACTAGATTATTTAGTGACTGTACTGTAGCTGAAATAGAACGCAATGTTGCCAAATAGAAAAATACTTTTACTGGGACTGAAGATAATTTTTTTTTTTGAGGCAGAGTCTCACTCTGTCGCCAGGCTGGAGTGCAGTGGCATGATCTCGGCTCACTGCAACCTCCACCTCCTGAGTAGCTGGGACTACAGGCACGTGCCACCACGCCCAGCTAATTTTTGTACTTAGAGTAAAGATGGAGTTTCAACATGTTGGCCAGGATGGTCTCAATCTCCTGACCTCATGATCAGCCTGCCTTGGCCTCCCAAAGTGCTGGGATTACAGGTGTGAGCCACCTGCTCCCTGCCCGATAATTGTTTTCTTAGAGTCAATGTATTGTCTACCCAAGATGGTTTTTTGGAGGGGCACTGCCATTATTTGCCTCTCTGGCTCTCTCTTTTCCTATGTTGCTGCCACAGCAAACATAACCAACTTTCTTAACACATTCTTCAGCTATCTTTATCCTCTTTAATTAGGTACTTTCAGCTATTATAGACCAGCAAGGCTTTGGTTTCATTTTAAGTTGAATTTGCATTTCTCTTGTATGAACTACTGATAATTTTTACAAACGTAACTCTCAAAGAGCAGTTTTATTTTCTGCCTTCCCATGTTCTCAGGGTTCATCTTAGTGTTCCTTCATGAACCTCCTACAATTGGTAATTGTTGTTGTCCTCTGCAGAGGAAACGTACTGCACATGAGCGTGCCAAGGAACTTTACAGTTCAGGGGAGTTTTCCAGTGGCAGAAAGTGGGAAGATGATGCTCCCAAGGAAGAAGTAGATACCGGGGCTGTGAACTTGATTGAGTCAGGAGCTTGTGGAGCTTTTGTTCATGGGTTGGAAGATGAGATGTATGGTAAGTATGACTGTATAATAGCAATAGCACTCTTTAAGTGACTGCTGTGTGTCAGGCATTGTACTGGGTGATACACATGTATCGTTTCATTTAGTCCTCACAGTAACTCTGGGAAGTACTTACTATGCTTTTTATTTTACACACAGAAGAGACTGAGGCCCCAGTAGTGTGAGACAATGGTAAAGAGCAAGAGATTTGGGTTCAGTCAATCTATATTTAAATTCCAGCATTTTTATAAAACAGGGATAATAATAACTATCTTTCTGAGTTGTGAGAATTAAATGAGGTTCTGTATACATAAAGCACTTGGCATAATACATGTGCCTATTTATAATAAGCACTTAATAATTGGTAATTAAAATTGATATTAATAAAAATAATAACTTGATATTACTTACCCAGCTAGTAAGAGACAGAGCAAGATTTAAACCTAGGTATGTCTGACTGCCAAACCTTTATATGACTGATGAATATTTTATTTCACCTTCATTTTTGAAAGATATTTTTGGGCCAGGCGTGGTGGCTCACACCTGTAATCCCAGCACTTTGGGAGGCTGAGGCTGGAGGATCACTTGAGGCCAGGAGTTCAAGACCAGCCTGGTTAACATGGTGAAACCCTGGATCTACTAAAAATACAAAAAATAGCTGGTATGGTGGCATGCACCTGTAATCTCAACTGCTAGAGAGGCTCAGACACAAGAATCACTTGAACTCAGGAGGCAGAGGTTGCAGTGAGCTGAGATCGTGCCACAGCACTCCAGCCTGGGCAAGCAACAGAGCAAAACTCTGTCTCAAAAAATAAATAAATAAATAAATAAATATAGAAAGATATTTTTGTGGGAATCCAATTCTAGATTAATAAGTTTTTTTTTTTCCAAGAGACTTTTTTGTTTTTTGAGACAGGGTCTCACTGTGTCACCCAGGCTAGAGTGTAGTGGTGTGATCACAGCTCACTGAAGCCTTGACTTCCTGGACCCAAGCAATCCTCCCACCTCAGCCTCTCGAGTAGCTGGGACCAGAAGCACATGTCACCATGCCCGGCTAATTTTTTAATTTTTTGCAGAGACAGGGCCTCCCTATATTGTCCAAGCCAGTCTTGAACTCCTGGGCTCAAGTGATCCTTTTGCCTTGGCCTCCTAAAGTGTTGAGATTGCGGGCGTGAGCCACTGTGCGTGGCCTCTACCAGTCTTTTAATGATATTGCTCCATAGTTTTCTGTTGAGAAATCTGCTGTCGTTTTTATCTTCCTCTGTATATAATGTGTCTTTTTATCTCAAGCTGCTTTTAAGATTTCTCTTTATCACTGGTTTTAAACAATTTGATTATGATATGCCTAGGTATAGTATAGTTCATGTCATGTTTCTTTTGTTTGGAGTTTGTTGAGCTTCTTGAATCAAATAGTTTTCATCACAGTTGGAAATTTTTTTTTGCTATTATTTCTTTCTCTCTCTTTTTTTTTCGGGGGGTGTGGCGGGGACAGAGTTTTGCCCAGGCTGAAGTGCAGTGGTGTGATCTTGGCTCACTGCAATCTCTGCATCCTGAGTTCAGGCAATTCTCGTGCTTCAGCCTCCCCAGTAGTTGGGACTGCAGGTGCCCGCCACCACTCTCGGCTAATTTCTGTATTTTTAGTAGAGACGGGGTTTTGCCATGTTGCCGAGGCTGGTCTCAAACCCCTGAGCTCAACTTATCTGCGCGCTTCAGCCTCCCAAAGTGCCGGGATTACAGGTGTGAGCCACCATACCCAGCCACTATTATTTTTTTAAATTTCTCTGACTCTACAGGCCCTTTGGCGACTTTCATTACACATGCATTAGGATACTGACATTGTTTTGCAGCTCACTGATGCTCTATTCTTCCTTCCTTCCTTCCTTCCTTCCTTTCTTTCTCCAGTTTTTATTTTCTCTTTGTGTTTGATTTTGGATAGTATCTATTGCTTTGTCTTTGAGTGTTGCAAGATATAATCTGATGTTAATCCCACCCAGTATATTTTTCATCTCGGACATGTAGTTTCTGTCTCTAGAAGTTTGATTAGAATTTGGGTTTTTTCCACCCTGGACCACATAAGGAGACCCTATCTCTACAAAAAATTTAAAATTAGCCAGACATGGTTGTGCATTGCCTTTAGTCCCAGCTACTTGGGAGGCTGAGGCAGGAGGATTGCTTGAGCCCAGGAGTTAGAGGTTGCAAGGAGCCATGATCACACAAGTGCACTCCAGTCTGGGTGACAGAGCAAGACCCTGTCTCAAAAAAAAAGAAGAAAGAGTTTGGGTCTTTTTAGTATCTACCATGTCTTTCTTAACATACTTAATCTTTCCTCTAGCTTTGTCAACAGATAATATGTTTATATTGTCTTACTATCCTTGTTTACTAGGACTATTATTTCTGTGATTCCTAGGTTGGTTTTGATTGATTTTTTTTCTTCCAGTATTATATATTCATCCTGTGTATATTCCATCCTGTGTCTTTTCATGTCTGATAATTTTTAATTGGATGCCAGACATTATAGATTTCACTTTATTGGATACTGAACATTATTTTATTCCTATAAATATTTTTGAGCTTTGTTCTGGGATCCATTTTTTCAGGTCTTATACTTTGTTAGGCAGGATTAGAGTAGCATTTAGCCTACAGCTTACTTTTCTCCACTAGTGAAGCAAAAAACTCTTCTTTTTCACTACTTGAAGCACAAAACCTCTTCTTTTCTTTTTTCTCTCTCTCTTTTTTTTTTTTTTTTTTTTTGAGACAGGATCTTGCTCTGTTGCCCAGGCTGGAGTGCCAAGGTATAGTCACGGCTCGCTGCAGCCTTGACCTCCTGGGCTCAAACAACCTTCCCACCTCAGCCTCCTGAGTAACTAGGACCACAGGTGGGCACCACCACACCTGGCTAATTTTTGTATTTTTTGTAGAGATGGGTTTTGCCATGTTGCCCAGGCCAGGCTTGAAGTCCTGGCCTCAAGCAATCCGGCCACCTCAGCCTCCCAGAGTTTTAGGATGACAGACATAAGCCACCACACCTGGCTGCAAAATTCTTCTAAGTTAACTGTGGTTTTATAGGCCCTGTGTGACCTCTGGAGATTGTTTCCTCTCATTGTTTTGAGTGGTTCTTTTCCAGGCCTCAGATGGTCTCTGTCGCACAGATCAGAATTCAGCTGAAGACTTGAGGCGACCATCTGCAGATCTCCCAAGCTCTCTGTCTCTCTGTGTAGTTCTCTCCTTTCCAGAAATTTGCTCTATGAACTCTAGCCACATTGGACTTCCCAAACTCCTAGCTCAATCTTCTCAACTCAGGGAGAGAAGACCTAGTGCCTGGAGTCTCTCTAAACGGAATTGTAATCATTGAGATCACCTCATTTATTTCCCATCTCTCAGGGATTGCAGTCCTTTATTGCCAGATGCCCAGTGTCTGGAATGCTGTTGTTTCATATATTTTGTCTCTGTCTCATCCTTGGAGGAAAAAGCTGGTCCTCATTACTCCATCTTGTAATAGACATCCTATAAAGCCCATGTGATTTCCGTATGCTGTCTGTCTCACGTACATCTCAGAATTTCAGTGCTTTGAGATGATTGACTCCAGCCTCTTCATTATCAGCAAGGGTAACAGACCTGGTGAGGTAATGTTGATTGTCCACGTTTTACAGTAAATTTGTGCCAGAGACCTGTGCCAGGTCTTAAAAATGCCTATACAATCATACCTCAGGATAGAACTGCTTCTTAGAAGGGCAAGAATATTATTTTTGAAAGAAAGTTTTTCATCAGTAGATGTAAGAATTGGGTTATCCTATCATTTGTTCTAAAATGTTCCATATGTATAGAAAGTAAATCTACCTCTGCTTTTTGATTCTCTATGAACTTAAAATATGAATTACAATTTAAATAATATTGGATAATAAGGAAGTCCAGTTATTAAAACCTATTTTACTCTAAAATGAGTAACTGAAACCTATTTTGTTTCTATTAGCATTTTTGCTTTGTTGCGTTTCTACAACTGAATTTCATCACTTTTAACATTTATATGATTTAGTTATACAGTTTTCAGTTTGCCATTAAGATTTTTTAAATACTTTTTTTTATACTTTTAAGTTCTGGGGTACATGTGCAGAACGTGCAGGTTTGTTACATAGGTATACATGTGCCATGGTGGTTTGCTGCACCCGTCAACCCGTCATCTACGTTAGGTATTTCTCCTAATGCTATCCCTCCCCCAGCCCCCCACCCCCTAACAGGCCCCAGTGTGTGATGCCCCCCCACCTGCAGTGTCCATGTGTTCTCATTGTTCACCTCCCACTTATGAGTGAGAACATGCGGTGTTTGGTCTTCTGTTCTTGTGCTAGTTTGCTGAGAATGATGGTTTCCAGCTTCATCCATGTCCTTGCAAATAACATGAACTCATCCTTTTTTATGGCTGCGTGGTATTCCATGGTGTATATGTGCCACGTTTTCTTTATCCAGTCTATCACTGATGGGCCTTTGGGTTGGTTCCAAGTCTTTACTATTGTGAATAGTGCTGCAATAAACATATGTGTGCATGTGTTTTTATAGTAGAATGATTTATAAGGCTTTGGGTATATGCCCAGTAATGGGATTGCTGGGTCAAATGGTATTTCTGGTTCTAGATCCTTGAGGAATCGCTACACTGTCTTCCACAATGGCTGAACTAATTTACATGACCTCATTTTTATATCTTTTTTTTTTTTTTTTTGAGATGGAGTCTCCTTCTGTCACCCAGGCTGGAGTGCAGTGGCACGATCTCAGCTCACTGCAACCTCTGCCTCCCAGGCTCAAGTGATTCTCCTGCCTCAGCCTCCTGAGTAGCTTGGACTACAGGCACGTGCCACCATGTTCAGTTAATTTTTTGTATTTTTAGTAGGGATGGGGTTTCACCATGTTATCCAGGATGGTCTCAATCTCCTGACCTCGTGATCCACCCACCCCGGCCTCCCAAAGTGCTGGGATTAGGCATGAGCCACCACGCTGGGTCCTCATTCTTGTATCTTAAAAGTCAGTGATGTTGAGTAATTTCTCATGCTACGACCTCCATGGTTGCCTTTCTTCTGCCTTCTTCTCTCACTTATAAGGAAGCTTGTGATTTCGTTGATCCCACCCATTTAAGATAATCTCTCCATCATTTTATTGCAACCTTAATTTCACTTGAAATCTAATTTCCCACTGCCATGCAACCTAACATATTTGTATGTTAGACTCTGGGAATTAGGACATGAACATTTTTGGGAGGCCATTCTTTTGTCTGCAGCAGACATAATCTATTTACCTGCAGATTAAAGTGTTCTTTATTTTTCTGCCTCCCCCTCTTAATTTTTTTTAAATAATATGAATTGTAGTAAAGAGAAAGAAAAGAAAAGAAAGAAAGAAAAAAGAAGGAAGGAAGGAAAGAAAGAAGAAAGAAAAGAAGGAGGAAATGAGAGAAGGAAGGGAGGGAAGGAGGAAGGGAGAAAGGCAGGAAGGGACTAAAAAGAAAGCAAGAACACAAGAAAGAAAGAGAAAGAAAGAAGAGAAAGTGAGAAAGAAAGAAAGGAAGGGAGGAAGGAAAGGAGGAAGAGAGAATGGGAAAAGGGAGGAAGGCAAAGAAACAAAGAAAATAAAGAGGAGAAGGAAGGAAAAAGGAGGAAAGGAAGGGAGCGAGGAAGGAATAAAAGGAGGGAGGGAGGAAAGGAGAAAAGGAAAGAAAAGAAAGTGAGAAAGAAAGAATAAGAGAAAAGAAGGAAGAAAAGGGAGGGAGAAAGGAAGGGAGGGAGGAGGGAAGGAAGAATAAGAGAAAAGGAAGGAAGGAGAAAAAAGAAAAGAGAGGAAAAGAAAAAGGAAAAGAAAAGGAGGAAAAGAAAAAAGGAAGGAAGAAGGCAAGGGAAGGGAAGAGAAGAGAAAGGAAGATGGAAAGAAGGAAGGAAGACCGCAAATATTAGAAATTCTGGGTTTGTTAGAGAATATGCCATACTGTTTTTTTTTTTCACTTGAAAGAGTATCTGCCATTGAAGATTGGATGTCTTGTTGGTGATATTGTTCTTATCTTCCATATGATTACTGAGTTTGTGCCTAGTCTGTCCATTACTAAGACAAAAGTGTTGAAGTCTGCAAATATAATTTTGGATTTTTCTAGTTCGCCTTTGATTTCCTTCCTGTTTTGCCTCATGTATTTGGAGGTTCTGTTGTTAGCTGCATACCCTAATTAGTAGGATGTTTACAACTTCTTGAGAATTGATTATTGTATTATCTATTATCTCTCATCTCTGATACTATTTCTTGTTCTGAACTCTGTTGTGTCTAATATCAATGTAGTCTTTCCACAGCTTTATTTTAGTGTTTCCATGATATGGCATTCTCCATATCTTGATGATAACCTATTTATATCTCTATATATTTGGAGCAAGATGTAAAATTTAGACTTGATTTTTTAAAGATTTTTCAAGATGTAATTCTTATTTATTTTTGTTCTATTTGACATTCTCTGAGTTTCCTATATCTGAAGTTTGATTTTCTGTCACTTCTTTTAGAATATTTTTGGCAGTTATTTTGAAAAATATTTCTTTTGCTCCGTTATTTTTTCCTCTTTTCTTTTTGGAATTTCAGTTGTAACTAGGGTAGGTAATTTCATCTCAGTCTTATGCAGGTGCTTTTTCTCAGGGTCCCAGGAATGTAGCCTTCTCACACTTCTGTTCTTTTCCTGGCTGTGTTGGTGAGCTCAGTGGTATTCCTCCTTCACCTTCAAGAGCAGTTTTGTTTTTCCTGTTTTCATACTCCCAGCATCAGGAGTATTCTAAGTGTGGCAGTTTTTGTTGCCTTCCCCTACATGTTAAGTGGAATATCTTGGTCTATTTGGACTCTTATAAAAAAATAACATGAACTGGGTGACTAAAAAACAATAGATATTTCTTTTTTCACACTTCTTGAGGCTGTAAGATCTCAGGTCAAGATGCTCACAAATTCAGTGTTGATGAGAGCCCATTTCGTGGTTCATAGATGGGGCGTTCTTTCTACATCCTCACATAGTGGAAGGCACACAAGAACTCCATTGAGCTTCTTTTATAAAGGCACTAATCCCATTCATAAGGGCTCGGCCCCCAAGACCTGGTCACCTCCCAAGTGTTCTGCTCTCCCTGATCTGTATCATATACAGACTCTCTTGGATTCCTTACCAATTGCTTGAGAGATCACAGTGGGTTTTGGGGAAAAAGTTTTCAAGATGATGGATCTTTCCCAACTTCTGCAGCTGTCAGCGGTCTCCCAATCTGACCGGCCCCACTTTGTCTTCAGGAATTTAATGATTATTCCAGCTTTACTTGTCATACTGGTGTCTATTTGCATCTGTCCTATGTAAGTGCATCTGTCCTCTTTCTCCTTGCAAGTGCTTGTTTTCCCTCACATTTTGACTCAGTTCTTGGCAACCTGGTTGCTATAAAAATAAAGTCATGACTTTGAAGTTAGTTGGGTTCTTTCATTGTTGTAAGGTTAGGAGCCCTATTCCATCCCAGCTCTCCAAAACCCAGAATTTTTTGGGGGTTGAAATTTTAGGCTTTCTCTTTGAATTGTAGTTTTATCTTATTTCAGTTACAATTTGCATTTTCATAATGATTAATGAGACTAAGCTTTTTTTGTGTAGTTGACTGTACCTTTGGATTTTTTCCCCAAATCCCTTTTCATTTCTTATTTTCTTTATGGTTTTAGAAAATGTAGTTTACGTAATTGCAGCTTGACTTTTTCCTCAGTTAATGGCATGCTTATTGGAGAGAAAAAAGATTAACTATATTTCCCTTTTTAATTACTGTGCTTTTTTCTTTTTTAAGGTAATATTTCATTACATTAAATTTTAGTGTTATTCTACTGAGCTATTCCTTAAATATTATAGTATTTTGGATTTCACATATAAATTTGTAACACATCTTGAGTTTATTATGTATAGAGTAAGGCTATTTTCTTTTTTTTGTTTTTTAAGGTAAAAATCACATAATATAAAATTAATAACAACCATTTTAAAGCATACAATGCAGTTGCTTTTAGTATATTCACAATGTTCCAGGACAATTTCATCCTGTCCCTTCTGAAAACCCATTATCCATAAAGTTGTTACACCCTATTCTGCTTCCCTGAGCCCTAATGACCACTAATCTGATTTATATCCCAATTGATTTGCCAATTCCTGATGTTTCATCTGAATAAAATCAGGTAATATTTGTCTTTTTGTGCACTTAATGCTTTCAAATTTCACCCACATTATACCATGTATAAGTACTTCTTTCTTTGTTATAGCTAAAAATTGGGTGTCCATTTATGAGTCAACAAGCCTATGGATTGTTTCCACTTTTTGACTGTATGATTATTACTGCTGTAAATATTCATGCACATGTTTGTTATTTGAGCACCTATGTTTTGTAAGATTAACAGCTGACTTAACAGAAACAATGGAAGGCAAGAGGCAGTAGAATAATATATTCAAAAGATGCAAAGGAAAAAAAACTGTCAGCCACCAATTCCTTATCCAGCAATTATTTTTCAAAAATGAAGATAACACAAAGACTTTGCCAGATAAACAGAAATATTAATTGAAGTTGTTGCTGGCAGACCTACCATACAAAAAAAAAAAAACAAAAACAAAAACACCAAAATAAATTCCTAAGGCTAAAAGCAAGTTACACAAGACAGTCATTTGAATCCACATTTTTAAAAAAGCACTGGTATAGGTAATATTAACATTATAAAAGACAGTAGAAATGCATCTTTTCTCTTTATCATAAATTGTTTATAAAATAATATGTGTATAATGGCCGGGCACGATGGCTCACACCTGTAATCTCAGCACTTTGGGAGGCTGAGGCGGGCGTATTACGAGGCCAGGAGATCGAGACCATCCTGGCTAACACAGTGAAACCCCGTCTCTACTAAAAATACAAAAAATTAGCCGGGCGTGATGGCGGGCGCCTGTAGTCCCAGCTACTCGGGAGGCTGAAGCAGAAGAATGGCATGAAGCCGGGGGATGCAGCTTGCAGTGAGCGGAGCTCACTGGAGTGGCACTGGAGTGCCACTGCACTCCAGCCTGGGTGACAGAGGGAGACTCCGTCTCAATGATAATAATAATAATATGTGCATAACGTATTGCTGAGTATTTGACATGTAGAAATGTAATATGTGTATAACATATTTCCCAGTAACATTAAAAAGGAGGTAGTTGGAAGAAAAATGTATCGTGATAAGATAATCACTCTAGATGGTAAAGTAATAATTACTAAAATGCATTGTTGGCTTTGTAACTTTAATAGATGTAATGTGTAAAGTGATAATACTTTCAAATGGAGGAAATAAAAGAGATTTGAATAAGAATGATGTTTCTATGTATTACTAAAAGTTTACTAGTATAAATTGGAAGATGATTTGAGTAATTAATTTTCCATATACCTACATGGTAAACTTACAACAACAACAAAAATTCTCAAAAATATATAGTAAAATATTTCATTAGTAATCTAAAGTTCCCTATTTTAGAAAATATTCATTCATTGCAAAATAAAGCAATAAAGAAAAATATTTGAGAAATATACAAAACAAATAGTAAAATGGCAGACATAAATAGAATTATACCAATTATAATATTAAATGTGAGCAGATTAAAATCCAATCAAGAGGCAGAGATTGTCAGACTGGATTAAAACAAGTGATCCCAATATACGCTGAGATGCAAGGATACTAATGGATTGAAAGTAAAAAGATGACAAAAAATATCATGCAAAGAGCAATCATAAAAACACTGAACTCATTATACTCATAACACAATATAGACTATTAAAAATGTGAATAGGATTTTAAAAATTTTTATTGTAGGAATAAGGAGGTCAACGCTTTAGGAAGACATAGCTATTACAATCATGTATGCACAGATTTGAGCTAAATTGTTTCCTCTATACAGATGCTGAAATCCTAACCACTGAATATGACCTCATTAGGAAATAGGTTCCTTGCAGGTGATCAAGTTAAGATAAAATCAGATGAGCCTGAATTCAATATGACTGATGTCCTTATAAAAAGAAGAAATTTGAGTAGAGGGAGACATACACACAGGGAGAGTTCCATGTGATTATGAGGGCAGAGGTTAGCCAAGGAATGCCAAAGACTGCCACAAAACCACCAGAAGCTAGAAACAAGGCATAGAACAGACTTTCTCTCATAGCCCTTGAAGGGACCATCCCTGCCGACACCTCAATCTCAGACTTTTAGCTTCCAGGACTATAAGGCAATAAATGTATGTTGTTCAAGGCACCCAGTTTGTGTTACTTGGTTATGGCAGCCCTAGAAAACTAATACATGAACTAATAACAAAGCATAAGAACATGAAGCAAAAATTCACAAAAGAGGAGCATCAGCAAAATGGCAGTGGAGACAGCTGCAATCTTTCATTTCCCCACAGAAACATCACACAACTAAGAGAAACTGTCCGAATAAACTTTGCCAAAACTCTGGAAAATGGTCAAAAGATTACAACAACCAAGTGAAAGCAGACTCAAGGAAAAGACAACTGGAAAACTTTACGACATTTTTAACTTGCCTTTGCCCCAGCAAATTGGCAGTTCTGAAGTGTCAGAAGCCCACGTTCCCAGTGAGGAAGCCTGGTCCATCGCCCAAAGGAACAAGAGAAGATCTTACCCGCAAATTATTATGTGTCTGTTCTGACTGGTCTGGGGGATACCTGAAGGACTAGTGAAAGGCTTTTTTTTTCTGTGTTGCTAGAATACAGAACAGATAAGGAATGGACATTATTAAGAAACTCAGCAAGGAGACCTAAGAAACCACAGACGCTTAGGGCAAAAATTAGAGTTTACACATACAGTAGATCACCTTCAGCACAGGAAGAAAAGTTGGAGAAGAGTATTTGGAAAACTAAGACATTCAACATTCACGTACATGGGAGAGTCTAGAAAGTCACATGTATGCATAGGTTAAGCCACATGATGACAAATGTCATAAGAAGAGCCTACACTTTTACCTTGGCCGATCCCTCCCCTCAGTGCAAGCTCTGCGCAAGAGTGAACTTGAACTTCACTCAGTGCAAGAGTGAACATACACTTTGTGCAGGCTTTAAAGAACCCAGCACAAAGCCAGTCTGCATGGCCTAGAGACATATTTTGCTGGCTAATGATTACTTGTTTTTCTTTTTGTTTTTGTTGTATTTGCCTGTTTGCTTAGTTCCTGACATACAAGAAAATCACTGTCAAAACATTAGCTTAACATTTATTAAGGAAACAAAAAGACTTCGGTGACCACACCTTATAAAGCAAACAGTTTTGTAAATCACTTTGGAAAATTTCACTAAAAATAAAAACTTTAACAATGTAATAAGTAAATAAAATTTAAAACCACAAAACATTAGTGTGTTTGTAGGGGGGGGTCTGATTTACAGAGTAACCACATAGTAATTATAATTATTATAATGTGCAGTTTTCAAAAAAAGTTACAAGGCATACAAAGAATGGGAAAGTATGGCTCATTCAAAGGAACAAAATAAATTGACAGAAAATATCTTTAAGGAAACCCAGACATCAAACTTACTAGACAAAGACTTTTAAACAACTCTCTTAATTATACTCAAATGTCAAAAGGAAAACATAAACAAAGAAAGAAAGGAATCAGAAAAAAGTATTAAAAAGTAGGAATATCAACAAAGATAACAAATTCTGGAGTGGAAAACTACAATGATAAAAATTAAAAAATCAACAGAGGGATTTAAGAGTATATTTGCCCACGCAGAAGAAATCATGAAGATAAGAAAATGGAAAATACTGACTCTGAGAAACAGAAAGAATAAAAAATAAAAAATGAGCAGAGACTAAGGAATCTGTGGGACACCATCAAATAGACCAACATTCATATTCCAGAAGGATAAATTATGTTAAAAACTTTACCATTCTTTCTTTCCACCTTTCTTTCTTCCTCCCTCCCCCTCCTCTTTTTACTTTTCTTCCTCTTCCTTTCTCTTCTTCTCTCCTTCATTATCCCTTTCGCTCTGTTTCTTTCTCCCTTTCTCTTTTTTCTTTTCTTTCAACTTTCCCAATTACTAAGAGATGTTTAAATACCCTTACCATGTTAGTAGATATGGTTATTTCTCCCTTTAGTTCTCTTTTGAGATTTATAGTCATTCTAAGTAAAGAGATAACCCAAACATAAGCCTCACAAACAGGCTTCCATACCATTCTTAATTTGGTCCTGTAATTCTTCATTGCTGTATTAACTTTCTGATGCTTTTAAGGATGTTTTATAACAAATTGTTTAGTTTTTTCCAATGGAATGTTTATTCTGAATTCTCTAATTCATATTGTACGTATATAGGGAGTTTAATATAAAATTATTCAACTAACACTTCTGAAAGAATGTATTTGTGCATTTAACAAATATGTTAATCCTCAAACTGTTATTGGGCAGCTGAGCATACAGCAATAAAAATAACATAATTTTTAGGTGTACAATATTTATGGAATACATTACTGGAACAAATAAATAATTTAGTTAATGACATGACAAAGAACAGTAGTTGTATACACTATAGAGCATAGTAATGGAATAATGAGTGATTACAGTTATTAATATTAGGTAGAAAATGAAGGGTATCTTTGAGAGCAGAACTCAAGGAAGCAAGCAATTCACCTTGTGAGGAAAGAGTTACCTGTGGATAAAGAAGAAACTGAAAAATTTACAAGTCAAGACTTTTTGAACAAAAACAAAAATATGACTATTAGTCACCAATTCAGTACAGCGAAAAAAAATTTGAAGAGATATCTTGGAAGTAAACCATGTTGTGGAAGAGCATGTAGGGTTTTGATAATCATGGGATGATTCTGAATTAATTTTAAATGCGATAGGAATGTATGAGATAATTTCACCAGAGAATAACATGATTGCGTTTGCATTTCAAAGGGGTGTATCTGGTGCACTGTGTAGAATAAATGGTTATGTGAGCAAATAAATTGGGAGGCTATTGTAATCCAGAGAAAAAAGGTAGTGACTTAGGTGAGAATGCTGTGAGTATGAGTGGTATTAGTGGTGAGAAGTCGTTAGGCCAGGATGTATTTCATAGGACTGGCCAAAAGAACTGCAGCTAAATTGGAGTGTAGGGAGTGAAATGGAGAACTCAAAGATGACTCTCAGCACTGGAAGGTGACATCTGTCACTGAAGCATGCTGATGCCTCTTATTAAGAGAGTTACTTGGGAATGGCAAGATCAAAACTTCTCACTTTCAATTTTATGAAAAATATTGTTTTCAGAATGAATGACTTTGGGATCAGAAAGCCATCATTCTAATTGATGGTTCCACGACTACACAGGCTCACACTCCTAAGAGCAAAAGTAAATCATCACAAAGGTGCTTCCTGATAATTCTAGAGAATGGAGAATTACTGTAACATCTTTCTGATTTTAGGAGAGGTAGCAGTTCCCTTTTTAGCCTAAACGCTATTTTTTTTAAAGCTCAGCCAAGAGACTCCATTGTAATTTTCAAATGTGTGTAACTTAAATTCTCATATTAAATACCACTATGCTTAAATTAGTCAAAACATTTTCCCCATCTACAACTCTATCTTTTCACTGCAATCATTTTCACAAAAGTGACTGCAGCTAACAGACCCTAAAAGGGGAAAATCTAGGGTAGGTTATCTGATCTAGTTAGTTTTGAAGACAGGATCTAGAGATTATTTCATATGAAATAGGTCACCTGAAATGAAGTGTTTACTGAAAACAGCTTGGATCAGCCCAGTTTTCTACCACTGAACCATGCATTTGGTTTAAAAAACACAACAACTCTGGGGAATATTGGCTGCTTCCAACTGTGTTGAAGGTGTTAAAGAAAAGAGCATAAAAAATGATCATCTGAGGCCTTTATAATCTCTGCTCAAGAGACTAGAGTGTTCCATTCTTAAAGAAACACTCAAATATCTTAATAATCGGGCAAAATCTAAATATCAGAGAGATAATTTTATCTTGAAGGTTGTTAAATTATAATGGTTATTCACTACCTTGCCACGTCTCTGAGTCAAAAATTAGATCTTTGTTTAGGAATCAATGGTACTCTGCAACTTGGAAATAGGAAGATTTTAGAAGACTCAAACATTGACTTTCTTGTGTGCAAAAAAAAAGACGTATTGAGATAAGACAAGTTTTTCCTTGCAAGGATACCTCTAATGCTAATACACCACCTCCCCTAATGTTAATATAGCTTCAAGATCACCAACCAGTGTCAGAGAGCAGCCTATGCAACTACAAATTCAAAAGATGTCGAACACAGGGTCAAGCCTAGAATAAGAAGTCTTAGCTAATTAAGTATGCTTTTTTCCCCAGATCCATATTAACAAAAACTTGGATATGTCAGAGAATGCATTCTAAGTTCACTCAACCTAGGAGGGAGAAACATAATTTTAAATTAAGAGCTGAAGCATTCTTGCCCTAACAAAAAGCAAGGAAAATCAAATATCACACCACAGGCGGGATTTCACAAATTAGTGTCAACATCCAAACCTTAAAATAGGCAAGGAAAATGCAGATTCACAATTAACTCTTGTACTTGTTTTGTTCAGAGAAGAGATGGTTCTGAGAGAATGACAGTGAATTAACCCCAACTGGTTTAGTTGGTACTTTCAATTGCTGCTTCTGATAAACTCCTTTAGCTAGAATAAATTGATTAGGATTTTGGCATGTGATATTAGAGATGGTTATTAATTTTTTCCTCTTATTTGCATTGTTCAATGTAGTAAATACTAGCTGTATATGGCTACTTAAATTCAAATTAATTACAATGAAATGTACTTAAATAATGAATTTTTTAGTCACTGTTGGTTCATTAATGAATATCTTCAGCTAAGATTTCCCAACTAAATACACTAAGAGGTGGCTTAGTTAACTGGTTGTCCACAAAAATTGAGGCTGTTAACTCCTGATATATTCTCTGCAAATAGAATATTCAGTGAGCCTCCTCCTGAAACCAGCAGCCTAGAGATAATTTTATAAATTGGATACAAGTTGGAAATCTATAGTCTTTAAGTTTTTGAAATATCAGCTTCCCAGGGAAGAAAACCAAATTCATAAGATATGTTAGGACAATTTAACTCAAGATGTTCAAAACTGAAATGACATATTCTACAATATGTGATAAAACCACCCCCTAACAACTTAAAGCAAAACAAGGATTGACCTTAAAGACCTGCCTTTTCCTCATCCCCCAGCCAGTTTTCAAATCTTGCATTTTTGAAAGGTTCTTATCCCCCTAGTCTCTTGTTTCTAGACTTTGCACATATTCAAGTTTGTTACGTCTATTTACTGACTTTCCTCTCTTCAAACAGTATCTATGTCTGCCAAATGTGAACATACAAAAAACAAATCAGAATGTGCCATTCTGATTTAAACTGCTTATTAGTTAATACCCTCAAGATAACATCTAGGTTCTTAGCTGCACTGAGTCAAGCCCACTTACATCTTTGTTTTCGGGTGCACTTTTCCTATCACATCACACTCCAGCAATGCCAAGCTGTGCCAGCCTTCTACCTCCTTTCCACTATTTTGCCCCCGCCGAAGCGGCCTTTGAAGCTTTTCGTCCCCCGGCGCCGCGGCTTTTTGCCACCCCGGGTTTTTGCCGCCGCGGCTTTTTGCCCCCGCCGCCGTGGCTTGCTGCCGCCGCTGCCGCGGTTTTTTGTGGTTTTTTACCCCAGCTCCCACTGCTTTTTGCCCCCACCGCGGCGGCTTTTTGCTGGTTTTCGCCCCTGCCGCCGCGGCTTTTTGCCCCCGCCTCAGCGGCTTTTTCTCGCCGCGACTTTTTTCACCCGCACCGAGGCTTTTGCAGCTTTTTGCCCCCTGCCGTCGCGGCTTTTTGCCTCCGCCGCCGCGGCTTTTCGCCCCCGTCGCCGCGGCTTTTGCGGCCTTTTGCCTGGGCCGCCGCGGCTTCTTGCCCCCACCGTCGCGGCTTCTTGCCACCGCTGCTTTTTACCCCCGCCACCGTGGCTTTTTGCCCCCGCTGCCGAGGTTTTCTGCCGCCGCTGCCGCGGCTTTTTGTGGTTTTTTTGCCCCAGCTCCCACTGCTTTTCGCCCCACTCCGCCGCGGCTTTTTCCCCCGCCGCCGCGCATTTTTGCCACCGCGGCTTTTTGCCCCCGTCGCCGCTTTTTGCCGCTGCAGCTTTTTGCCCCCGCTGCCGAGGTTTTCTGCCGCCGCTGCCTCGGCTTTTTGTGGTTTTTTGCCCCAGCTCCCACTGCTTTTCGCTCCCCCCTCCGCGGCTTTTTGCGGCTTTTAGCCCCCGACGCCGCGGCTTTTTGCGCCCGCCGCCGCGGCTTTCTGCTGCCACGGCTTTTTGCCCCCCGCCGCCGCGGCTTTTTGCCCCCCGCCGCCGCGACTTTCTGCCCCCGCCGCCGCGGCTTTTTGCTCCCGCGGCATTTTGCCCCCTGCCGCCGCGGCTTTTTGCCCCCGCCGCCGCTTTTTGCCGCCGCGGCTTTCTGCTCCCGCCGCCGCGGCTCTGAGGGCGGGAGCGGCAGACTCCGCTGCCAGCTCTACTGGCGTCCTGGCAAGGGCAGCGCCGAGGGGCTCTCCCGGCTCGGGGGTTCCTTGCCTAGGCGCCCGAGCCCCGGGCTCCCTGCCTCGGCCGCTGTGGCCTGCATAGGGCGGCACTGCGCGCGGAGGCGATGGGAGAGAAGAAGGAGGGCGGTGGCGGGGGTGATGCAGCGGCCGCTGAGGGTGGCGCAGGGGCCCCGGCCAGCCCGGGGCTGCAGCAGTGCGGACAGCTCCAGAAGCTCATCGGCATCTCCATTGGCAGCCTGCGCGGGCTGCGCACCAAGTGCGCTGTGTCCAACGACCTCACCGAGCAGGAGATACGGACCCTGGAGGTAAGGGGTTTGGGGACCCGGGCTGGGCTCGAGCAGCGGCCCGGACACCTCCCTTGGGGCCCCAGTTCACTCCTGGCCGAGTTGCATCCTTGAGCCCGCGTCGCGCCCTTGGAGGCTTCCCCTCCCTCCTGCACTCGCTGATGCGGCAGCCGAGAGACCCGGGACCAGCCCTCACCTTGGGCAGGATTTGTGGGGCGGGTGCTTGGTGGGAACTGGGATGGAGGCGCTAGGGTCCCGTGGGGCGGGGAGGGTGAGGGTGGGCTGCGCGCGGACATCCCCTTACCCCCGAATTTCCATCTGGTCCGGCCCTCTCATCTTGTAGGTGAGGAAACCAAAGGCCCGAGGGAGAACTGACTTGCCAGGAACCCCTGTTAAGGAGAATTACCAAAGTGTGGTTATTAAAGGAGAACTGAGTTGGGAGTCAGACCTGGAGTCCCACACCCTTGGTTAAGTCATTATACCACCTTGAGTCTGGCCTGTTGACTGAGGGTGAGCCACTCCATCCTCGTCTGATTGTGGGGTCTTGACCTCAAGGGGTTTCGTGCAGGAAGAAGCAAATGGGTTTGCTTTCCTAGCTCTGTCCAGTACCTTAGGGACCCTGAGGACTGAAGCGATTCTTGGAGAGCCATCTGGTGTATGTCATGCGTGGGCCTTTCTTGAAGGTCTGTCTGCCCAGTGGGCTGGCTCAGCCCGAATGAACTGTCTTGAATCTTTGGAGTTGTCTGTGTACTTTTAAGGGCTTCTCATCCTTGCACCAAAAGATCCCCTGGAAATTAGGTGGGAAAACCTTACCTTTTGTGGGGCCTTGTGTTTGTCTTAAAAGTTCATGCACATGGCCAGGTGTGGTGGCTCACACCTGTTATCCTGTCCTGGATCCCTTGAGTCAAAGAGTTTGAGACCAACCTGGACAATACAGTGAGACCCCGTCTCTACAAAAGATAAAATATTAGCCAGGGGTGGCTGTGCGCATCTGTAGTCCCAGCTAGTACTGTGGCTGAGGCGGGAGGAGCACTTGAGCCTGCACTGAGCTGTGATCTCACCAGTGTACTCCAGCCTGGGCCACAGAGCAAGACCTTGACTCAAAAACAACAACAACAACAACAAAAATTCTTGAAGATTTTGCATTCTGTCCCACTATCCATTGGTTTTCGTGTCAAGATAATGTGAGAAATTCTTTACAATTGCTTCCAGAAGGAATAGCCTTTTGATTTAGTGCACAGGTGTCCAGTCTTTTGGCTTCTCAGGCCCACATTGGAAGAAGAATGCTCCTGGGCCACACATAAAATACACTAATGCTAACAACAGCTAATGAGCTTAAAAAAAAAAAAAAAAAAAAGGTTTGTGCAGAATTTTGATGATACCCACCACCAAAGATAGGCGGAAAAGTCCTTGTAGTCACAGGGTTGGACACGGCTGATCTAGTGTCTTGTCGTCCGTTTTGGCTTTCTCCCGGTTTCCAGAATGCAGGTAGAGATGTAGAGACGTGCTCTCAGGACAGCTGTTGAGATAAAAAAATTCGTTGTCATTTATTCCCAAGGACAGCTGTTTGTCATTTGCATTGAAAAAGTCTCCATTCAAACTGCTGTCACATATAAAATCTATTTATATAAGTCTGTATTTTTCTGTTGTCTTGGCCTTTGTGGGCAGTAGTGTGTTTTAACCGAGCAAACTGTCCTTCCAAATAATGAAGCCGAAGTCAGCCTGCCTGCTTGCCATTTTTCTTCCCCTTCCATTTTTCTAACCTCAGGATAGTTGTAAGAATGAATTAAGATTTGTGTTTAAGGCCGGGCACAGTGTCTCAGGCCTGTAATCCCAGCACTTTGGGAGGCGGAGACGGATGTATCACTTGAGCTCAGGAGTCCAAGACCAGCCTGGGCAACATACTGAGACTCCGTCTTGTATAATTAAATTAAAATTTAAAAAAAGAAGAAAAAAAGACCTGTGCTTAAAATTTAAAAAAAGGGGGGAAAGTGTAATGTGAAATGTAGACTATGCCAGCCATGATTGGGAAAAATAATTTTTCATACAGCATTATCTGTAGACTTGTATTAGCAGCATACTGGTCATAAGCGTTTTGCTTTCCTCAAATATGATGAGGTAAGCTACTTTAAAGTGTGGTGGGGCTTTCTTCCATGTGGCTCCTGGAGGTGTTGAGTCCCAATTTAGCCAATTAATTTGGGTTTAGTTTTGATATGGATAAGGGAGACCAGCTTCATTCATGGTGCACACACAGTTTTGCCAATAAGGAAAAAAAAAAGCCACCTGAATGTTCCTACTCATTAGATGCTATCTGGAGAGCTCCTACCCCACCCGCACCAAGGCCCGGGCCCTTAAAAAGACTCAGTGCAGCCTTTCTGTATCTCATACTGTATTCTGCAAGATGCTCCTGTGAAAGAAAGTTGTGCTGCACCAGCCATCTCCCTCCTGAAGATCCCTGCGGATGAGGATTTGTGTTTTAAAGGTTCTGAGAAGTCCTGCAACAACAGTTCTCAAACTTATTTGTCCAGGGGATCTTTTCTTCCACTGAACGTAGTTGGGGAGACACGGCCTTAAGCCTTGAGCAGAGAAAGAGACAAGAAACTGTTGGCTCACTTACAACCAAGTGTTGTGTTTATGTTTTAGGTTTTTATGAAACTGAGGTGCTGTTTGAGGTTCTAAATCAAACTGGGTGGTTGAAGAGAGGCTGGTATCCCTGTAGACTTAGCCAGCCATGAGAGGTTGCCTTTTGTTGAAGGACGTGTTTTACAAAGGGAAATAGGGTGTCTCTTGGGCATCACATTAGCACTTAAATACATGTATCACTGAAATGAAATGAAATGATGAAATGATGAAATGATGAAATGAAATGGTCAAATGAAGAAACGAAATGATGAAATGATGAAATGAAATGATGAAATGAAATGATGAGATGAAATGATGAAATGATGAAATGAAATGATCAAATGAAGAAACGTAATGATGAAATGATGAAATGAAGAAATGAAGAAATGAAATGATGAAATGATGAAATGATGAGATGAAATGAAATAATGAAATGATGAAATGAAATTGAATGATGAAATGAAATAATGAAATGATGAAACAAAATGGTGAAATGAAATGAGGAAATGAAATGAAATGATGAAATGAACTGATGAAGTGAAATAATGAAATGATGAAAAGATGAAATGATGAAATGAAATGCTATGAAATGATGAAGTGAAACAATGAAATGATGAAATGAGAAGATGAAATGAAATGATATGAAATGATGAGATGAAATGTAATGAAGTTATGAAGTGAAATGATGAAATGATGAAATAATGAAATGAAATGACGAAATGATGAATTGATGACATGAAATGAAATGCAATGACGAGATTAAAAGGTGAAATGAAACGAAATGATTAAATGAAATGAGATGAAAAGATGAAATGATGAGATGAAATGAAATCATGAGATGAAATGATGAAATGAAATGATAAGATGAAATGAGAAATTGAATGATGAAATGATGAAATGGTGAAATGAAATGAAGTGAAATGAAATGATGAAATGATGAAATGAAGAAATGATATGAAATGATGAAATGAAGTGAAATAATGAAATGATGAAATAAGGAAATGAAATGAATTGACAAAATGAAATGATGAAATGAATGACAAAATGAAAAGATGAAATGAAATGAAATAATGAAATGAGATGAAAAGATGCTATGAATTGATGAGATGAAATGAAATCATGAGATGAAATGATGAGATGAAATCATGAGATGATGAGACGAAGTGAAATGATGAAATGATGAGATGAAATGATGAAATGAAATAATGAAAGGATGAAATGATGAGATGAAATGATGAAATGATGAAATGGAATGAAATGAAATGAAATGGTGAAATGAAATGAGGAAATGAAATGAAGAAATGAAATGATGAAGTGAAATGATGAAATGAAATGATGAAAAGATCAAATGATGAAATGAAGAAATGATATGAAATGATGAAATGAAGTGAAATGATTAATGAAATAATGAAATGAAATGAATTGATGAAATGAAATGAGATGAAAGATGAAATGATGAAATGAGATGAAAAGATGAAATGAGATGAAATGAAATGATGAGATGAAATGAAATCATGAAATTATGAAATGATGAGATGAAGTGAAATGAGGAAATGCAATGATGAGATGAAATGATGAAATGAAATAATGAAAGGATGAAATGAGATTAAATGATGAAAGGATGAAATGAAATGAAATGAGGAAATGAAATGATAAGTCAAATGATGAAATGATGAAATGGAAAGATGATGAAATGATATGAAATGAAATGATGAAATGATATTAAATGATGAAATGAAATGATGAAATGAAGTCAAATGATGAAATGATGAAGTGAAATGAAATGAATTGATGAAATAAAATAATGAAATGAGATGAAATGATGAAATGATGAAATGGAATGATGAAATGAAATGGTGAAATGAAATGAGGAAATGAAATGAAATGAAATGATGAAGTGAAATGATGAAATGATGAAATGAAAAGATCAAATGATGAAATGATATGAAATGATGAAGTGAAATGATTAATGAAATGATGAAATGATGAATTGATGAAATGAAATGATGAGATGAAATGATGAAATGAGATGAAATGATGAGATGAAATGAAATCATGATATGAAATTATGAAATCAGATGAAGTGAAATGATGAAATGAAATGCAATGATGAGATGAAATGATGAAATAATGAAAGGATGGAATGATGAGATGAAATGATGAAAGGATGAAATGAAATGATGAAATGAGGAAATGAAATGAAATGATAAGTCAAATGATGAAATGATGAAATGATAAGTCAAATGATGAAATGATGAAATGGAAAGATGAAATGATGAAATGATATGAAATGAAATGACATGATAAAATGATATTAAATGATGAAATGATGAAATGAAGTCATGATGAAATGATGAAATAAATGAAATGAATTGATGAAATAAATGAATTGAGATAAAAAGATGCAATGATGAAATGAAATGAGATGAAAATATGAAATAAAATGATGAGATGAAATGATGAGATGAAATCATGAGATGAAATGAAATGATGAGATGAAGTGAAATGATGAAATGTTGAGATGAAATGATGAAATGATGAAAGGAAATGAAAGAATGAGATGAAATGATAAGATGGAATGATGAAATGATGCAATGAAATGATGAAAGGAGGAAATGAAATGAAATGATGAAATGAGGAAGTGAAATGATGAAATGAAATGATGAAATAGATGAACCAAAATACTTATTCATTTTTTTCTTGGCATCCTTCTAAGAGTATTTTAGTGAGGTTAATTTCTAAAACTAAATTGCTATTCAATGGCTATACAGTTGGCCTTTGCACCACAGGGGTTTGAACTGTGCAGGTCCACTTAGCAAAACCAACAATTCTACATCCTTCTCCACACCCTGCCCATGAAAAGGATGAGGATGAAGATCTGTTTGATCATGTACTTCCATTTAATAACTAGTAAATATATTTTCCTTATGATTTTCTTTTTCTTTTCTCTGGCATGTTAAGAATACAGTATATAAGAAATATAACATGTTAAATATGTGTTAATTGACTGCTTGTGTTACTTGTAAGGCTTAGAGTAGGCTATTAGTAAAGTTTTGGGGGAGTCAAAGTTATAGTGGGTTTTCTACTGTGCAGGGGGGCCAGCACCCCAACCTCCGTGTTGCTTAAGGGTCAACTGTACATGTTATTTCCTTTCCTGTAAGAGAAAAATGATGAGAAGGTCTTTTCTCCAATAAGTGTATTCAAAATATAGCAGACTTGAAATGTGTTGGCGCCACCATTTTGCGTCTCACTTTGAAAACTTATTATTAAAAATCGTACTAAAGCCTTACTTTTCCAACCTTAGAAAAAATGTTACAAAGGAGTGAAACCATGCTAGTTTGCCCCGAAATTTGAAATTATCTTGTAAAAATATATTTTTACATTAATTGCTTCCAAAATAGAGATCAGTTGCATACAAATGGCAGGTCACCCTAATCCACCCTATGACTGCACTTAGATTCATGAGGAATTGTGCCATCTAGAAAGGGCAGAGAAGAGGAGCCACATGCTTTGATTCTGTTGTCACTGTGTACTTACTGCTAGGAAGAGGGCATGTTTGTGTATTTTTATGCTAATTATTATCCAAGTAGTTAATGATTTAGGCTTTCAGAGCCATATAAAGATTTTTTCCTTTCAGATATAAACTATCTTGCATTGTTCTTCTGATCATATGAGGGATAAATTTGCCTAAATATTCTTCAGACCATAATGTTATGTCCATATAAATGCCAGTAGCAAGAGTAGAATCAACCACAGCTGCCTTTGTAATTATTAAAAGCATGTGTGCCCATAAGTAATTGGCATTTTATATAATCAAGAATCTTTGATATAATAATCTCTCAACTATTTGAAATGGCTCACTTATATTAATTTTTTATGCAAATACATATATATAATATTGTATATGAAACAATTTTGGACTGTAGAACAGCTTCTTAGAATCTTGACTTAAATGTCCACAGTAATATTTGACTGAAAAAAATTTAGCACACTGTCACTATGATGAAAAAATTACTATAAAATTATTTTAAAAATTTTTCCACCCTAACATTTAGAACATTCTCACATTTGTGGTTAAAACCTATTGTGATTGTTCCTAGAATTTAGATAAAAAATGTTCCAGAAAGTTTGAAGAGAAGCACTTCAGTCAATTTGTATTTGTTCAAGCATGAAGAAATGGCATTTCATTGACATTTTAAAAACTATTCAGATTTGAATTCAAGTGTTTCAAAGATATCTTATTTTTAAATACCAAAATAGGAATAGAATATGAAGGGCTGGTTATGAGTAATATGATACACTTTTATGAGAGGATGAGATTACAATAACAATACCTCCTCTCATAGAATAGCCAGCAAGTCTCCACTAAATAACAGTGCCTTGATTTTATAGATGTTTAATCATGGATATTGAGTTAATGTGAACCATTTGTAGACACAGGAGTTTATTAAAGAGTTATATAATATCTTTCAAGTATTTAGAATAGTGTTGAAATTAAGCCTGCATCCCCACGATTTTCAGAGGTGCTGATGCCTAATAAACTCAACCCCTTGCATGCCAAAATTGGCTTAAAGCCCACCCGTTACCCAAGCTACACTTCAAGCATCAAGGTTCAAAAATGTAATTTTAAATATGCAAGAGTTTGAGGAATTCACTACTCACACTTTCTTGAACAGTCTATCCAAGTGCATCAAGCAAAATGTGAGTAAAGAAATTTTGGCCAAAGGATTGATAGTAATGTTGAATACTTTTAATAGTAGATCTAAGATTAAAAGGTGAGAGTGAGGGTGAGAAGAGTGTATGAATGCTTTGTGTTCTGACAAAGAGAATGTAGCACCCATGTCCTACCTGCTTGGTTGCATTGCCATTGCCCACGGTAGGCTATTTTATCCGGGTTTTTAGGTTTTGTTTTGTTTTTTTCTTTTCAGGAGAGTTAGTCCAAGACAAATAACTCCATAACTGGTATAATTGGAAGACTTTAATAGTGCTTAACATTTTATACATAGCTTTATAACAGTTTTTTTTCTTTTTTTCTGAGAGATTCTTTTCAATATACCCCATCATGGTTGAACTCAAAGTCATTGCTTATTTAAAATCTACAACTGCTGACGTTTTGTAACCTTTGCATTCCAGGTAATTGGTTTTTTGTGCATTTTCTGTATTTTTCTCCATCAGTCTACCTAGATATTTGTTAGATTTAATATTTTAATATTTTTCTGAAAAAGTGAGCTTTTGCATTTTTAAATATATACTCTGTGGCTTTAATTCTGCTTTTTCATGTACCGGTTCCTCCTCTTTTTTTTTTTTTTTTTTTTTTTTTTTTTTTTTTGAGACAGAGTCTTGCTCTGTCGCCCAAGCTGGAGTGCAGTGGCATGATCTCTACTCACTACAACCTCCACCCGCCACATTCAAGCAATTCTCCCACCTCAGCCTCCCGAGTAGCTGGGATTACAGCTGCATGCCACCATGCCAGGCTAATTTTTGTGTATTTAGTAGAGAATGGGTTTCACCATGTTGGACCAGGCTGGTCTCGAACTCCTGACCTCAGGTGATCCACCTGCCTCGGCCTCTCAAAGTGCTGGGATTACAGGCGTGACCCATGGCGCCTGGATATTTCCTTCGTTCTTTATGTTTATTTTACTGGTTTTATCTCTCTCTCTCTCTCTCACTGTTTCTCTCCTTCTCACATTCACTTTGCAGTTGTCAAATAGCCCAGGTGATGTTACAGATTTACTCCTTATAAAAGGAGGCATTACACATTATACTTGCATCTTAGTGGCCTTAAAAAAGTGTTTGGTTCATTGTATTGACTATTGACCTTTATAATATTTCAATATTCATTAAAATAGCTTCCAACCAATATTATTAGACTTATGTTTCTAGCTTTCTTTTTTGTATTGATATCTACCTTCATTGCTGTTTGTTTAGGAAATATATTCTGTGTCACGTTATTTCCGTGAAAATTGTTTGAATTTGTGTTATGGTCTAGAAAATGTTAATTTTTGTAAGTATTCTGTATGAACATGAAAATAACATGAATTATAATATTCATGTTCCTTATAAAACATTTGCCCTTTTTAAAATCCACTAGCTTCTTTTAAAACTTACTCTTTTAATTTTTTCTTTTATCTATTACTGAAAGATGTGTGTTTGAAATGTCTATAATGATTTGGGGGCTTATCCATTTCTACTTACTTTCTGATATTTTTGCTTTATATAATTTGACTCTCTAAATACGTGTGTGTGTGTGTGTGTGTGTGTGAGAGTGTGTTGTGTGTGTATTTATGTATATATGTATCAGGCTAATGCACATTTAAGTCATCACATCTTAATAACTTAAAATTTTTATCACACTGGTTAGACTAACTTATTTTAATAAATGTTTCTAACTTACATTCTATTTTGTCTGCATAGCAACTTTTTAAAAAATTATATTCATGTAGTATGTATGTATATCATATATACACAGTATCTGTATTGTTTGAATTTCAAAGTTTCTGTAAATTTATATATTAGTTGCCTCTCTTGTAACTATGATAGAGACGGATTTTTTTAATTTTGCCAATCTTTGTATTTTAATAGAAACATCGTGTACTTAGGTTTAAGTTAATCTTTGATCATTTATACTTAATTTGTTTTATTAATTTGTTGTGTATATATATATATAAAATGTCTCATTTTCTCCTATTAGTTTCTGTCTTCTTGTTTTTAAATTATGACTTATTTTTATTGTTTTCATAGATACAACAGAGAAATGCATAATGTCCAGCGAATTTATTAAAGTTCCAAAGTCGGTCGCGCGCCGTGGCTCACGCCTGTAATCTCAACACTTCGGGAGGCCGAGGCATGTGGATCATGAGGTCAGGAGTTGGAGACTAGCCTGACCAACATGGTGAAACCCCGTCACTACTAAAAATACAGAAATCAGCCAGGCATGGTGGCACGCGGCTGTAATCCCCGCTACTCAGGAGGCTGAGGCAGGAGAATTGCTTGAACCTGGGAGGCAGAGGTTGCAGTGAGCCGAGATGGCGCCACTGCACTCCAGCCTGGACGAAAGAGTGAGTGAGACTCCTTCTCAAAAAAACAAAAAAAAAGAGTTGCAAAGTCATACTCACCTTTCTGCTCTTGTCGGACAATTAAGGGGTCTTTGAATACTTCAGCCCTAATAATTTGCTTCCTAACATACATATTGCAGTGCTTATCTAATTTTGAATATCTTTTTGTTTCAACACCTAATTTTTTATTTAGATCTATCTGTATGTTTACAGTATATTTTGCTCTGTGTTCATTCTCTGATTTCAGAACTTCAGCCTTTCTGAAGCATGTTTTCAGAGTTTCTCTTTAGTTTCTTTAGTGGAATTCTGCTGGTGGCGTTTTGTTTTTTGTCTCTAAATATGTTATTTAGCCATAGGTTGATGAATATTTTTCTTGCTTGAGAATTTCAGAATGGCATTATTATTTTTAACAAATACTATTATTTTACCTTTCATTCTTTCAGATTTCAATATGATTAAAGGTAATTTGATTTTTCTAGTGCTAAGTGAAATATTTTTCCCTTCCTGATTGTTTACTATTACTCTAGGAGATACGTAGGTGTAGGTTTATCTCCATTGTAGCTTGCTTAGCATGCATGGAATTTTTGAACATGCGGATTAGTGTCTTACAAAAGTCTAGAGAACTTTCAGCCAAAATACCATCACATATTCTCCCTTCCCAGTTCTATTCTTGTATGAGAACACTCACTACACACATGCTACACTTTCTCACTGTATCATCCATGTCTCTTAATGATTCTGTCCACATTTTGCATTTTTTAAAATTTTCTGTAATGCATTCTGAAATATTTATGAACTCTCACCATGGCCATGTCTAATCTGATGAGTTCATTTTTGAGTTTTTAATTTAAAATACTATATTTTTATACAAACTACTTTTCGAATTTGCTACATCAATTTTTTAGTCTCCTAAAAATATATTCATTTTATTTTAAATTTTTTTAAAGCAAATTTGCTTTATAATCTAACAGTGATATTTCTACTAATGAAACTTTGTGGATCTGTTTGTACTCTTGTTCTGCTTTCCTTTCAGATGGTGGAATATCATTTCCTTGCGTACTTAGATGCCTTTGAATGACAAATATTTATTTTTCTCTGAAAATTATTTTTGTGCACTTTTGAGGATTAGTAAGAAGAAAATTTGCCAAAGAGAATTTGAATTTTTTTGTGAGTCTACTAAAGACACCACCATTCTGGGACCACATTATGTTAATTCTTGGCCTAAAGGTGTTTGGATGTATGTTTGGACTGCACATTTAAACAATTTTTAAATTAATTGCTGTAAATCATTAATGATTGAGTTTCTTTAAATCTGTCCAATCTCAAGTCATTTTTATTTGCCATTTCCAGGGAATGTGAAATGGGACTAATTTACCTCTGATTCTTGTTTATACTGAGGACAGAAATTTTGGTCCTAGCTTTAGGGAGGAGCTCCTGTGTGATGCCCTATCTTGGGAAAAGCTGTGTATTTCTTTACTGTCCTATGTGATGAATGACAGTAGGAATCTGCACTCATTCATTTTGGTACATTTCCGTAGGGCAAAATCAGTTTCGGTGTTTAGGTATATTTTGTCTGCTCCCTGCGTTCCCATGGTTTTGACCTTATATTTTACTTTTTTTTGTGAACATACCAATGCTTCAATTTTTTTCCAGTAATATAATCAACTATATTATGAGAAAGAGAAATATTTTGATAAAACACAAATTTCATGTTTTCCTACTCTAATTGGCTTTTACGTAAAAATACAGGTAAAATTTATTTGTGCTTTTTTGCTATTTCTGTTTGGCTATTCTCTGTCTATGTCTTCTCCACATAGACACAATTAGGGAATTTTGTACACTCTTGTGCCAACTGCTTTGATAGTAACAAAATGTATTTCTCGAACTCCTAGGTATAAAACTCAAGTATCCACAATTTAAATTGTTTTTCCCTCTCTTCTATTATGTTTCCAGTCTCAATAGAAATCGATGCCAATCCAGAAATACAAGCATTATTCTAATACTTCTAACACATTACAGATATAGATTAAATTTTCTAGATCTCCTTAAATACTATCATTTTTCACTACTTGTATCTTAACTGTTAAGTTCAACACTTTCTATAATATTAATATGTTGTGAAAGTTTCTTTACTTTCTTATTTGTCCCAGGTTCGATGTTTTGCAGTCTCTACCTCACCCTGTGAAGCATAAACATTGTACGTGCTGTACAAATAATACATAGTTCATGTGCTTAGAGATTGCACAATTTTTATTTGGTTGACAATAGCTAATGTTTTCTTCTTCATTTTCTACTTCCTGATTTTTCTTTATTTAGTATATACTACATTATCATAAAAATAAGAACATTTTACAAACTAAAGCAAAAGCAACCCTAAGAATAAAATGCACAAATAAAATATATAAACATACAGTTAGATGTACCATGTACCCTTCTAATTTATTTAGACATTTAATTTTAGTACAATTTTAATTAAAGTCTGTGTATTATCTGTCATCGTCTTAGTATTTTTTATATAACAAATTTTGTAAATCAAAAAGTCTCAATGTCATTATAAACTATCATGGCAGAGGTTGATCTCCAAGGAATAATTTCTCTCCCAAATTATGCCAATCAGAATTTCACTCTACCATAATTCTTTTAATCAGTTTCAGAGAAATAATAAATTTCAAAATTGTTCAAGGTAATTGTTGTAGTTCAAGTACATTTTGACAGGTGTAAAACTGTAGACAGACTGATACAAACATATTCTAACTGACTCAAAAGTATATGGGACCTATTTTAAAATCTAGATTTTAAAATGTCGTGTCAACATACACATGTTCTCCTTGTGAAATAATTGCTTTTTATTCTCTGGATAGAATAATTTAATCTTTAAACCTTCAATTCACTGTTAAAAACAAAATATTACATAAGGATATGCTTATAAAAATAATTCACAAGTAGCTTTTCAATTCAGAAATGTATGTGAAAAATCATCAAGCATCTAATGGATTTCAAGGAGAAATGGGTTAGTAATTTATTCCATATGTCTCAATTTTTCCTAGACTCAAGTCTTACTTTAAAATAATTGTAGGCGTTTAAGAAACCATGTGAACTAAAAAGAAGAAATTGTGACACTGCCGCTTAGGTTTTTTAAATCTTTGGACATGAGTCAATATATTTTTTAATTTTATCTTAATTAGACATTGTGAGTTCACCATCTTCCTGTCAGTATAGCATCCAAGCTGATTATCATAGATTACAAGTTCAACTATCAACTGTGTTCTGAGAGTCTAAAAAAATAAATGAATGTATTTGTTTGGGTATTCTTAAAGCAGGAGTGAGGACACAGCGAAAGTGAGACAAGGAAGAGAGAACAAAATAAAACAGGAAAGATAGAAAAGCCAATGCCACACGTGTTTAGAGGCAAGTTCCTGTGTTAGATATCTGGGCTTAATTCTATGGGAAGCTATGTGGAACATGCCTCAGAATTACATCACTGAATCCAGGGAGATTCTTCTTAGTTACCCTCACCTTTTCTTCCCACTTCATGCCCAGTATCAAGCTCCCATGCTGCTAGAGAGAGTCCTCGGCTAGAAACAGGTGCAAATTCTGGAGATGAGACCTTGTAGAGTGTTAAGGATGGTTTTCTTCACAGCAGCTACAGGTAAGGAATAGGGGCTGGGCTATTAATACATCTGCTACAAATCAATAAAGGCCTTATGCTCCTTTTGCTGATCGACAATGTATTTAAAAATATTAGATGATCAAGAAGGGCTGCAGAAAGGAGGAAACAGAAACAAACAGCACACCTCTTGGTTTATTTTTATTCATTTCATCAGTTTCAAGGAAAATGCGTTGGGAGTTCCTGGCATAAAGAATGTCACAAAGACATGTTTTCAATAGTGGTGCTATCCCTAGGGCAGAGAAGACCCAGAGAAAGCCCAAGTGGCTGCTGCAACAAAGTCAGACACCGTGCCACCTGTCCACACTCCTTGCCTCTGCCATCGTGCTGAAGATCGGTTTAAAGGACTGGCTTCCCTCCCCCCGAAATTAAAAGAGCACAAACTGAGAAACTGAATGTAGGAGACAGCAGTGGATTATGCTGTTCCCAGGGGTCACCTCAGGTTTGGAAGCATTCTTTCAAATTAACCCATCTCAGGCCATCTGCAGAGAAGAAAGGTGGTACCTAACTTTTTTTCTTGTCAGCATTTAGTAGCTGTGTTTTATTGAACAAATAAGTTCCCACAACCTAGTTTTTTGTAACTAAATGTAGTAGATTTTTAAATTTTATCATCAAAATCTATGGACAATTTTTGATTAAAATAGACTCCATGTCTATGTCCTGCTTTTCCTCTTATTAATTACATTGTTGTATAAAAGAACAAGACATCAGAATCAAGAATATCTTGTCTCTTGGCTTTGAATTTATACAAGGTGCTCTTTAATGCTGTCTCAAAGGACATATTTTTACTCATTAAAGAGAAGATCGGAATCGAGTTGTATGCACTGCTCCAACATATTAATAATTAAAATTAGGAGGTAAATGTGGTCAAAGCTATAGAAAGACTTGAGATGTCATTTATATTGATTACTGTATAGCACTCGACAAACAGAAATGGTTAAATAATAGTTTATATAAATATTTTGTAGCATTTCAAGTATTTGAATGCCTGAAGTTTCTCCTCTTATATAGTTCAGATTATCAATTTGAAGACTTATTCCGCTAGTTAAAATGTTTTTAGTCTCGTTTGAGTATTATATAAAAGCAATTTTCAGTTAAATGTGTTCCACTTACATAAAACATTACAAATTGTGAGTATTTAATTACATTTTCATGTTCCTGTAATGTCTTTAGAAGATTTTCATATCATTACCTATCAATATATGTATGCTTTGTCAAAGAAAAGTCAAACATATATATCATTGAAATTGAAACTTTTTAAAAGTACTTAATAATTCTATTGAAAAACCACATCCATAGGAACAATTACAATATAATATTGTGAACATGTAAATATATATCCTATGTCTATTTTATATATAAGCATATATGATTAAAATATAGTTAAGAATTTTTAAACCTAGTATTATAAAGTAAAATTAGTTAAACTTCTGATGATTATTTGTTAATTAAGATAAAATTATTTTGATTTGGGTGATTTTAAATAAAAAAATTACATGACAAAAATTCTTTATAAAATGTTTATGATTTTTACTTTGGTTTTATCACTTTATTCCACTCTTTTATTTTAAGATGACCTGCCTTGTTTAAAACACTGTATCCATCTTAATTAAATTAAATTCCATTTGTCAAAAAATTAACAAATGATTTGCTCTATTATACAGTGCAGTTATAAACTGAGTCAGTATCTCAAGATTTGATCCCCATTATCGTCTGTGGCCCTATTTGTTTTATAAATGTAGTGCCTTTTTCCATGCCTGTCACATCTCTATTGTTCATTCATTTTTCTCTTTGTTCCTTATAGGGAGCATTGCCTATCTCTAGATTAAACAAAAGTTGCATCTTAAAAAAGCACAATAACCTGCTCAATCTTTCTCACACAGACAAATGTTTATTAAGTAATTAAAGTGTAGATGATGATACAAAGAGCTTGATTAAATTAGATGCCAAAGTACACTTTGTGATTCAGAATATGAATGGTATTTAATTTCTTCGAAATCAGTAATTGCTGAGTGACATTAATGCCAATATTTCAGAAGTTTTTCTGGTTAGTGAAATGGGTACAACATGTAAAAGTTTCCAAACTCTGAAGGGCAACATTATTCTATAATTAAGAATTAAGAATTCACATTAATTATTAGGGAGAAATAATTATTAAAATTAATGACAGAAAATGTTTTTTTTATTTAGAAAATTATTTTGTGCATGAACATTACTGCAAGTTTTGCAAGAAACAAATTTATAGAAACAATTATGTGCACAAGATGAATTTAATAACATCTTGATATTTTCCACGATTAGAGTTTTATTTGGTAAATCTTTAAATGCATATCAACTAAAGATAATAAATGAATCTTGGAAATCTTGTAGGTAAGGGTAAATATTAGGATGCATCCAATTACATTTACACACACATACAGTTACATTTACACACATGCACACACTGATACACGTGTGTGTATATATATACATGAATTTACCAATTGATTTTAACTAATATTTATAAGAGCCAGTAAGATTGATATATATTGTTGAACCTGAAAAATATTTATTATATACATGTTATAAATAAATAGTAATTGCACTAGGCATTTGAAACTGTACTAAAATATAAGCTGTGAATATTTTGTGATCATTACAAATTCTTACACTGAATATTTTTATTTTTATAATATGTTTGATACATGTGTACATTTTTTACAATGTATTATTTTATTTTTGTCAGTCATGTGATGCATAATAACATTTCAGTCAATGATGGATTACATATACAAAAGTGATCCCATGAGATTATAATACATATTTTTACATACTTTTCTATGTTTAAGAATGTTTAGATACATAAACTCTTACCGCTGTGTTCTTATTGCTGGCAGTATTCAGTATAGTAATATAGTACACAGGTTTGTAGCCTAGGGGAGAGAGGCTATACCATATAACCTAGACGTGGTAGGCTGTACAATTTAGGTGTTTGTAATATTCACTGTGATGTTTACAAAACGATGAAAATGCCTATGGATGCATCTGTTAGAATATATCCTATCATTCAGTGATGTGTGACTGTACTAAAATGCTCAATGTAAGTTTCGATGCTCTCCATAAAATTGCTGTCCTGTGAAATACAAATCTCTCACCCATGGCCTGAATATGTTTGCAAACTAAGCAGATCATGGGAAGGAGAATGTGTTGGCGTCGCTGGGATGGTTTTCTCACACTACATGAATAATATCTCCAGACTTCGTGAATATGAGCCACCTGCATAGAGTTAAAGTAGGCATCTCTTTGCTGGGAAATTTATCAAATGGGAGTATGAAGTGTTTTTAAAAGATACGTGTTTGTTTGTAGCCGGTAGGCCTACAGTGGCTCATGGCAATGGTTGAGGTTGCTAAAATTTGGTGGAAGGAGGCAAAAAAATGAAATGGCCACTTATATGGTTTATGGATCTCTTGTTTCTGTTGAGTTACAGATTCAGCTGGCTGTTTCTCCAAATGTTAGTTATTTGGAGAAAAAAATGATGGTAATTTTGGGGTAACAAATACAATATTTGATGAAAGCAAATTTATTGAGGGTTAGACAAACTACAAGATACTTTAGGCTGCAAAGTCAACACGAGACTTCTGGCCCAAATTGTGCAGACTTTGGGTCCAGCTGCAAAGTTCAAAGGAGGAGGCCATATAAGACGATTCTCACTTTTAGACACCAACTGCCGGTTCAGGGGTTTCCCCAGAACACCCTCAGTTTCAAGAATTTACTAGAGATACTCACAGAACTCATTGAATGCCATTGTACTCATGGTTTATAATAGAGAAAGGGTACAAATTAGGACCAATCAAAGGAAGAGACATATCACATAAGGTGGAATCTAGGAGGATTTTGAATGTTAAGTTTCCATTGTCTTCAGGACATATTACCTGTCGTTGTTGTACAGCAATAAACATGGAGTACTGCCAACCTGGGGACCTCACCTGATGCTAAAAAGACACTATTTCGAAAATGAAAAGACAAAGGAAAGGATGAGATAAGATGACCTTCCACATTAAGGCACTGGAAAAAATACCAAAATAAACCTAAAGCAAGCAGAAGGAAGAAAATAAAAATCAGACAAATTAATAATTAATAATTTTAATCATATTTGTTAGTATTCACTAATTGATATTAATTCTTGACTAACTTTTTAAAAACGAGAAATATTCACCTCCCAATTTATTCTGTGGGGCCAGTGTTACCTTGATACAAAAGTTAGTCCAAATAGCATAGAAAAATAAAACTACTATAATCATAAATGCAAAATTCCTTAAAAAAAACTAACAAATCTAGCAACATATAAAATAATTATACACTATGACAAAGTGAAATTTATACTAGTAATCCCAGGTTGGTTTAACAGCCCAAAATCCATTAAGGTAATACATCTTATCCATAGAATAAGAAACGAGAATTGCATTATCATCTCGATAGATTCAGAAAAGACATTTAACAAAATCCAAATGCTTTAATGATTACAAATAAAAATAAAAACTCAATGAACCAGGAATAGAGAACTTTCTACACCAGATACATGGCACCTGTGAAAAGCCAACAGCAAACATTCAACTTAGTGGTGAAAGAAAGGATAATTTCCCACTATGGTCAGAGATAAGAATAAGATATATACTTTGACCTCCTCTGTGGAATGGAATGGAATGGGATGGAATGCAATGCAATGGAATGCAATGGAATAAAATGAAATGGAATGGAATGGAATAATGAAATGTTAGCTGAGATTGTGCCACTGCGCTCCAGTATGGGTGACAGAGTGAAATACTCTCGAAAGAAAGGAATGGAATGGAATGCAATGGAATGGAATGGAGTGAACTGGAGTGGAGTGGAGTGAAATGGAGAGGAATGGAATGGGATGGAATGGAATGGAATGAAGTGGAGTGGAGTGGGGTGGAGTAGAGTGCAGTGGAATGGAGCGGAATAGAAAGTGATGGAATGGGCCGGGCGCGGTGGCTCACGCCTGTAATCCCAGCACTTTGGGAGGCCGAGGCGGGCGGATCACGAGGTCAGGAGATCGAGACCATCCCGGCTAAAACGGTGAAACCCTGTCTCTACTAAAAATACAAAAAATTAGCCGGGCGTAGTGGCGGGCACCTGTAGTCCCAGCTACTTGGGAGGCTGAGGCAGGAGAATGGCATGAACCCGGGAGGCGGAGCTTGCAGTGAGCCGAGATTGCGCCACTGCACTCCAGCCTGGGCGACAGAGCGAGACTCCGTCTCAAAAAAAAAAAAAAAAAAAAAAAAGAAAGTGATGGAATGGAAAGGAGTCAAGTGGAGTGTAGTGGAGTGGAGAGGAGTGGAAGGGAGTGGAATGGAATTGGATGTAATGGAATGTAGTGGAGTGGAGTGGAATGCAGTGGAATGGAATGGAATTGAATGGAGTGGAATGGAATGGAATGGAGTGGAATGGAATGGAATGGAATGCAATGGAATAGAATGCAATGCAATGGAAAGCGGACATGTAATATGAGCTGAGATTGTGCCACTGCACTCCAGCCTGGGTGACACAGTGATATCCTTTCGAAAGAAAGGAATGGAATGCAATGGAGTGAAATGGAATGGAATGGAATGGAGTGGAGTGGAGTGGAGTGGAATGGAATGGAATGGAATCGAACCGAATAGAATGGAATAGAATGGAATTGAATGGAATCAAATGGAATGGAATGGAATGGGAGCTGAGACTGTGCCACTGCACTCCAGGCTGGGTGACAGACTGAGATACGCTCGAAAGAAAGGAATGGAATGGAATGCAGTGGAATGGAATGCAGTAGAATGGAATGGACTGCAGTGGAGTGGAGTGGGGTGGAGTGGAGAGGAGTGGAGTGGAGTGGAGTAAAATCGAGTGGAATGGAATGGAATGGAGGGGAATGGAATGGAATGGAATGTAGTGGAGTGGAATGGAATGGAGTGGAGGGGAGTCTAGTGGAATGGAGTGGAGTGCAGTGGAGTGGAATGGAATGGAATGGAATTAAATGGAATGGAACGGACTGGAGTGGAGTGGAGTGGACTGGAATGGAATGGAATGGACTCAAATGGAAAGGAATGAACTTGAATGGAATGGAATGGACTCGAATGGAATCATCAATGAATGGACTCGAATGGAATCATCATCGAAGGGACTCGAATGGAATCACAATCAAATGGAATTGAAGGGAATCATCATCGAATGGAATCGAATGGACTCATCATCGAATGGAATCGAATGGAATCATCATAGAATGGAATCGAATGGAATCATCGAATGGAATCATCATCGAATGGAATCAAATGAAATCATCAAATGGAATCGAATGGAATCATCATCGAATGGAATCTAATGGAATCATCAAATGGAATCGAATGGAATCATCATTGAATGGAATCGAATGGAATCATCAAATGAAATCAAATGGAATCATCATCGAATGGAATCCTCATCGAATGGAATCATCATCAAATGGAATCGAATGGAATCATCATTGAATGGAATCGAATGGAATCATAAAATCTAGAAAGAAGCTATCTGTGAAACTGCTTTGTGATGTATCAATTCATCTCACAGATTTATACAATTCTTTTGATTCCACAGGTTGGAAACATTCTTCTTGCAGAATCTGCAAAGGGATATTTGGGAGCCTCTTGAGGCCTGTGGGGAAAAACTGAACATGTCCAGGTAAAAACTAGAAAGATGCTATCTGTGAAACTGCTTTGTGTTGTATAAATTTATCTCACAGAATTCAATCTTTTTTTTATTTAGTAGGTGGGAAACATTCTTTTTGTTGAATCTGCTAAGGGACATTTGGCAGTCCATTAATGGCCTATAGAGGAAAACAGAATATCCCAAGATAAAAACTAGAAAGAGGTTATCTGTGAAACTGCTTTGTGATTTGTGGATTCCTCTCACAGAGTTTAAACTTTCTTTGATTCAGCAGGTTGAAAACACTCTTTTTGTAGAATATGCAAAGGGACATTTGAGAGCCCATTAAAGGCATAGGAGGAAAAACTGATTATTTTCAGATAAAAACTAGAAAAAAGCTAGCTGTCAAACTGCTTTGTCATGTGTGGATTCAACTCACAAAATTAAAACTTTATTTTGATTCAGCAGTTTGGAAATGATCATTTTGTAGAATCTGTGAAGGGATATTTGGGAGCCAACTGAGGCCTCGGGAAAAACTGAATATCCCCAGATAAAAACTGCAAAAAATCTATTTGTGAAACTACTTTGTGGTATGTGGATTCATCTCACAGAGCTAAACCTTTCTTTTGATTGAGTAGGTTGGAAACACACTTTTTGCAGAATCTGTGAAGGGTATTTCCTAGCCCATTCAGGACTATGGGAAAAAAACTAATATCCCTAGATACAGACTAGAAAGAAGCTATCTGTGAAATTGCTTTTGGATGTGTGATTTAATCTCACAGAGTAAAACCATTCATTTATTCAACAGGTTGGAAACACTCTTTTTGTAGAGTCTACAAATGAACATTTGGGAGCTCATTGAGGTCTATTGGGAGAAACAAAATATCCCCAGATAAAAACTAGAAAAAACCAATCCATGAAACAGCTTGGTAATGTGTGGATTCATCTCACAGAGTAAAACCTATGCTATGAATCAACAGGATGGAAACACTCCTTTTGTAGAATCTGCGAAGGTACATTTGGGAGCCAGTTGAAGCCTAAGGGAAAAAAACTGAATATCCCCAGATAAATACTAGAAAGAAGCTATCTGTGTAACTTGTGGATTCATCTAACAGAGTTACGGGTTTTTTTTCTGCAGATTTGAAACACTGTATTTTTAGAATGTACAACAGGAGGTTGGGGAGCACATTGAGGCCTATGGAAAAAAACTGAACACACCAAGATAAAAACTAGAAAAAAGCTATCTCTGAAATGGCTTCATGATTTTTGCATTTATCTCATAGAGTTAAACCTTTCTTTTGATTCAGCATGTTGGAAACACTTCTTCTGTAAAATCTGCGAAGGGAAAATTGGGAGTCCGTTCAAGTTTATATAAAAAAACCTGAATATCCTCAGATAAAAGTAGAAAGAAGCTATCTGTGAAATTGCTTTGTGATGTGTGGGTTCATCTCACAGAATTAAACTATTCTTTCGATTCAGCAGGTTGAGGACACTCTTTTTGTACAATCTGTAAAAAGACATTTGGGAGCACATTGAGGCCTATGAGGTAAAATAGAATATCCCAAGATAAAACGTAAAAAGAAGCTATATGTGAAAATGCTTTGTCATGTGTCAATTAATCTCACAGAGTTAAACGTTTCTTTTGATTCAGCAGGTTGGAAAAATCTTTTTGGGGAATCTGCCAAGGGGCATTTGGGAGCCCATTGTGGCCTATGGGGAAAAACTGAAATATCCCCAGATAAAAACTAGAAAGAAGCTATCTGTGAAACAGCTTGTTGATGTGTGGATTCACCTCACAGATTTAAAACTTCCTTTTGCTTCAGCATTTTTGAAACACAATTTTTGAAGAATACATGAAAGGATATTTGGAAGCCTATTAAAATGAGAGCCTATTATGGCAAAAAACTGAATATCACCAGATAAAAATTAGATAGAAACTATCTGTGAAACTTCTTGGTGATGTGTGGATTCATATTGGAGAGTTAAATCTTTCTGTTGATTCCACCAGTTGGAAACACTCTCTTTTTGAAGAATATATGAAAGGATATTTGGAAGCCTATTAAAATAAGAGCCTATTATGGCAAAAAACTGAATATCCACAGATAAAAACTAGATAGAAACTATCTGTGAAACTGCTTGGTGATGTGTGGATTCATCTTGGAGAGTTAAACCTTTCTGTTGATTCTGCCAGTTGGAAACACTCTTTTTGTAGAATATGTAAAAGAATATTTCAGCCCATTGAAACCTCAGGAGAAAAACCGAATATAGTCAGATAAAAACTAGAAAGAAATTATCTGGGAATCTTCTTCTTAAGTGTGGATTCATCTAACACAGTTAAACCTTCCTTTTACTTTATTTTTTTTTACTTTTTTTATTACTATTACTATACTTTAAGTTTTAGTGTACATGTGCGCAATGAGCAAGTTTGTTACATATGTATACATGTGCCATGTTGGTGTGCTGCATTCATTAACTCGTCATTTAGCATTAGGTATATCTCCTAATGCTCTCCCTCCTGCCTGCCCCCACCCCACAACAGTCCCCAGTGTGTGATGTTCCCCTTCCTGTGTCCATGTGTTCTCATTGTTCAGTTACCACCTATGAGTGAAAACATGCGGTGTTTGGTTTTTTGTCCTTGTGATAGTTTGCTGAGAATGATGGTTTCCAGTTTCATCCATGTCCCTACAAAGGATATGAACTCATCATTTTTTATGGCTGCATAGCATTCCATGCTGTATATGTGCCACATTTTCTTAATCCAGTCTATCATTGTTGGACATTTGCGTTGGTTCCAAGTCTTTGTTATTGTGAATAGTGCCACAATAGCACACGTGTGCATGTGTCTTTATAGCAGCATGATTCATAATCCTTTGGGTACATACCAGTAATGGGATGGCTGGGTCAAATGGTATTTCTAGTTCTAGGTCCCTGAGGAATCACCACACTGACTTCCACAATGGTTGAACTAGTTTAGAGTCCCACCAAAAGTGTAAAAGTTTTCCTATTTCTCCACATCCTCTCCGGCACCTGTTGTTTCCTGACTTTTTAATGATCGCCATTCTAACTGGTGTGAGATGGTATCTCATTGTGGTTTTGATTTGCATTTCTCTGATGGCCAGTGATGATGAGCATTTTTTCATGTGTTTTTTGGCTGCATAAATGTCTCCTTTTGAGAAGTGTCTGTTCATATCCTTTGCCCACTTGTTGATGAGTTTGTTTGTTTTTTTCTTGTAAATTTGTTTGAGTTCATTGTAGATTCTGGATATGAGCCCTTTGCCAGATGAATAGGTTGCAAAAATTTTCTCCCATTCTGTAGGTTGCCTGTTCACTCTGATGGTAGTTTCTTTTGCTGTGCAGAAGCTCTATAGTTTACTTAGATCCCATTTGTCAATTTTGGCTTTTTTTACCATTGCTTTTGGTGTTTTAGACATGAAGTCCTTGCCCATGCCTATGTCCTGAATGGTATTGCCTAGGTTTTCTTCTAGGGTTTTTATGGTTTTAGGTCTAACATGTAAGTCTTTAATCCATCTTGAATTAATTTTTGTATAAGGTGTAAGGAAGGGATCCAGTTTCAGCTTTCTACTTATGGCTAGCCAGTTCTCCCAGCACCATTTATTAAATAGGGAATCCTTTCCCCATTGCTTGTTTTTATCAGGTTTGTCAAAGATCAGATAGTTAGAGGTATGCAGCATTATTTCTGAGGGCTCTGTTCTGTTCCATTGGTCTATATCTCTGTTTTGGTACTAGTACCATGCTGTTTTAGTTACTGTATCCTGGTAGTATAGTTTGAAGTCAGGTAGCAGGATGCCTCCAGCTTTGTTCTTTTGGTTTAGGATGGACTTGGCAATGCGGGCTCTTTTTGGGTCCATATGAACTTTAGTTTTTTCCAATTCTGTGAAGAAAGTCATTGGTAGCTTGATGGGGATGGCATTGAATCTATAAATTACCTTGGGCAGTATGGCCATTTTCACGATATTGATTCTTCCTACCCATGAGCATGGAATGTTCTTCCATTTGTTTGTATCCTCTTTTATTTCATTGAGCAGTGGTTTGTAGTTCTCCTTGAAGAGGTCCTTCACATCCCTTGTAAGTTGGATTCCTGGGTATTGTATTCTCTTTGAAGCAATTGTGAATGGGAATTCACTCATGATTTGGCTCTCTGTTTGTCTGTTATTGGTGTATAAGAATGCTTGTGATTTTTGCACATGGATTTTGTATCCTGAGACTTTGCTGAAGTTCCTTATCAGCTTAAGATTTTGGGCTGAGACAATGGGGTTTTCTAGATATACAATCATGTCATCTGCAAACAGGGACAATTTGACTTCCTCTTTTCCTAATTGAATGCCCTTTATTTCCTTCTCCTGCTGGATTGCCCTGGCCAGAACTTCCAACACTGTGTTGAATAGCAGTGGTGAGAGAGGGCATCCCTGTCTTGTGCCAGTTTTCAAAGGCAATGCTTCCAGTTTTTGTCCATTCAGTATGATATTGGCTGTGGGTTTGTCATACATAGCTCTTATTATTTTGAGATATGTCCCATCAATACTTGATTTATTGAGAGTTTTTAGCATGAAGTGTCGTTGAATTTGTCAAAGGCCTTTTCTGCATCTATTGAGACAATCATGTGGTTTTTGTCTTTGGTTCTGTTTATATGCTGGATTACGTTTATTGATTTTCATATGTTGAGCCAGCCTTGCATCCCAGGGATGAAGCCCACTTGATCATGGTGGATAAGCTTTTTGATGTATTGCTGGATTCGGTTTGCCAGTATTTTATTGAGGATTTTTGCATCAATGTTCATCAGGGATATTGGTCTAAAATTCCCTTTTTTTGTTGTGTCTCTGCCAGACTTTGGTATCAGGATGATGCTGGCCTCATAAAATGAGTTAGGGAGGATTCCCTTTTTCTATTGATTGGAATAGTTTCAGAAGGAATGGTACCAGCTCCTCCTTGTATCTCTGGTAGAATTCAGCTGTGAATCCATCTGGTCCTGGACATTTTTTGGTTGGTAAGCTGTGAATCATTGCCTCAATTTCAGAGCCTGTTATTGGTCTATTCAGAGATTCAACTTCTTCCTGGTTTAGTCTTGGGAGGGCGTATGTGTCAAGGAATTTATCCATTTATTCTAGATTTTCTAGTTTATTTGCGTAGAGGTGTTTATAGTATTTTCTGATGGTAGTGTGTATTTCTGTCGGATTGGTGGTGATATCCCCTTTGTCGTTTTTTATTACGTCTATTTGATTCTTCTCTCTTTTCTTCTTTATTAGTCTTGTTAGAGATCTATCAGTTTTGTTTATCTTTTCAAAAATCCACCTCCTGGATTCATTGATGTTTTGAAGGGTTTTTTGTGTCTCTATTTCCTTCAGTTCTGCTCTGATCTTAGTTATTTCTTGCCTTCTGCTAGCTTTTGAATGTGTTTGCTCTTGCTTCTCTAGCACTTTTAATTGTGATGTTAGGGTGTCAATTTTAGATCTTTCCTGCTTTCTCTTGTGGGGGCATTTAGTGCTATAAATTTCCCTCTACACACTACTTTGAATGTGTCCCAGAGATTCTGGTATGTTGTGTCTTTGTTCACGTTGGTTTCCAAGAATATCTTTATTTCTGCCTTCATTTCATTATGTACCCAGTAGTCATTCAGGAGCATGTTATTCAGTTTCCATGTAGTTGAGCGGTTTTGAGTGTGTTTCTTAATCCTGAGTTCTAGTTTGATTGCACTGTGGTCTGAAAGACAGTTTGCTGTAATTTCTATTCTTTTACATTTGCTGAGGAGCGCTTTGCTTCCAACTATGTGGTCAATTTTGGAATAGGTGTGGTGTGGCACTGAAAAAAATGTATATTCTGCTGATTTGGGGTGGAGAGTTCTGTAGATGTCTATTAGGTCTGCTTGGTGGAGAGCTGAGTTCAATTCCTGTATATTCTTGTTAACTTTCTGTCTTGTTGATCTGTCTAATGTTGACAGTGGGGTGTTAAAGTCTCCCATTATTATTGTGTGGGAGTCTAAGTCTCTTTGTAGGTCACTAAGGACTTGCTTCATGAATCTGGGTGCTCCTGTATTGGGTGCATGTACATTTAGGATAGTTAGTTCTTCTTGTTGAATTGATCCCTTTACCATTGTGTAATGGCCTTCTTTGTCTCTTTTGATCTTTGCTGGTTTGAAGTCTGTTTTATCAGAGACTAGGATTGCCACCCATGCCTTTTTTTGTTTTCCATTTGCTTGGTAGATCTTCCTCCATCCCTTTATTTTGAGCCTATGTGCGTCTCTGCATGTGAGATGGGTCTCCTGAATACAGCACACTGAAGGGTCTTGACTCTTTATCCAATTTGGCAGTCTGTGCCTGTTAATTGGAGCATTTAGCCCATTTACATTTAAGCTTGTTACATTTACATTTAGTATTGTTATGTGTGAATTTGATCCTGTCATTATGATGTTAGCTGGTTATTTTGCTCATTAGTTGATGCAGTTTCTTCCTAGCCTTGATGGTCTTTACAATTTGGCATGTTTTTGCAGTGACTGGTACTGGTTGTTCCTTTCCATGTTTACTGCTTCCTTCAGGAGCTCTTTTAGGGCAGGCCTGGTGGTGACAAAATCTCTCAGGATTTGCTTGTCTGTAAAGTATTTTATTTCTCCTTCACTTATGAAGCTTAGTTTGGCTGGATATGAAATTCTGGGTTGAAAATTCTTTTCTTTAAGAATGTTGAATATTGTACCCCACTCTCTTCTGGCTTGTAGAGTTTCTGCTGAGAGATCAGCTGTTAGTCTGTTGACTTTCCTTTTGTGGGTAACCCGACCTTTCTCTCTGGCTGCCCTTAACATTTTTTCCTTCATTTCAACTTTGGTGAATCTGACAATTATGTGTCTTGGAGTTGCTCTTCTCGAGGAGTATCTTTGTGGCATTCTCTGTATTTCCTGAATTTGAATGTCTGCCTGCCTTGCTAGATTGGGGAAGTTCTCCTATATAATATCCTGCAGAGTGTTTTCCAACTTGGTTCCATTTTCCCTGTCACTTTCAGGTACACCAGTCAGATGTAGATTTGGTCTTTTCATATAGTCCCATATTTCTTGGAGGCTTTGTTCATTTCTTTTTATTCTTTTTTCTCTAAACTTCTCTTCTCACTTCATTTCATTAATTTGATCTTCAATCACTGATACCCTTTCTTCCAGTTGATCGCGTCGGCTACTGAGGCTTGTGCATTCATCACATTGTTCTCGTGCCATGGTTTTCAGCTCCATCAGGTCCTTTAAGGACTTCTCTGCATTGGTTATTCTAGTTAGCCATTCATCTATTTTTTTTTCAAGGTTTTCAACTTCTTTGCCATGGGTTTGAACTTCCTCCTTTAGCTCAGAGTAGTTTGATCTTCTGAAGCCTTCTCTCAACTCGTCAAAGTCATTCTCCATCCAGCTTTGTTCCTTTGCTGGTGAGGAGCTGCATTCCTTTGGAGGAGGAGAGTTGCTCTGATTTTTAGAGTGTCCAGTTTTTCTGCTCTGTTTTTTTCCCCATCTTTGTGGTTTTATCTACCTTTGGTCTTTGATGATGGTGACCAACAGATGGGTTTTTGGTGTGAATGTCCTTTCTGTTTGTTAGTTTTCCTTCTAACAGTCAGGACCCTCAGCTGCAGGTCTGTTGGATTTTGCTGGAGGTCGCTCCAGACCCTGTTTGCCTGGGTGTCAGCAGCGGTGGCTGCAGAACAGTGGATATTGGTGAGCAGCAAATGCTGCTGCCTGATCATTCCTCTGGAAATTTTGTCTCGGAGGAGTACCCGGCCATGTGAGGTGTCAGTCTGCCCCTACTGGGGTGTCCCTCCCAGTTAGGCTGCTCAGGGGTCAGGGACCCACTTGAGGAGGCAGTCTGCCCGTTCTCAGATCTCAAGCTGCGTGCTGGGAGAACCACTGCTCTCTTCAAAGCTGTCAGACAGGGACATTGAAGTCTGCAGAGGTTATTGCTGTCTTTTGTTTGTCTGTGCCCTGCCCCCAGAGGTGGAGCCTACAGAGGCAGGCAGGCCTTCTTGAGCTGTGGTGGGCTCCACCCAGTTCAAGCTTCCCGACCACTTTGTTTACCTACTCAAACCTTGTCAATGGTGGGCACTCCTCCCCTAGTCTCACTGCCACCTTGTGGTTTTATCTCAGACTGCTGTGCTAGCAATGAGCAAGGCTCCGTGGGCATAGGACCTTCCAAGCCAGGTGCGGGATATAATCTCCTCGTGTGCCATTTGTTATGCCTGTTGGAAAAGCACACTATTAGAATGGGAGTGACCCTGTTTTCCAGGTGCTGTCTGTCACCCCTTTCTTTGACTAGGAAAGGGAATTCCCTGACCCCTTGTGCTTCCTGGGTGAAGTGATGCCTCGCCCTCCTTTGGCTCACCCACGATGCACTGCACCCATTGTCCTGCACCCACTGTCCGGCACTCCCCAGTGAGATGAACCCAGTACCTCAGTTGGAAATGCAGAAATCACCCATCTTCTGCATCGTTCATGCTGGGAGCTGTAGACTGGAGCTGTTCCTATTCAGCCATCTTGGCTCCACTCTGCCAGCACTGAAGTTTTAAAACCAAGAAATGACTTAGGTTTTAGAAATTAACAGTTGTATAAAACCTTCAGAATACCACAGGGAAAATAAATCTTTGTTTCAGAAATAAATTTTGAAGTTTGAAAACAAAGCAGAAAACCTGTTTCTGAAAACGGAAAGGACTGTTTTAAACACTGAGCACAGTTCTTCCACAGCTCTTTGAAACTCTTCAGTAGTTCCACTCTGACTTCTGGAGATGGCCAAGTAAGATATACCCCAGAATGCCAGCAAAAGAAAAAGTGGGAAACCATTAGTTCCCTAGGGGAAGAGCCAAATGATCTCAGATCTCAGAAGAGCCAAATGATCATGCATTTTCAGTAGAGATAGGATTTCACCATGTTAGCCAGGATGGTCTCAATCTCTTGACCTCATGATCCGCCCACTTCGGCCTCCCAAAAGTGCTATGATTACAGGCGTGAGCCACCGCTCCTGGCCCTGGAACTATTGTTCTTAGCTGCAGAGGTCACATTAAATTAAGCCAAGGCCAAGACTAAAGGTTCTACACATCTAAGGCAGCAAAGGCAGTACTTTCCAACTAGTTATGATGTAGCAGGATGAGCCACAGACAAAACTCCTCAGACACCATGTTAAAGAAGGAAGGAGCTTTATTTGGCTGGGAGCTTCAGCCTTTATTAGCAAGGAAATTGAGAAGGGCTGCAGTGTGAGTTTGGGAGCCTTTTAGGGAGGGGCTACAGAGGAGGAGTTCCTCTACATATAGAAGAAGGTGGCTGGGGGAAAGATCCAAGGAGGCGAGGTCTTGGGCTAGGGCTTGCCTGGAGAAATGAGGGCTATCCTTGAAGCCCTGAGGGAGGACAGTCCACGTGAGTTGTTGTGACTGGAGGGTGTTGCAGTCAGTTTGGGTGAAACAAAGAGGTTTATGGAATCAGGGTGTAGGGGAATGGTGAAGAAGGCATTTTTCAGGTCAATTGCAGTGTAGTGGGTTGTGTTGGAGGGGATGAGAGAGAGAAGTGTATAGGGGTTAGGGACTACAGGATGAACAGGGAGGACAGCCTGATTGATAGCTCAGGGGTCCTGAATGAGTTGGTATGAGCCGTTGGATTTTTTAATAGGGAGGATGGGGTTGTTATATGGAGAGTGTGTTGGTCTAAGAAGACTGTGTGAGCAGAGCTTGTTTATGGTGGGTTGTAAGCCCTTTGGTGTGTTAGGGAAATGGGATATTGGGGAACGTCGGGAAATTTAGAGGGGTCTTTTAACTGGATTTTGATGCAGTCCTGGTGAGCAGCTATGGCAGGGGTGGTGGTGTCCCACACTACTGGGTTAACGAGAGAGGTGGGTAGCGGGTGCTGGAGAGGGGGTCAGATGCCGGACTAGCAGAGAGAAGCAGGAGGGACTTCTGGTTGAGGGGGACAGGAAAAGGTGATAAAAGCTGCAAAATTGGCTAAAATGTCTCGGCCTAGGATGGGGGTGGGGCAATGAGGCATGATAAGGAAGGAGTGTGAAAAAATAGTATTAAATAGGGAACAAGTAAGGGATTCAGTAGCACGTGGACAGAAGACAAGTCCATCAACCCCCACCACAGAGGCCTGGGAAGGGTAAGTGGGTCCTAAAAATTCAGGTAAAGCCGTGTAGGTGGCCCAGCTATTGATTAAAAAAAGAGATCGGCTTACCTGCTATTAGCAGAGTTACCCTGGGCTCCAATGCAGTGACGGCAGATGGGGCCAGGGTCCCTGGGCTCCATCAGTCTTCAGTGGCAAGGCCAAGGAGCTGTGGGGGTGTGAATGATTTTTCACTCTTTGCTTTGCCAGGGCCTTGAGGAACCGGCCGGTTAGTCTGCTTAAGAGGACAATCGGACTTCCAGTGACCGGTTTGTTGGCAGGCTGGGCAAGGAGTTTTTGGCACTTGTGGGTTAGGGCATGCTTGGGCCCAAGGGCCTTCTTTTTCACATTAAAACAGGGCCTGGGAGGGTCACTGCTATCAGGTCTTTTGTGCCCCTGGGCAGCCTGGGTAGGCTGACAAATAGCTGCTGCTAGGAGCTGGTATTTATTACCATCTCGTTGGGCTTTATCTAATTTATTTTGCTTATCTCTGTTGTTGAAGACCTTAAAGGCCAGGTTAAGGAGGTCTTGTTGAGGGGTTTGAGGGCCATCTTTTGTATGTCAGGAGCAGACTGAGAGATGAAATGGATATTAAGAACAATAGTTCCAGGGCCAGGAGTGGTGGCTCACGCCTGTAATCCCAGCACTTTGGGAGGCCGAGGCGGGCGGATCACGAGGTCAGGAGATCGAGACCATCCTGGTTGACACAGTGAAACCCTCTCTCTACTAAAAACGCAAAAAATATTTAGCCGGCCATGGCGGCAGGTGCCTGTAGTCCCAGCTAGGCGGGAGGCTGAGAGAGGAGAATGGCATGAATCCAGGAGGCGGAGCTTGCAGTAAACCGAGATCGCGTCACTGCACTCCAGTCTGGGCGACAGAGCGAGACTCCATCTTAAAAAAAAAACAGAACAATGGTTCCTTCCCGGGAGGTGGGGTCAACAAGGGTATATTTTTGGAGGGCCTCTGTAAGGCGGGAAAGAAATTCAGCAGGGTTTTCATTTGCTCTTTGGGAGATTTCTTTCAGCTTTTCAAAAATTATGGCCTTATGGGCTGCTTTGTTAAGGCCTGTGATGAGGCAAGTAATCACATGGTTATGAGATGCCTGGCCAGGTTATGTGGGTTGGTACTCCCAGGAAGGTCTTCTCGGGGAACTGCAGCGGCCCCTAGGGGCTTAGTAGGGTCTTGCCGATGAAGATCGTTGGCATGCGACTGAGCTGCAAGCCACACTTTGTTTTGTTTTGTTTTTCTTTCCTGGGAAGAGAGTAGAAGAGAGGATAATATGGAGATCAAGCCAAGTGAATTTGTAAGATGGGGTGAGGTATTTGAGCTTTTTGATATAAGTGTCAGGATTGGAGGAAAAGGATCTGAGACGTTTCTTAATTTGGGAAAGGTTGGAGAGGGAGAACGGAATGTGGACGTGAACAATTCCTTTAGCCCCTGCCAGCTCTCGCAGGGGAAGTAAGGGGGCCGACTGCTGGGCCTGCTGGAGGTGGAGATGGGGAGGAATTAGAATCAGAATCTGGGTGGTTGGAGAGAGGAGGGGAAAGAGGTAAGGCAGGAGCGGGAGCATATGGTGGAGGATTGTGATGATTTGGGGGAGGATTACGGTGTTGTCAGGGAGAGGAAAAGTCAGCAGGGTTAAAGAAGGAGGAATCGTCAGAAGGAAGGGGAGCTGAGGATGAGTCTGGCTTGGAGCGGGCAAGGAGGATTTGAAAACCAGAACAGGGCTGACAAAGGGAGGGGCAGCTACGGAGGGCAAAAAAGGCCTGAACATAAGGGATTTCAGACCACTTTCCATTGCGATGGCAAACGTTGTCCAGGTCCCTGAGGGTGTTAAAATCGAATGTGCCATTTTTAGACCACTGGGAGCCATTGCCCAATTTATACTGAGGTCAGGCTGTGTTACAATGAAAGATGAGCCTTTTTGGCCAAATTTTGGAATGGAGGTTAAGGGTGTTAAGGTTACGGAGGAGACACCCGATGGGGGGATGCCTTTGAGGGAGTGGACTGGGAGGCTCCCATAGTGGAATGAGAGAGGGGTAGAGATGGAAGACTTGGCCAGAGACAAGGATGGCGGGAGAAGGCGTCCCCTGTCCCACAGTTTAAGTCGGAGAGGTACGATAATCCCCCGTACAGGCATCACTGATAGGGAGACATCGAGGGTCTCCTGGAGGCTGGGACGAGGAAACCTTTGGCCCAGCGCTGGGTCTTTTGGGAAGGAAAGAGCGGACAAGGGTTCCGGACGGAAGGTATGTCTCCTTTACTCACTCCTGAGGTGTCCCTGGTGTTGGATGTGTTCGCCAGCAATGGAAAAGATGTATGAGATCCTTGGGTCTCTAGCAGGTTCTGGAAGGGGGAGTTCGGCCAGGGGAAGGAGCAGGGGGAGGATAAAGGGAGAAAAGGAGGCCGAACTCTACCACCTTCCCGGTTTCGGCACCAAGACATAAGGTATAATTGGAAGGACAGCCGAGAAAGGAGTGAGGCCAGCAGACCCAAGTTCAGGCAAGCTGATTTATTGTCAGTCCTGCCGGGCTACCTCCTGACAAAAGCAGAGGAGGCAGCCCCTCTTACAGACTACAACAGGGCTTTATAAGGTGAGTAACTGGGTCAGGGTGGGGCAGCTGAGTTGGGTGTGCAGGAGGGCTGAGTTGGGGTGGGGGAGCTGAGCTGAGGGTGCAGGTGTCTTGACCACATCCTGGAGATGTTTTTGCCAGCTTTGTTATGCGAGGTCAACAGACATGTTAACCACATCCTGTAACTGCCTGGACAAACAATTACTGGAGGGGTCGGTGAAGGGGTGTTTGTCTTTAGCCCTGGGGAAGCAGTGCAGAGGTCACAAAGGACTGCATTATAACACCCATGGGAAGGGAGGGGAACAGTCTGGTCGGGATGACCCTAACACCCAACCCCCAAACCAAAAAATAAGACATCTCCATAGACACTTATGAAAGATCAGCTCAATTACACAAGTATTCCTAGCATTTACTTGGAGCCACATGTTTCAGAGACCAGCCAGCAGGGCCAAGTCTGAAGTAGAATACAGACCAGAGTTCCAAAAGCTACACATTGTTAGTTTTCATTCTTTACATTGGGAGAATACTCCCCTGGAGGAGGGACAGAGGGGCCACCATGTTGGAACTACTAAAGTTGCTGGAACTCAGAAGCTACAGAATACTATATCAGAAGTCTGATTCTTTGATACTTTATGAGTGGTTGCATTGTGTATACATGAGATATATGACGGCAAGGCTTTCACAAGACAAATGTAATGTGCAATTTTGAAAGACCACCTACTGCTAAGAGTAATAGCTAACAACTTTCAGGTGTTTTTTTGTTTGTTTGTTTGTTTTTGAGGCTGAGTATCTCTCTGTCACCCAGGCTGGAGTGCAGTGGCATGATGTCAGCTCACTGCAACCTCTGCCTCCTGGGCTCAGGCAATCCTCCAACCTCAGCCTCCCGAGTAGCGGAGACTACAGGTACATTAGCCACCATACTCGGCTAATTTTTGTATTTTTTGTAGAGTCAGGGTTTCACTATGTTGCCCAAGCTTCCATGGTCTTGAACTCTTGGGCTCAAGCAGTCCTCCCACCTTAGCCTTCAAAAGTGCTGGGATTATAGATGTGAGCCACCACACCCAGACTTTCAGTTTAAATAACATGCATAATTATCCATTATTACTATCAAGAATAATAGAAGTCTGATTCTTTGATTCTAATATATTCCTCTACATACAGATGTGTGTGTATGCACGTGTGCACATGCATGTGTGTGTATTTGCTAGCACATTATCTTATTTGCAGAGTCTTGGATCATGACAACATATACTCATACTTTCTCTTAATCACGAGGGTTCTTGAAGTCTTTAGCAGTTTTTTCTTAAATCATTAGATGTTGGCAAAATACATTTTAATACATGTCACATGCAAAAGCCTGGAAAATATCATCCACACTCATGACTTCCAACTTAAGCCTATATGCTGATGAGTCCCAACTATGTGCTTCTCCTTAATTCCAGAAGAATATATACACTCTTTCCCAGTGATCTCATCTGTTCCCAGGGCTTCAATTACCATTTATATGCTGATAATTTCCAAGTATATATCTCCATCCCTGATTTCCCTCTCTTTCGTAATCCAAAACACAACGTGAACTACATAGCAGACATTTTCTACCTCCATCAAAGGACCTTTCAAACTCAACCTGCTTGAAACCAAACTGACTATTTCAGCCCTTCAAAGCATGTTCTTCCTATATTTTAAGCACACTCATTTGTTCAACAAATATTTACTAAGCACTTATTATGTGCCACAGCACCACCACCCAGAAAAACCAAAAGTTCTAGATTCTCCCTTCTGTCCTCATATCCAGTCACTAAGTCATGTCTATTGTACTCCCTCTATTCTCTCAAGTTTAGCTTTTATTCTCCTATTTATGGTCCCCTGCCCTATCATCTGTGTTACTAAAACTCCCTGCCACCGCTCATTCTCCAGTCATCCTCCAGATGAATAATGTTTCCCTTCTTAAAATGTTTTCCATACTCCACATCATCCTTGGATGTAACCCAAACTCCTCAGCATTTCCCATCTATTTTTCTAGTTCATCTTCCCTCTACTTCCACATCTGTGCTCAGAGCAATCCCAACTATTCCAGTCCAATAAATGTGTCATTTTGTCTCTTAACTCTGTACCTTTGTACATGCCTTACATGATAGCCCCCTCTTTTTTTTTTTTTTTGAGACAGGGTCTCTCTCTGCCACCCAGGCTAGAGTACAGTGGTATGATGGTAGCTCACTGCAGCTTTGAACTCAGCCCTCTTAAGACAACTAGGCATACTTCCTCCACAGCTCAAGAGCCCTCAGGCCTTCACATGGTGCCCAGCTCTATGGCAGGCCACAGTCGTGCAGCCTTGACATCTATGTTTTTCCTTGTCTGGATCCCTCACTAGGCAGGGAGCTCCTTGCTGGCAGTGATTTTATCTAGTTCATCAGCTCCTAGCTCAGTACCTGGCATAGTATCAGCACTAAATAAATGTTGGTTGAAGTAAAGAATACATTTTAAAAACTTTTAAATATTTATGCAGAAATGGCATATAAAATTCATTATTAGTGAGTTTGTTTTCTGCAAATTTCCATCTGTTTTCCAAAACAGATAACTGTGGTCCTCAGTGCCATCACTCCATGAAACCTAACCTGGAAACTGCTTCTTGGGTCACATTCTCATTTCTATGGTGCTCAACATGTAAAGCTGCCAGTGCTAGAAGTAGTTCTCCAAAGTGGGCCAAATTCACATTACTGGTGACTGTCACTACTTAACAAGGATAACATCTGTGTACTTGGGGAAATGATGGAACTTGATTTTAAGAGTGGTAGCTCTATGAGATCAGTGACAATTAGCTCTGCAACAGTCTCAGGCTAATCCTGCTGAAAATGGCTTTTTCAATCGCAGAAAACTGTACCCACTAGATCTCCCCAAGCATAAATTAGGCTTAGTCTCTAGATTATTAAAGGCATAAAGATGTAGGGATATTATATGTGTGTATGTATGAGTGTACAAATATGTGTGTGTATGTGTGCTGGAACCAGGCAGGTTGCTGGAAGTCAGAAGTGACAGACACTTTATGAGCGGTTTCCTTGTGTGTACATGAGATATATGAAAACAAGGCTTTCATGAGACAAATGTAAAGTATGATTGTGAAAGACCACCTACTGTTTAGAGTAACAATTAATTTTCAAATATTAAATAACAGAAATATTTATTAATTATTGCTGTCTAAATAATGAAATCTTTATATACATACATAAAATCTATGTATGTAAATATATAAAACATATACAAACACCACACTAGGTAAAGTTATAGTTTAAAAAATATTTCTTTACTTGTCACCTCCTCTTCAATCTTCAGTTTTAAAAGAGGGGCAACTCGCAGGGCACAAAATTGGCTCACACCTGTAATCCCAGCACTTTGGGAGGAGGCTGAGGCAGGTGGATCACCTGAGGTCAGGAGTTCAAGATCAGCCTGGCCAACATGGCAAAACGCCATCTCTACTAAAAATACAAAAATAAGCTGGGTGTGGTGGTGAGTGCCTGTAATCTCAGCTACTCAGGAGGCTGAGGCAGTAAAATCTCTTGAACCTGGGAGGCAGAGGTTGGAGTGAGTTGAGATTGTGCCACCACACTCCAGCCCGGGCAACAGAGTGAGACTCTGTCTCAAAAAAAGAGACTCATGTCTCAAAAACAATAATGAAAAAAATAAAAGAGGGGCAACAAGGCTCCCAGGGCCACAGAGAATAAATAAATATACTTCAAATTCACCACCCCTTCTTCATTCTTTGCTGCCAATCAGTTTAGACAATGATACATTCAGAGAATCAATGTTCTTCAGCGATATGCCACCCCAGGATCTCACTGGACAGTGGTCAAGTTCTCTAGACTATGTCTTTAGGGGTTTAGTCTTACATTCATTCAAACTAATTAATTCCATTAAAACCTCTGTACACGGCACTCTACTCACCACTCTAGAGGATATCACGATGAATCAAACATGGCTCCTGCATTCAGTAAGCATAGAGTCTGGAAGAGGCCATGAATAAGCTACGTATTTCAAAAAACGTGGATACTAAGTGACAAGTACAGATAAAGTATTTCTCTGAACCCAGTGCAATTGGGACACCCTTCTATATTATCTCTGCACACATGCAAATTTCTGTATTCAAATATTTTCCAATCCTTTGCATCTGTCATGTGCCAGTTAACTTTCTAATATATACCAAGTGAAGGCTTTTAATCACCTCCCTATATCTGTCACCCTAACTCTTCCTCTCTTCACCACGTTTCCATCAGCTTCAATCACTCAAAACAAAATTTGACAAAGAGCAATGAAGAATCCCAGGGTCACGTGATACACACTGTAAGTACTGATATGCAGGGTTTGGAAGACAGGCAGCAGAGCCGTAATTAAGGAGAAGAGTATGCAAATAGAATTCTGATTTTTGTTTTCCAATGAACGTCATCCCTTTCTTTTTTATCCTTTTTCCTACTTAGGCCTCTATTTGGAAGAACTTTTCCTTCAACTTTCAATTAGTTGACCTAGGCAACTACTTGAAAGTTTGGCCTAATGCAGACAGAAATTAAGAGAACTTTCATGAGGCCCTTTATCCTACGCAAATGAAATTTCCATGTTTGAAAATCCACTTTGGATTATGTCTTTTTTTTTTTTTTTTGAGATGGAGTCTTCCTGTGTTGCCCAGGCTAGAGTGCAGTGGAGCAATCTCACCTCACCACACCTCTGCCTCTGGGATTCAAGCAATTCTCCTTCCTCAGCCTCCTGAGTAGCTGGGATTACAGGCATGTACCACCATGTCCAGCTAATTTTTATATTTTTAGTAGAGATGGGGTTTTGTCATGTTGGCCAGGCTGGTCTCGAACTCCTGGGCTCAAGCAATCCACCTGCCTTGGTGTGAGCCACCATGCCCAGCCTGGATTATGTCCGTTTAAATGTACATTTATGAAACTTGATGTCTTAGGTAAGAAACACCAAACACTGAAGAAAAACTTACATACATTCAGTGTATGTTCCCATAACTGGCACCAAGTTGCATTATTTTCACAAACAATACCACAGGTATGTCAGGCGAAGATAAACATATGCATTTATATATACATGTACAATATATCTTTAATTTATCTTGAAATTATAATATCTTATAAGCAAGCACCAAATACTCACATCTTATAAGATTTGACTAGTCTACTTCTTCCAGAGAGTTATGGTAGAGCCAAATGAATTAAACCAATATCCTTTATCACTTACCTATAAAAAACAAATGGTTTTTTGACCTTAAAAAACTGGTTACTTCTTTAGAAACCTTAGTACATTGGTAAAAATAAATCAACTACTTAAATATTGGCTTTATGAAAATATTATGTTTGCAATACATTTCTAACTCTGTTCATTCATTCATTTAGTCTATAAATATATATTGAGTACCCATTATTTGTATCCTCTACTGTGCTAGACACTGGGATACAAAATAATAATAATATCTTCAAGACGATCACAGTCTAGTAGGGAAGTTACCATTAGAAACATGAACTTCAGAGCATGAGTGACACAGAAGACGGGTGATTTCTACATTTCCAACTGAGGTACCGGGTTCATTTCACTGGGGAGTGCTGGACAGTGGGTGCAGGACAGTGGGTGCAGCGAACCTAGCATGAGCCGAAGCAGGGCAAGGCATCGCGTCACCTGGGAAGTGCAAGGGGTCAGGGATTTCCCTTTCCTAGTCAAAGAAGGGGTGACAGATGACACCTGGAAAATCGGGTTACTCCCACCCTAATATTGCACTTTTCCAATGGGCTTAACAAATGTCACACCAGGAGATTATATCCTGCAACTGGCTCGGAGGGCCCTACGCCCATGGAGCCTTGCTCATTGCTAGCACAGCAGTCTGAGATCAAACGGCAAGGTGGCAGCGAGGCTGGGGGACAGGTGCCCGCCATTGCCGAGGCTTGAGTAGGTAAACAAAGTGGCCAGGAAGCTCGAACTGGGTGGAGCCCACCACAGCTCAAGGACACCTGCCTGCCTCTGTAGACTCCACCTCTGGGGGCAGGGCACAGACAAACAAAAGACAGCAATAACCTCTGCAGACTTCAATGTCCCTGTCTGACAGCTTTGAAGAGAGCGGTGGTTCTCCCAGAATACAGCTTGAGATCTGAGAATGGGCAGACTGCCTCCTCAAGTGGGTCCCTGACCCCCAAGTAGCCTAAATGGGAGGGACACCCCAGTAGGGGCAGACTGACACCTCACATGGCCGGGTACTCCTCTGAGACAAAACTTCCAGAGGAATGATCAGGCAGCAGCATTTGCTGCTCACCAATATCCACTGTTCTGCAGCCACCGCTGCTGATACCCAGGCAAACAGGGTCTGGAGCGACCTCCAGCAAAATCCAACAGACCTGCAGCTGAGGTTCCTGACTGTTAGAAGGAAAACTAACACACAGAAAGGATATCCACACCAAAAACCCATCTGTAGGTCACTATCATCAAAGACCAAAGGTAGATAAAACCACACAGATGGGGGGAAAACAGAGCAGAAAAACAGGACACTCTAAAAATCAGAGCAACTCTCCTCCTCCAAAGGAACACAGCTCCTCACCAGCAACAGAATAAAGCTGGATGGAGAATGACATTGACAAGTTGAGAGAAGAAGGCTTCAGATTATCAAACTACTCCGAGCTAAAGGAGGAAGTTCGAACCCATGGCAAAGAAGTTGAAAAACTTGAAAAAAAATTAGACAAATGGCTAACTAGAATAATCAATGCAGAGAAGTCCTTAAAGGACCTGACAGAGCTGAAAATCACAGCACGAGAACTACTTGATGAATGCACAAGCCTCAGTAGCTGATGCGATCAACTGGAAGTAAGGGTATCAGCAATGGAAGACGAAAGGAATGAAATGAAGCGTGAAGAGAAGTTTAGAGAAAAAAGAATAAAAAGAAATGAACAAAACCTCCAAGAAAAATGGGACTATATGAAAAGACCAAATCTACGTCTGATTGGTGTACCTGACAGTGACGGGGAGAATGGAACCAAGTTGGAAAACACTCTGCAGGATATTATACAGGAGAACTTCCCCAATCTAGCAAGGCAGGCAAATATCCAAATTCAGGAAATACAGAGAATGCCACAAAGATAATCCTTGAGAGAGCAACTCCAAGACACATAATTGTCAGATTCATCAAAGTTGAAATGAAGGAAAAAATGTTAAGGGCAGCCAGAGAGAAAGCTCGGGTTACCCACAAAGGGAAGCTCATCAGACTAACAGCTGATCTCTCGGCAGAAACTCTACAAGACAGAAGAGAGTAGGGTACAATATTCAACATTCTTAAAGAAAAGAATTTTCAACCCAGAATTTCATATCCAGCCAAACTAAGCTTCATAAGTGAAGGAGAAATAAAATACTTTACAGACAAGCAAATGCTAAGAGATTTTGTCACCACCAGGCCTGCCCTACAAGAGCACCTGAAGGAAGCACTAAACATGGAAAGGAACAACCGGTACCAGTCACTGCAAAAACATGCCAAATTGTAAAGACCATCAAGGCTAGGAAGAAACTGCATCAACTAATGAGCAAAATAACCAGCTAACATCATAATGACAGGATCAAATTCACACATAACAATACTAAGCTTAAATGTAAGTGGGCTAAATGTTCCAATTAAAAGGCACAGACTGGCAAATTGGATAGTCAAGACCCATCAGTGTGCTGTATTTAGGAAACCTGTCTCACGTGCAGAGACGCACATAGGCTCAAAATAAAGGGATGGAGGAAGATCTACCAAGCAAATGGAAAACAAAAAAAGGCATGGGTGGCAATCCTAGTTTCTGATAAAACAGACTTTAAACCAACAAAGGTCAAAAGAGACAAAGAAGGCCATTACATAATGGTAAAAGGGATCAATTCAACAAGAAGAACTAACTATCTTAAATACATATGCACCCAATACAGGAGCACCCAGATTCATAAAGCAAGTCCTTAGTGACCTACAAAGAGACTTAGATTCCCACACAATAATAATGGGAGACTTTAACACCCCACTGTCAACATTAGACAGATGAACAAGACAGAAAGTTAACAAGAATATACAGGAATTGAACTCAGCTCTCCACCAAGTGGACCTAATAGATATCTACAGAACTCTCCACCCCAAATCAACAGAATATACATTCTTTTCAGCACCACACCACACCTATTCCAAAACTGACCACATAGTTGGAAGCAAAGCACTCCTCAGCAAATGTAAAAGAACTGAAATTACAACAAACTGTCTCTCAAACCACAGTGCAATCAAACTAAAACTCAACATTAAGAAACTCACTCAAAACCGCTCAACTACATGGAAACTGAACAACATGCTCCTGAATGACTACTGGGTACATAACAAAATGAAGGCACAAATAAAGATGTTCTTTGAAACCAGCGAGAACAAAGACACAACATAACAGAATCTCTGGGACACATTCAAAGCAGTGTGTAGAGGGAAATTTATAGCACTGAATGCCCCCACAAGAGAAAGCAGGAAAGATCTAAAATTGACACCCTAACATCACAATGAAAACAGCTAGAGAAGCAAGAGCAAACACGTTCAAAAGCTAGCAGAAGGCAAGAAATAACTAAGATCAGAGCAGAACTGAAGGAAATAGACACAAAAAACCCTTCAAAACATCAATGAATCCAGGAGCTGGTTTTTTGAAAAGATCAACAAAATTGATAGACCGCTAACAAGACTAATAAAGAAGAAAAGAGAGAAGAATCAATAGATGCAATAAAAAATGACAAAGGGGATATCACCACTGATCCCACAGAAATACACACTACCGTCAGAGAATACTACAAACACCTCTACACAAATAAACTAGAAAATCTAGAAGAAATGGATAAATTCCTCAACACATACACCCTCCCAAGACTAAACCAGGAAGAAGTTGAATCTCTGAATAGACCAATAACAGGCTCTGAAATTGAGGCAATAATTCACAGCTTACCAACCAAAAAATGTCCAGGACCAGATGGATTCACAGCCTAATTCTACCAGAGGTACAAGGAGAAGCTGGTACCATTCCTTCTGAAACTATTCCAATCAATAGAAAAAGAGGGAATCCTCCCTAACTCATTTTATGAGGCCAGCATCATCCTGATACCAAAGCCTGGCAGAGACACAACAAAAAAATAGACTTTTAGACTAATATCCCTGATGAACATTGATGCAAAAATCCTCAATAAAATACTGGCAAACCGAATCCAGCAACACATCAAAAAGCTTATCCACCATGATCAAGTGGGCTTCATCCCTGGGAGGCAAGGCTGGCTCAACATATGAAAATCAATAAGCGTAATCCAGCATATAAACAGAACCAAAGACAAAAACCACATGATTATCTCAGTAGATGCAGAAAAGGCCTTTGACAAAATTCAACAACGCTTCATGCTAAAACTTCCCAATAAATCAAGTATTGATAGGACGTATCTCAAAATAATGAAAGCTATCTGTGACAAACCCACAGCCAATATCATACTGAATGGACAAAAACTGGAAGCATTCCCTTTGAAAACTGGCACAAGACAGGGATGCCCTCTCTCACCACTCCTATTCAACACAGTGTTGGAAGTTCTGGCCAGGGCAATCCAGCAGGAGAAGGAAATAAAGGGCATTCAATTAGGAAAAGAGGAAGTCAAATTGTCCCTGTTTGCAGATGACATGATTGTATGTCTAGAAAACCCCATTGTCTCAGCCCAAAATCTCCTTAAGCTGATAAGCAACTTCAGCAAAGTCTCAGGATACAAAATCCATGTGCAAAAGTCACAAGCATTCTTATACACCAATAACAGACAAACAGAGAGCCAAATCATGAGTGAATTCCCATTCACAATTGCTTCAAAGAGAATACAATACCCAGGAATCCAACTTACAAGGGATGTGAAGGACCTCTTCAAGGAGAACTACAAACCACTGCTCAATGAAATAAAAGAGGATACAAACAAATGGAAGAACATTCCATGCTCATGGGTAGGAAGAATCAACATCGTGAAAATGGCCATACTGCCCAAGGTAATTTATAGATTCAATGCCATCCCCATCAAGCTACCAATGACTTTCTTCACAGAATTGGAAAAAACTACTTTAAAGTTCATATGGAACCAAAAAAGAGCCTGCATTGCCAAGTCAATCCTAAGCCAAAAGAACAAAGCTGGAGGCATCCTGCTACCTGACTTCAAACTATACTACCAGGATACAGTAACCAAAACAGCATGGTACTGGTACCAAAACAGAGATATAGATCAATGGAACAGAACAGAGCCCTCAGAAATAATGCTGCATACCTACAACTATCTGATCTTTGACAAACGTGACAAAAACAAGCAATGGGAAAGGATTCCCTATTTAATAAATGGTGCTGGGAGAACTGGCTAGCCATAAGTAGAAAGCTGAAACTGGATCCCTTCCTTACACCTTATACAAAAATTAATTCAAGATGGATTAAACACTTACATGTTAGACCTAAAACCATAAAAACCCTAGAAGAAGACCTAGGCAATACCATTCAGGACATAGGCATGGGCAAGGACTTCATATCTAAAACACCAAAAGCAATGGCAACAAAAGCCATTGACAAATTGACAAATGGGATCTAATTAAACTAAAGAGCTTCTGCACAGCAAAAGAAACTACCATCAGAGTGAACAGGCAACCTACAGAAAGGGAGAAAATTTTTGCAACCTACTCATCTGACAAAGGGCTAATATCCAGAATCTACAATGAACTCAAGCAAATTTACAAGAAAAAAACAAACAACCCCATCAACAAGTGGGCGAAGGATATGAACAGACACTTCTCAAAAGGAGACATTTATGCAGCCAAAAAAACACATGAAAAAATGCTCATCATCACTGGCCATCAGAGAAATGCAAATCAAAACCACAATGAGATACCATCTCACACCAGTTAGAATGGCCATCATTAAAAAGTCAGGAAACAACAGGTGCCAGTGAGGATGAGGAGAAATAGAAGCAGTTTTACACTGTTGGTGGGACTGTAAACTAGTTCAACCATTGTGGAAGTCGGTGTGGCAATTCCTCAGGGATCTAGAACTAGAAGTACCATTTGACCCAGCCATCCCATTACTGGGTATATACCCAAAGGATTATAAATCATGCTGCTATAAAGACACATGCACACGTATGTTTATTGCGGCACTATTCACAATAGCAAAGACTTGGAACCAACCCAAATGTCCAACAATGATAGAATGGATTAAGAAAATGTGACACATATACACCATGGAATACTATGCAGCCATAAAAAAGGATTTCATGTCCCTTGTAGGGACATGGATGAAACTGGAAACCATCATTCTCAGCAAACTATCACAAGGACAAAAAAACAAACACCGCATGTTCTCACTCATAGGTGGGAATTGAACAATGAGAACACATGGACACAGGAAGGGGAACATCACACACCGGGGACAGTTGTGGGGTGGGGGGAGTGGGAAGGGATAGCATTAGGAGATATAGCTAATGCTAAATGACGAGTTAATGGGTGCAGCACACCAACATGGCACATGTATACACATGTAACAAACCTGCACGTTGTGCACATGTACCCTAAAATTTAAAGTGTAATTATAATGAAATTAAAAAATAAATAAATAAAATAAATAAATAAAAAATGCAGGAAGGTGGAAAAAAAGAAAAAGAAAAAGAAACACCAATTAAGAGTCATAATTTGGCTGGTGAGTTTGATATGTTCCATCTGTGGAGCCCTGTGACAAAAGGGCAGATTAGAAGGCAAGCATTGATTGAATTTCATGACCTTACAGAGGAAGACATGACCTCCCATAAATTCATGATCTTCCAGAGCTCATGCAACTAACTACAGATACAGTAGTTGTTCTCAACTACTGGGTATTGAGTACCTGGAAAAGGGAGACTGTGACTTATTTTTAATATATGCTTTTACATCTAATACACTTTGTATGATCTAGGGCAGTGCTTCCCATAGTGAAGTGTGTGAATCTCTGGGTTCACTGAAGTGGACCAATGAAGTTTTTGCTTTTCATTTTAATAAATATTTATTTTAATGGTGGATAAGAAAAAATATATGTAACTAGTACATCCAACCCATGATTTTGTTAGGACAAAGCTAAGTAGCTGGTGCCATGATAAATTTATTTCAATTAAAATGGGAGCTGGTTTGAAGAAAAAATATTTAATAGTAAAGGGAATGTGAAGATATAACAGAAAGTGTGGGGTGGTATGTGAATGACTAGGATTTGGGCTATGTCATAGGCAATCTGGCCCTGAGGTTTTGAAAAATATTTCTTTGGCCTAAAGGCTTCTGCTGCCCCTCCGAGCAGCTGCTTCAGAGCTTTTAGCCAACCTAAGGTAGGAGTTAATAAAACTTGCTAGGTTTAAGGAGTGGTTCCATTTTTATAAGTGCCTCTCAAAGATTTTCTAACCTCCCAGTCCCTAAGCGATGACTCTAATAGTGGAATTTAAACTGAGGTTGAGGAAAGCCATGAGCAGCTGTCTGCTCTGCCTACCCAGTAACTTGGAATTTTACTGATGAAAATCCAGATCCTTAACCAAAGCATACAATCTGTTACATTACATACTATATACTGCCCATATTGGCGACTGTGAATTAAGACTGGGTTTTCTTTTCTTCCTGTACATAAACAACTGTCTTACCTTTCAAGGCTCCCTTCCTTGTGTTAGAAGTAAGGCCAGTGATTCATCCTTACTCGTCAGCTAGTAGAGACACAAAAAGAAACAATCAGTCTAGAAACACAAAAGGATGTGGTGATTGAGCCAGTGTTCACATTTGACAATTTATGATTCTGTGCTTTCAGGCCCATTTGGAAGCATTTAGGTAGCACCATTGGGCCCCATCTTTCTCTTTGGATCCCAGAGGAAGGCTAACTAGCGCAGCAGGCCCAGAAGAACTTTTTTCACCTTTCACTCCTAGTCTGCAGTTTGAAAGAATTCGAGAATTCACATCTGTAGCCAGCAGCTATTATCTTGCTGTGGCTGGGAGGAGAGTCTGGTTCTATGACTCCAAAAGCAGCAAAAATCAAGTTTTCTGGAAGAGGGTTAAGAAAGGGTGTTCAACAGCTGCTGCCATGGGAGGAGCTCATACGCAGCCATGCACACAGCCACACACACACACACACACACACACACACACATATTGTTTGACTTGGGCCCAGTTTCCTTTGCCCCCCAGGTGATGTTCTCCTCTCCCTATCTCCCTTAGGTACACAGTATCTTCTGCCCTGAACCACACTCTCAAAACCTACTTTCAGAAGACACTTTAAAACTCATCTGCTTACAGTGTATATGGTTGATAGGTTATAATGGGGCTGCCTACCCAGGGGTATGAGTATTTTAACAAGATCAAAACTTTTAACCAAAGGAACAGAGCTCTAAAAACTGTGGCATTCCAGGCATCCACCAGTGGGAAGGGAGTGTTTAAATGGAGGGGCAATGAAGCCTTGTTTGGTGCACCTGAAATCACATCATGTAGACAGTTGCTTATATGTGAGACTGGTGCTGCTCACAGTCAACACCTCCCTGGCCACACCTCTGCACTCTATGGCACACGGCCACTTTCTCTCCCCTTCTCTTACAGTGTATGACTCCTTTGTGGGGCAGACGGGAGGGGAGGCACCAGGCACACTGATCCCAGTGCTCCCAAATATATAAGCTATGACCAGAGAATGAATTATGGTCCTTTGGGAAAAAGTGTTCATTTATTCATCCCAGCCAGCAGGCTAGTGCAATATAAATAGTAACTTTGTAAGTTGAAAGACTTAGAGCCATTTTGAAAATTGCATAATAATCCCAGGAAGAATTTGGCTCCGTGTGTATGGAAAATTAATAGAGCCAGCTGAGATGCTTGCATTGTGAGTTGTAGATGGGTAGCCTCTCCTCAGACCAGGGACTATGCTTTGACCTCAGTAAATCCACCAAATATACTGAGCTTCTTGTAAGTCAGAGTCCAAGGCTTGAAAAAACTATTGAAAATTTTATTTGTAGCATCATATTGGTTACCACAAATAAAAAATTATTCTATTCTGTGTTTGTTTGTATAAGGGATATTGACCTAGATTTCTAACATATTTCTTCAAAACCCAGTCCATTGATTTTTCTTTTTGGGTGGGCAGATACACTGTATGTAAATCTAACATTTTGTGTCTCTTGCATAGGATATCTAATTTTCTATAAAAATGTAAGGGATTTGTAGTTTGGTGATTGAGAGCATGGTAGCTTTAAATCCAAATGCCGGTGATGCCTGAGACATGGCTTTATGTGCCACATGGCAATTCACACATACTTTGTTTTGCTTTGAATGATTTTGGAACAAAAAACACAGTGGTTCAGGTAACGTAATATATCTATTTTGATGTATGATGTATAGAATCTTTATTTCACTAAGTTTTTTTCTGGGTCTTTATGCTCTGGACCCTGGGTCCCCAGTAAGCCAACTAGCATTTAACAGTTGACACCCCAAGTGTTTGCTTCCATTAAGGTCCTTTCCTATCACCAGAGCTCCCTGAATTTCAAGCAACATATGATGGGAAATCAACAGCCACCATCACAGATAACAACTCATATTTTTGATAACTTCTCCCTTCCCCTTCCCAAACTCTTACAGACACTCCTAAGTCTTGTGGAATTTCAAAAGTAGCATCTCATAAGAAAATGCCATTGCCAGCACCACCTGTAATTCTGTAGTTACTATAAAGATTATCCCTCAGGAACTGCTTTTTTTTTTTTTTTTTGAGACGGAGTCTCACTCTGTCACCCAGGCTGAAGTGCAGTGGTGCGATCTCAGCTCACTGTCACCTCCACCTCTTGGGTTCAAGCAATTCTCCTCCCTCAGCTTCCTGAATAGCTGGGATTACAGGCATGCACCACCATGCTCAGCAAATTTTTGTATTTTTAGTAAAGACGGGGTTTCACCATGTTGGTCAGGCTGGTCTTGAACTTCTGACCTTATGATCCACCCACCTCGGCCTCCCAAAGTGTTGGAGTTACAGGGGTGAGCCACCGCGCCAAGTGAGAACTGTGTTCTTGAGAGGCAGTCTGGTTGGGGCCTGCAGTCAAAGGAAAGAGAGAGCAGGTCCAAACCACACCATACCCTACCAACCAGGCCCAGGGGCTGCCTCACTTGCGGTACCAATATTGGGGTGACCACTACACTCACCACATTGTATATGTATCTCCACAATAACTTGACAGCTTTAAATGAGTAGGGATTCATATGCTTCTTTTCTGTACTCCCTGTAGTACAGTGCTACTCAGAGTGCAGTCTGTGTACCTGTGCTGGTCGGTGCCCTGTTTGCTACCAGTCTGTGCATCTGTGACTGCTACCAAGTAAACATTTAGAAACTTTTTTTTTTTTGAGAGAGGGTCTTGCCCAGGTTGTACTGGAGTGGTGTGATCCTGGCTTGCTGCAGCCTTGACCTCCTGGACTCAAGCAATCCTCCCACCTCAGCACCCTTCCCAAAGTAGCTGGGACCACAAACACGCACCACTATGCCTGGCTAATTATTTTTTTTATTTTATGCGGAGATGAGGGTCTCACAATGTTGCCCAGGCTGATCTCGAACTCCTGGATTCAAGAGATCCTTCCACCTCCACCTCCCAAAGTCCTGAGATTACAGGAATGAGCTACTGCACCCGGCCCCTAGAAACTTTTATAGCATTTTTATATTGCTGCCACTTGTAAGCACATGAAGAATTGGCCACACTACTGAGGCAAATAATTTTTTTAACGGCCTTATATTTTGTATTTCTTTTTCAGTTTTTCCAGTAAATCATTTTTATGATGTTTTCCCAAAGTGTTTTTCTATGTCAGATAGAAAATAAAAATAATATAAAATAAACTGATTTTACTATAGATAGTTTGAGAAGCATTGCCCTAGTATATGCATAGTACTTTGGTCTGCAGTAGTCCCTTAGTAAATGTTTTTCAATGAAACCCTGTGATGCTTTTCTTTGCAAAAATAAATCCACACATCTTGATTTATGGAGAGTTTCTATTAAGATAATAACATATAAAAACTTTCTAATAATAAGTGGCTTATTTAAAGATAAATTTCTAGCTAACGTAGTCCTGCTATGAAAATTATCAAGTAAGAATGCTTTTCTTCTTCAGCTCACTTTTATTGAAGAAACACTCAGAAGAGAGTAACTATGGCTTGCATGAGGTCGTGCATCTCAGAAGATCTTGGTGTAAATTACAGAGGTTAAATTCCATAGCCTTTGTATTTTATTTTGTCGATTATTTCCCTCCTAATTTATATCATGTTTTCTGTTGTAAATGAGATACTAGCCTGTGTACCAAAGCATATCATTTTAGGAGCAAGATGATAAGATCCAGCAGGAAGTAATGCTTCCTTGGAATGCCTTCATCTCATTCATCCTTACAACATGTCAGAAGCATAGCAAGTCTCCCCTGCCGTAAATACATTGCATGTCATTACTCAGAAGATTTATGCTCTGTTGGATGTCTCCAGTTCTTCCGTAACTCCTGTTAAACTTATGGTTAATACCATATGTTTTGTTAGCAGTTTTTTGTCTGGTATTGTTTTGAAGTTAGCAGTTGTTTCGTGTGGGAGTATCCCACCTTCCCAAGTAGATTGGAATAATGAAAAGAATGGCAGACCAGCAGTCAAAGAACTCATTTCTAGTTCTTGTTTTGCCACTCTGAGCATTGCAACTCTGGATCAGTAACTTAACATTTCTGGACTACAGCCTCCTTAACTGTAAATTGAGAATGGTGGACTACGTACTTTGTAAAATTCCTTCTACCTCTGACCATCTGTGTTTCTATGTCAGTGAACTCCTTGAGGGAAGGAATCTTATATTTCTGCATATAGCCTCCAGAACTTTGCCTAGAATGCAGTAGGCCCCCAATACATACTGTTGAAGACATGACAAAACGTATTCCTCATGACACAGACCCCAGTAATGGCTCCATTGGAGATGCTCAAGAAATATTAGTCATTGATCAGTGCTCATCTTAATCAAAGTACCATATAATAACATTATAAACTTTAATTTTCTCCTGATTGGGCATGGTGGCTCATGCCTGTAATCCCAGCATTTTGGGAGGCTGAGGCGGGTGGATTACTTGAGGTCAGGAGTTTGAGACCAGCCTGGCCAACATTGTGAAACCTGTCTCTACAAAACTACAAAAATTATCTGGGCATGGTGGCGTGTGCCTGTAATCCCAGCTACTTGGGAGGCTTAGGCCCAAGAATCACTTGAACCCAAGAATCAGAGATTGCAGTGAGCCAAGATTGTACCACTGCACTCTAGCCTGGGTGACAGAGCGAGACATCTCAAAAAAATATTAAATTTTCTCCTAATAAGCAAGATAGTAATGTTTGTTGTAAGCAATTTTGCAAGAGTGGAGATATAAACAGACATACCTCTATCATATTTTCTTTATCTCCAGAAATCTAAGTCAGAGATTTTAAAAGTTAATTCATTAACATTTTTAAATAACCAAGGCTTTGATATTGATTCTTCAAGATTATAAAATACTAAAGGTGAGAGACTATATTTATCTAAATCTCACTGTATGGGGGTCTAATTGATTATTTTATTGTTTGGAAATGATTATAGTAATGTTTTAGGAAGATTTATTATTAATTTTTTCCTATTGGAAAACCTGTGTCAGTCCCTTCTATGGAAATCCTTCCAAAATGTATTGCCTATTTCTCTGCCTTAGTAAACAAAGCATATGAAATCTAATATAACCTATCCTTGATGCTCTGTTTTAGCATATTCAATTTTTGTAGGATTTTGTAAATATACAAAAATGGTAAGACAATGAGCTTGAGTCTGTATTGGGCCTACTACACATCATGAAATTTGATTTTTAAAAAATAACAACAAATCCTCTGAAATAAGTTTTCTCTTCCTCTTTAATGTATGATTCAGCATATACAGATACAGGCTGTCCTGCATTGGTCTGCTTTTTAAAAACTGTAATTCTGGAATGAAAGGCTAAAGTAGCCCTTCCTAGGTCGTTCGTTTGGTTTAACCTCAGTTAAACAGCAATCATTTTCAATAACAGCTATTTCAACTCACTCTCCAGATGACTTGCTTTAACTTATGCTGCAACACAGTGATCACGAGAGCTGGACAGTGTTGTGGAATGGACATAAGTTCCACAGTCAGATAGTCCTAGGTCCAAATTTCAACTCTATTATTTGTTAGCTAGATAACGTTGGGCAAGTAGCCTTATCGGTCTAAGCCTTCACTTACAATGAGGATTAAAAAGTTAACCTTCAAAAAGACCACAAGTATTAGTGAGGATGTGGAAACTGGAAACTTGTATACTGTTGATGGGAATATAAAATGGTGCAACTGCTATGGAAAACAGTATGGAGGCTCTTCAAAAAATTAAAAATGGAACTATCATATGATCCAGCAATCCCACTTCTGGGTATTCATTAAAAGAATTGAAATCGGGATCCTAAACAGATATTAGCACTCTCCTGTTCACTGCAGCAGTATCTGCAATAGCCAAGAAGTGAAAACAACCTAAATGACAATGGACAGATGAATAGATAAAGACAATGTGACAGAAAACCAAATACCACATGTTCTCCCTTATAAGTGGGAGCTAAATGATGAGAACACACAGACACATAGAGGGGAACAACACACACTAGGGCCTATTGGAGGGTGGAAGGTAGGAGGAGGGAGAGGATCAGGAAAAATAACTAATAGATACTAGGCTTAATACATGCATGATGAAATAATCTGTACAACAGCCCCCCGTGGCATACATTTACCTATGTAACAAACCTGCACATCCTGCACATATAACCCTGAAGTTTTGATAAAAGTTTTTTAAAAAGACAATGAGGTATCCACATGTAATGGAATGCTATTTGGCCTTCAAAAGGAAGGAAATCTTGCCATTTCTAACAACATGGATGAACCTGGAGGACATTATGCTAAGTGAGAAAAGCCAGATACAGAAGGACAAGTACTGCACAATTACACTTACAAAAAGTATCTAAAATGTTCAAATACATAGATACAAAGAGTAGAATAGTGTTTACCAGGGACTGGGGATAAGGAAGAATAGGACATAAAGTTTCAGTCAAGCAAGAGGAATAGGCTCTATAAATTTGTACTATGGGTACAACATTGTACCCATAGTCAATGATAATGTATAATATGCTTAAAATTTTGTTAAGAGGGGGGATCTCTTGTTAAGCGTTCTTATCACAATTTTTTTAAACTTAATCTTGGTCAGTGAATGGATGGATACATAGACCCATGTGATATTACACATATATTACAATGCATTGTACAACTTCTCTGTATGCTAAGAAAAATACAATCTTGCCAAATCTTTGAAGGGACCAGAGATCATATAGGTAAAGTGTCTGGCATGTTGCAGGTATTCACATTATTGTTTGAACCTTAAGGCTACTTCTTTTAAAGGCCATCAAAGCCAGATTTGGCTTTGTTTGTTTTAACAAACATTACTTTATTTACTTGTTTCTTTCTCTTTCATTTATTACTAACATTTATTCAGCAGTCACTGTGTTCTAAGCACTGGTGATACAGTGATGAGGGTAAAATTCTCATCCTCATGGTCCTTAGCCAGGTTTGTTTTTAACCTCCAGAGTGATCAGAAATGACAGATCTTGCGTCTTTAGTTGTGAGTTCATTGGCAGGTTTGCCACAAATGCCAGCTTTTGGGAGTGCCAGCTTACCAAAGGTTTGCAGATTTGTAAGTTTGAAGGCAGGCATATGCCCTCAGAGGGTCTCCTTTAACTTCACGGTGTTGGATCCTGCTTAGTCTTCCTCCAGCTTCTCCTTAAAACAAGTCCGTGTGGAGAGTACGGGAGCTAAGAAGTGTTCAGTGCTGGCCTGGATCCAGCAAGAGACCTGCCAAAGGCCCAGGAATTCTCAGACACCAATTTGCCTTTCCATTTCTCAGGGCTTAACCTCTGTCATTTGGCCTCCCCAATTACAATTACATTTCCAGACCTGTTTTATCTTTTGGCCTTACCCTCAATTCCCAGATCTTAGTAATGGTTCATATTTCCTGGATGTAACTACAGGAGCTTAAATTCACCTCTGAAAAAAGATTTCAAACTTGAGCTTACAGCCAGATCTACCCCAGTTTTCAACTTCACCATCAAACTCACATATATTCATACCATTTCTAATTTGTCACCTTATGGAAATATCATGCCATATTTACTTTCTTTTCTTCTGCTTGGTACTAGGTAATGAAGTGACTCTTGTTCAGAGGAAAAAGGCCAGTAAATGGAAACAATGTCAGTCTCTCAGCTAATACTCTATGGTGTGGAGGGAAAACAGTTATCTCACATATAGAAGAGAAAGTTCATCTTCCTTGGTGTAACTGGTCTTATGGCAAAGAGGTCATTTAATCACATGCAAGCAGCTAGACAAGATGATAATAAAAAGCAGATATATTACCTGTGTGCTTCTAAACCATCTGGGGCTTATCAAATGCCCTACACCACTCAAGGATGAGCCAGTTAAAGAGAAACATCAAAGAATGAAGGATGGAATCACCTACTGTTTTTCTGTGTATTTTCACAAAAAAAAATGGTTTAGTTCTCATTAATATAAAAAGATCAGCACAGTATTGTTCTATGAGCAGTTCAGTTTTTTTTTTTCTTTTGAGATGGAGTTTTGCTCTTGTTGCCCAGGTCAGAGTGCAATGGCGTGATCTCAGCTCACTGCAACCTCCACCTCCCGGGTTTGAGTGATTCTCCTGCCTCAGCCTCCCAAGTAGTTGGGATTAGAGGTGTCCACAAACATGCCTAGCTATTTTTTTTTCAGTAGAGATCAGGTTTCACCATGTAAGCCAGGCTGGTTTTGAACTCCTGACCTCAAGTAATCCACCCACCTCGGACTCCAAAAGCTCTAGGATTACAGGTGTGAGCCACCTGGCCCAGCCTATGAGCTGTATTGTATTCACACCTGAAACAGCCACAATTCTGAAATCGAGAGATCTCTATTTCTCATCCTAGTTTTGCTACAAACAGAACTCATAATACTGATGCACTATAACATATTCATAGTATCACTAACATTAAAAAAATTCAACCCTGCCAAATGTCCTTATTCCTGTACTAATATTATTGATTCTCAAATCTTAGTCAGTATATCCACTCATAGCATTTTTTCCTTAGAATTTGATCTTTTGGGGTGTTTCAATTCAACAAACAAGGATTACAGTAATGGTAACACATAGTAAAATTTGGGGACCTGATAACAAACCTCTTAATCTGAGAAAGAAGAGCCATATTTCCAGGACTAGCTAATAATCCCAGTTAAATTGTCTCCTTTCAGAACCTCTTGTATTTGTTTAAAACTTCCTACTTCTCACAAAGGACTTCCTCATACCTTATCTGATTGTTCTTTCCAGCAGCCCTATCAGATAGACCAGGCAAGCAAGTATTATTACCCCCTTAATATTCATAGGAAACCCTCTGAGATTGAGAGAGATAAAGTGGCAATACCAAAGTCACATAGCTGGTCAGCAATGAAGACAGAACCATACCCCAAGTCTAAAAGAAAAGAAAAAATCCCAACAAGCCATGTGGCAGTGCTTTAAAACCTAAATGTCATAGGCAAAAACTTTGAATGTTATCCAGATGTCTATGGAAGGCTTATGGGAATCAATACTCACCTTAAAGAGCCAGGCAGGAAAAATGATATGTTATGAAAAATGCCAATTTGGGATTTACTAGATGAGAGAGAAAAGTTGAGAACAATATAAATGGGTCAAATTTCAGAATATTTCTTGTGCTCTTCTCTTCACTGCAGTGACCTTTGCACTGCAGATAGAAAAGTACTGTGGGCAGTAGAAAAATGAGTTTATGTCATACAGTTCATTCAGAATTTGTGAAAATAAAAGCAGAAGACATCTTCAAGATCACCCTTACAGTTCAATTGTAAATGTTTAGAGAACCTTTTCTTGCTCACAAGTGAAAAACCTAAGGATAAGTCATTCAAGGAAAGTCTGTCTCTGTTCTACTTTCATCATGTTATCAGTAAGGTAAATGAAGAAATCAAAATGATAAGTCTGAAAGAAGTAGCCTTTGAAAGCATCTGAATTGCACTTCCTCAGGCCAGTGGAATTTGACAACTAATTATGGAAACTATAGATGGTACAAAACTCTGAATTTCTCAAAATGTACCGGTAATTGTCTGGGTGGAGAGAACTGGTTACACGCATAACAGGAAACTCCCAGCTTCCCTCAGGAAAAGTGGTTACATGGGTCAGTGTCAGGCCTCATGCTTGGAATTACGGGGTACAGGTCTGACCGAAGCCCTCTCATTCCTGCCTTGCCTTTAGCAGACTGAGAGGAACACTGAGCCCGTCAAAGGAGAGCTCCCCACAGGAAGGAAAAGTCAGCTTAAGTGGTAGCGAAACCTATGAAGTTGAGTTGCCAGAATCCCTCCACAGGCCACACAAACAGTAATGAAATTCATGGAGAGAAAGAAAGAAAAGACCCACAGCCATGAGCAGAGCCAGCTGGGAGGGATGTTATTACTTTATTTTTGTTTTCTTAACTATGTGTGTGTGTGTGTGCATGTGTGTGTGTGTGCGTGCGCATGTGCGTGCATGTGTTTTGAGGGGGAGGGAGGATTGATTGCAGAAAATGGCTTGATCCACAGCACTCAAGATGGAAACTTTTGTTGATATAATTTCTCCTAACTTTCCTACACCTTCCTTCCCTTCTACTCCATTTTCCCCTGTGGCTATCAAGAGCTGTATATATCTGACCACAAAACATGCAGTCAATCAGTTCAGGTCAAAAATGCAGCCAGACACCTGGATCAACTCAAACTCTGTCTACACACACCAATTGGCTTGGGGGTAAAAAAAAAAAATGTAATTGGGTGGAACAACTAGTTATTTTTAAAACAATGAGTTGAATTCAGAAAACCATCCAATTAGTTGATTTCAAAATGCCTGTTTGGTGACAGGAAAATGGTTATTTTCAAAGGGTCTTGTGTGTGCATAAACAACCTGAGTGCTATTAAATTGATGAGCTATTTTAGAATCCAGGAGATAAGGCCAAGGTGGCTGGACTCTGTTTATAAAGGGGAAACCTGGTCGGGTAGCAGTCCATCAAGCCCTCCAGAAGGTGACGCATTCTGTGGCAAGGATGAAGTCCTTCACTTGACAGCAACATAACTCTGCCCCTTTTTGCAGAGGCAAGCACCTCAGTTCTTTTTTTTTTTCTTTTTTTCTGTTGTTGAGACAGGGTCTCGCTCTGTTACCTAGGATGGAGTGCGGTGGCATGATCTCGGCTCACTGCAACCTCCGCCTCCTGGGTTCAAGTGATTCTCCTGCCTCAGCCTCCTAAGTGCATGGGAATACAGGTGCCTGCCAACATGCCCAGCTGATTTTTGTATTTTTAGTAGAGACGGGGTTTCACCATGTTGGCCAAGCTGGTCTCAAACTCCTGTGCTAAGGTGATCCACCCACCTTGTCCCCCCAAAGTGCTGGGATTACAGACATTAGCCACCATGCCCAGCCAGTTCTTTCTTAGAGAAGCCACCTGTGTGCCTTCTTCCTGGATGCCCCATGCTAGCCAGAAGGCCAAAGATCCCAACAGACTCTATAAAGAACCAATGTTTTTTTATTAGCCATTGCTGCACCACATTTCCTAATGCACACAATGATGGTAACTTGATTCTCACCTTTTATGGGTTGCATTTGGATGACATTCAGCAAGGAAGCCTCCTGTGAGCCATTTGACCCAATATGTAATGAGTTCGGTCAGTTTCAACGGCACAGCTATACCTCTCTGGACTTCCTTCTCCCACCCCAAAATGTGAACATTCTTTTCTTGTGCTACATTACTAAAAAATGATTTAAGAAGAAAAAAAACAGGGAAAAGGTCTCCTCCTGAAGAGAATTTTATTTGCGCTCCTCATGCTTTGTCATAAAGGGCATTCAGCCGTGTTAATCATGTAAGAAATTTCAGCAAAGTTCTCTTTTTTCATATTAGACTTAAAACATCACCCCTGAGGTGGTGCTGATGGCACTCTTAGAAAATATTTCTTTGATGTCTAAGACACAGAGGACTTCAGCAAACACTCTCAGAGTTAAATCAGTGGTGCCTAAGTGCTGATTCTCCGTCCCCAGTTACAAGCATTTACTAAGTAAAACTTTTGTTTCTGCAAATGTCTTACTTGAGTGTGTCTTAATCCCAAGTGTTGAGGAGGTTTTGTTTTATTGTCTGTGTGTGTGTGTTTTAAGCACTTATTTTATCAGAAAGGATTTCCACAATGGAAGCCTTCATTGCCATTGCTGTGGCTGAGTCTTTAGGTTTGAGACTAGTTAAGCTGCCGCAGGTAGAAGTGTTTGCACAGCTCCCAAAGTATAGAATCGCAGCCTCAGAGTTGGAAGGAGCCCCCTTAAGCCTGTCCTTGCCTTCGGGCATCTGAGCCAGAGGAATAGCCACTCTTTTCTTTAAGATCTCCAAGGACAAAAACTCCACATGCAGTTATTTTATTATAAAAGTGTGAACTGTAAAACATATTTACAAGGGAATAATATTATCATCTATATTTAAATGATTTCCTTTTTAAAACATTTGCTTACCCAATTTTTAAAAAATTAATGAACAGCAAAGTTCTTTGAAAAAAAATCCTTTCAAATCCTTTCAATAGAATCATTTCTCCTCTTTTTGAAGTATTACAAGGGTCATTTCTCCCAGAAAATGCTACCAGAAATTGCTATGTTTCTTCTAAAAAGAGGGTTTGCTTTTATCTTGTGACTACCCTGCATCAAGACACTCTTCCTTCTTTGCTTTGGCTGTTGGAAAGCCCACAGCCAAATGTGTGTCCCCACCCCCTTCTAATCAATGCACGGGACCTCACCTCAGCTTCACCTGTTTGTCTTCCTTTATTTTTCCTTCATCTAAGTTTCTTCACTTAGTTGTGCTTTTTGGCTTTCCTGTTGTTTCTGGGCTTTCTGGTTTTCTGTTTGTTTTGATGTTTGGAAGCAATATAGTGAGGCAAGAGCAGAGACTCTGGGGACTAAAATACTTAACACTTGGCTCCCAGCTCTGCCCTTTCCTATCTTAACCTTTTATTTTCCTCATCTGTAAAATGAAAAACACAATAGTAGTCATGGAGTTGTTGTGAGTGTTAAATGAGAAAATGCACGTGTAGTGCCAAGCCAACAGTAAGCACTCAAGATATGTTCATTATTCATATTATAACATTGCTACTTTAAATTATTTCAGGAGCGAGAGGTGCAAAAGAGAAATATAATTATTTATTCTCCTATTTCAAAGTTTGATCTTTATCTCCCGTCTTCTTCTTCCTGTCTCATGAATTGTCTTTCAAGCAAATTATTTGCTGCTGTTTCTGCACTTTAATGAAACTCCTTCTACTATGTTACAGGCTAGTGCTTCCCAAACTTACTCGATCTTAAGAATCAGCAGAAGCACTTACTAAAAATACAAATTTCAGCTGGGTGTGGTGGCTCATGCCTGTAATCCCAGAACTTTGGGAGGTTGAGGTGGGAGGATTGCTTGAGGCCAGGAGTTGAAACCAGCCTGGACAACAGAGTGAGACCCCATCTCTATTTTTTAAAAAATACAGATTTCTAGTCTTTTTTTTTTTTTTTTTTTTTTTTGACAGAGTCTCGCTCTTTCACCCAGGCTGGAGTGCAATGGCACAGTCTCAGCTCCCTGCAACCTCCACTTCCTGGGTTCAAGTGATTCTCCTGCCTCAGCCTCCCCAAGTAGCTGGGATTACAGGAGCCTGCCACTACGCCCAGCTAATTTTTGTATTTTTAGTAGAGATGGGGTTTCACCATGTTGGCCAGGCTGGTCTTGAACTCCTGACCTCGTGATCCACCCACCTTGGCCTCCCACAGTGCTGGGATTACAGGTGTGAGCCACCACGCCCTGCCCAGATTTCTAGTCTTACACACCTAAAATTGTTTTATAAATGAATAGCTCTAGAACGGTGTTTCTGGGACTAAAGTATTTTATACCACATTGTCTATACTTTTCTCCAAGAATCTAATCACAGACAAATTTCCACACTTGCTTCCTATGTAGTTAGTGTCCCTTTAACATTTCAATTTTTGTTTCCTTGTTTCCCTTTTGTAACTTTTTCTGCTACTTTTTTTTGGTTGTTCCCTTACCTCTTGTCCTGCCACTTGTGGGAGTCTGTCTTTTTCCAACTCCTGAGGCAATAACAGGTCTTTTCCCACCCATCACTCCAGCACTGCTTTGGGTAAAGTATTTAAGAGCTAAAATTGTTGGCCTGGTTGGGTCAATTGGGGAATGAAGGTATATCCACATTAAGAGAAATAGTTACTCAGTAACTGTTTCAGCCACTTCTTCACAGAGAAAACCATCTGTGCCTTTTTAAATTTTTATTGGCCTGATTGATGGCTCTACAACACAGTGAAGAAGTAGCCCCACCCACCACAGCGTTCTTCATCCTGCTGGGGAAGCCACACAGAGTTGAGACCAAAAAGTACGGAAGGAAGGAAGGTAGAAAGGAAGGAAGGAAGGTTTTATCTGCCTTCCTTTGTTTTCTGTGGATAAATGCCAAATCCCTCTTACTTAAACTTTTCCCCTTTCCTTTACTTTGTCTCCAAGTTTTTCTTAGAATGAATGAGTAAATTGTTCAAATTTTCTCAATAATCTCCCTCCATAACTCATTCCAAAGTTTAATTACTTTGACAGAAGAAAGGGAGGGAAGAAGGAGGGAAGAAAGGAAGGAAAGGAGGGAGGGAAGGAGAGAGGATGGAAAAGAAGGAAAGAAAGAAAAAGAGAGTAAATAAATAAAAAGAAAGGAAGGATGGAAGAAAGAGAGAGGGAGAGAGACAGGGAGAGGAGAGGAGAAGAGAAGGGAAGGGGGGAGGGGGGAGGAGAGGAGGGAGAGGGGAGGGGAGGAGGGGAGAGGAGAGGAGAGAAGAGAATCCTACCTATTAAAATCCTACAATCTGCCCTGCTTTTACCTTAGGGCTGTTCTGACAGTTTCCCCTTGTTACACATGTGTTGCTAGGATAGTACAAGTATTTTCAAGATGAATTCTCTGCCAAAAGGTCTTGCCACTGAGTCATCACCATCTTCATCTTTTTAAAAAACATGAGCAAGCCTCAGCAGCACTTCATTCACATTAGTAAACATTACCTAGGGAAAGAAAGAATAGGCCTCAAGAACATGACATCATCATTAAAAAATAAATGCTTTCTGAGTCCCTACTCAGTGTGTGGCACTGTGTTAGCCCTAGAAATATAAAAATGTGCCTGCTTTTAGTCTCACACGCACACACATATACTCCAATATGTCAAATCCAGAGAAGTGGTGCAGACTAGAAAGATTATCAGAATTCCAAGGAGGGAGCAATTCTGCCCCAAGGGCCGGGGGTGGTCACAAAAGGTAGGGCTCCAGGCCCCAAAGAAAGGGTAGAGAGTTTGAGGGAATTAATGTGAACAAAGACCAGGAAATATTAATGAAAATAGTTTGGGAGAAAATAGTTAGTGTGCCATTTGATGGGAGCAGACAGTTTGTGTGGACTGGAAGATGAGTAGGAGGTAATAATGGAATGGTAGACCATAGTCTGCTTGGAGAGGGCCTTGAATGGCAGGCTAATTAGTGTAGCCTTAGCCTATAAGCAATAAAGAGCACCACTCTCACAGATAGCATAGAGCAGACCACTGAAGCTTCAGAGTACCTTCAATCAAAAGAAGCACGGACATTGATTACAGGAACTTTTGTGAAATGTCTCAAGTCTGTATAACTATTTCCCATATTTGTAACTTTGTTTTCTCCATGGTATCAGTGTTACTTGGGAGGACAGTGAGGAGAGGGTAGCTGGCAAGTTTACGTCCTACCACATAGGCCAGTCTGGAGATGAAAAGGACCCTAAGAAATGGTACGTGGCAGTGGTTTTAAAGTAGAAAGATAGACATGAACAATCTCTGGGGCTCACAGAAGGGAGAGAAAAACAATCTCTGGGGCTCACAGAAGGGCTTTTCATATGTTCACAGCATGCAGTCCCACACTGGCATATTGGGGGCCAGCGTGGGACTGCAAAATGCCTTTGAGGGCCTAACTGGAAGGAATCCTAGATAGTTCCTGCCAGCCCCTTAACCTGCTGAATTTCTCCAATAGCATATCTCATGGCAGTTTAAAGGAGGAGACTTAAATGGATGTTGTTAACTGAATGCACCATTTTGTGAACTCCAGAGAGCTCTGGGAATATTCTTTAAATATCACCTTATTGAATGAACTAAGCGGGATTGACTGGGTACCAGGTAAGATTTAGGTGAGTTTGTTCAGTCTTCTAATTTGAAGTTGCTGCTAATCAGGCACCACTTTCTGCTCTCCTCTGAATTCAAAAATGGCTTCAGTATTGGTGAATGAGCAGTTGTCCATCCGGGATCAGTTGGAAAAGGCTTTTGCCTCCACTGATCTTCTCTTCTAGCTGAGTTGCTCTCTTCCAGTCCTGTGGGCAGCAAGCCACCCAGGTGCCAAGGCAAGAGACCAAGGGCACAAGCTGTTCCAGTATAATAAAATATATAAAATAAGAATAGTTATACTAGTTATAGATGTTAGATATAATTATATATGAATATCATTAATCATTAGTTTGTAGCAATTACTCTTTATTCCAATATTATAATAATCCTCACTCTACAGTCATAACCTAGGAAAAACCAGGCCGTACAGAGATAGGAGCTGAGGGGACATAGTGAGAAGTGAGCAGAAGATGAGTGCGAGCCTTCTGTTATGCCCGGACAGGGCCACCAGAGGGCTCCTTGGTCTAGCAGTAACACCAGCGTCTGGGAAGACGCCCATTGCCAAGTGGACTGTGGTCAAGCGGTAGCATCAGTGTCAAGGAAAAACACCTGCTACTTAGCAGAGCGGGAAAGGGAGTCTCCCTTTCCCCGGGGGAGTTTAGAGAAGACTCTACTCTTCCACCTCTTGTGGAGGGCCTGACATCAGTCAGGCCCACCCACAGTTATCCAGAGGCCTAACTGACTCCCTGTGATGCTGTGCTTCAGTGGTCACACTCCTAGTCTGCCTTCATGTTCCATCCTGTACACCTGGCTCTGTCTTTTAGATAACAGTAGCAAAATTAGTGAAAGTACTAAAAGTCTCTGATATGCAGAAATAATGGCATAAGCTGTCTCTCTCTCTCCATCTCTCTCTCTACCTCAGCTGCCAGGCAGGGAAGGGCCCCCTGTCTAGTGGACATGTGACCCACGTGACCTTACCTATCATTGGAGATGGCTCACACTCCTTACCCTGCCCCTTTGTTTTGTATCCAATAAATATCAATGCAGCCTGGTATTTGGGGCCACTACTGGTCTCTGCGTCTTGGTAATAGTGGTCCCCTGGGCCCAACTGGCTTTTCTTTTATCTCTTTGTCTTGTGTCTTTATTTCTACACTCTCTTGTCTCTGCACATGGGGAGAAAACCCACCAATCCTGTGGGGCTGGACCCTACACAGTCCTAAATTTAACCCTATCCCTCCTTTGCAAGTAAAGGGGTCATTAACATTTAGCTGATGGAGCACAAAGTGATCAGAAAGACCTGTTGCTTCCTTTCATCAACTCTGCCCATTAGCCAAGCAGAAAAGAAATATTGGTTTCTTAATTGACTTTCATAATCACTTTCATAATCGTTTTGCATGTGGTACATACTAGGTACTCAATAAGTATTTGCTGAACAAAGGAATGAATGAATGTTGGACACTATCCTAGGTCCTGGCCATGCATCAGTAAAGAAGAAATAAATAGACAAAAATCCCTACCCCCATGGAGGTCATATTCTAGTGACAGAAAAGAAGGAACCATAGGGTCCCAAATCCTACTAGAAACAGCACTAAGCACATAATAGGTACTCAGTAGATATGTGGGGAAATGGGAGACACTCTAATATAATAATGCATATAGCTTATGTTTCTCCTTCTCAGTCTCATTGAAAAACATCATTATCCTCAAATAATTAAAAATAGAATAATGAGCCTACAAGTTCAAGACCAGCCTGGGCAACATAGCAAGACCTTGTCTCTACTAAAAATAAAAATAGGATTAACCTATAATCCAGCCATTTCACTACTAGGTATATTCCCAAGAGAGTTGAAAGCATAAAATCAAACAGATAAATATTCCTATGTCAATGTTCATAGCAGCATTATCCACAGTAGCCAAAAAGTGGAAGCAACCCAAATGTCCATCAGCAGATGAATGAAGAAACAAAATATGGTATATACATAAAATGAAATATTATCCAGCCTTAAAAAGGAAGGAAATTCTGACACATGCTACAACATGGATGAACCTGGAGAACATTATGCTAAGTGTAATAAGCCAGTCACAAAAAGACAAATTCTATATGACTCCACTTATATGAGTTATCTAGAGTAGTCAAATTCATAGAGATAGAAAGTAGAATTGGGGTTGCCAGGGACTGGGGGGAGGAAGGAATGGGGAGTTACTGTGAAATGAGTATAGAGTTTCAGTTTTGCAAGATGAAACAGTTTTGTAGATTGGTTCCACAATAATGTGAATATACTTCTCATTACTAAACTGTACACTTAGAAATGGTTGTGATGATAAATTTTATGTTATGTGTATTTTGCCACAATTAGAAAATTTTTAAAGCCACTTATTAAACATTCTTTTTTTTAGAATTGTACAAAGATTAACAAACACGAACCCTTTGCTGGAGTTTACATTGTAATACAGACCCTTCATGATGTGGCCAGGCATGTCAAGGCCATACGGACAAGAGAAGACAAACATTCAGCCTAGATACGGAGAGGAAGCTGAATATTTACATTACCCAACAGAGCAAAGATGAGTGCATTTTAGGATGGAGGGAGGGCAGGCTGTCCACACAGTGTGACTTGACTAAATACTACTGGTGATCCATTTCTCAAAAATATATCAACTCCATTGCTTGTCATATGTTCTGAAATTTTAGCTCTTTCTTTTGACTCTTTAAGGATTAGGAAATTCTGCAATTCCTTAGGAGTAGACAAAGAAACCAGAAAGGGGCAAGATTATTTTCTAGCTAACAGTTGGCCTCCCATTTTTTTTTTATTATAGGGGTCCAAGATGAGAGAGGAAGCAATGGGAGAAGAAAGGAGACGGGTGGGCAACCAAGATCAACTTCCCCCTTTCACACCCATGTGGAGGAGGCTGGAGAGGCAAGGGATATTGATGTATCAAGTCCACACTCACAGACTTAGAGGACCTGTTGGCCCATCAAATAATGGAGAGTCAAGGAAAACCATTTCCAAACATTAGTACTGACCAGCCTCCAGAGGTAATGGTCTCCATTCCTGCTGCCAGAAGTACACCAGCAGAGGCTGAGGTGGGGATAGGATGTTTCTCCCAACTTTACATTCTATGCATCTCTTAACAGAGACAGCAGGGTGAACCCCCTTTACCTTATCGCATCAGTACAGTCACACCTCAATCCCTCAGGTGCTGCCAACTGTGTGTGTGAGATTCTAGAGAGAGAGATCTTTGCATTCTCCATGAGGGTAAAGTTTGCTGGGCAGGATTCTTTAAATCACATCACAAAGGCCTTTTCATCTTAAAGAAACAAACTGTTTCTAAGGACTTTAGCACATTGTTTATGAGTCAATGAATACTGCTAGTAACCAATGGGTCTTATCTATTCATGAAAGCCAATCTCTGAGGATCTCTCTTGGGAACCACTGTGTGCAGTTAGTTTGAGTTATGGTACACATAGACTTCAACTAATGAAAGGTCATGTTTTAAAACATTCTAGAATTCCAACCTGTCACTAATTCACATTGGTCTGCCTGCCCCCAACCCCCATTAGTCCAAATAGATGAGATTTTGCTGAGACAGATTTTCAAGTAGTTTGCAAATGGTAAACACAAAGAGGGGATCTCTTTCTCTCTCTGCCTCTCTCTCTGTCTCTCTATCTGAAACACATCACTTGACATCTTATTATTAGGATCAATAGGTGACAATTTCTCTCTATTGATTATTTACCTTCGTTTTCACTACAAAGTTAAATTGCAACAAGAATGGATGCTGACTTTCTTGCTTAGTGCTCAACAGCTTTGTTTTCCTTAGACTGACTCTCTTTCATTTTCATGAAAGTCATTATTAGGCTAATGTAAAATTAAATTAGCTTGGCCGGGCGCGGTGGCTCATGCCTGTAATCCCAGCACTTTGGGAGGCTGAGGCAGGCAGATCACGAGGTCAGGAGATCGAGACCATCCTGGCTAACACGGTGAAACCCCATCTCTGCTAAAAATACAAAAAATTAGCCAGGCTTGGTGGCAGGCACCTGTAGTCCCAGCTACTGGGGAGGCTGAGGCAGGAGAATGGTGTGAACCCGGGAGGTGGAGATTTCAGTGAGCCGAGATCGCGCCACTGCACTCCAGCCTGGGCGACAGAGCGAGACTCCATCTTAAAAAAATAAAATAAAATAAATTAGTTTACATTCAGCATGTACAGGAAGCACAAATACTCACCAGTGGGATGGCTTAGAAGGATCCTAGAAATGAAATCAGTATCTCAAAGAAATATTAGCAAACCCATGTTCATGCAGCATTATACAAAACAGCCAAAATGCGAAAACAACCTAAACATGCATTGAAGGATGAATGGATAAAGAAAATCTGACATATATATAATATATTATATATATTATATTATATATTATATTTTATAACATATTAATATAATATATAATTATAATTAATATATATTATATATATATATACAATGAAATATTATTCAGCCTTAAAAAAGGAGATCCTGTCATTTGCCACAGCATGGATGAACCTGGAGGACATTATGTCAAAGGAAATAAGCCAGACACAGAAAGACAAATACTGTATGATGGCATTTATATGTGGAATCTAAAACAGTTGAACTCATGGAAGCAGAGAGTAGAACAATGATTGCCAGAGGCTGGGGTTTGGGGAAATGGGGAGATGTTGTTCAAAGGGTACAAACCTTCAGTTATGAAATGAATAAGTTCTGGGGATCTAACATACAGCGTGGTAACTGCAGTTAATAATACACTGAACTGTTTACTTGAAATTTGGTAAAAGAGCAGATTTTAAGTGTCCTCACCCCACCTCCCCACACAGAATGACAATTACTGGTGGTGATGGATGTGTTAATTTGACTTCAGTAGTCAGTACACAATGTAAATGTGTATCAAATCCTCACATTGTACACCTTGAATACATACATTTTTTATTTGTGAATTAAGTTTTTTCCAAAACTTTTTTTTAAAAAGGAAGTATCCTAGAAGATGCTCTGACCAGTCACTCTCTTTGAAACCTCCCTTGGTTACAATACCTGTTATGTGCTACTTTTGAATATTTTCCAAGATCATCAAGCTATAAGCCACATGCTTAAGAAAATATAGCTATGATCAATTTGAGGGACATGTGGAAAGAGAATATTTAAATGATAATCTAGTTTTTTGAATCAGATAAAGAGCACTTCAGCTGTAAAGCCTGTAGAAGCCCATCACGCCAAGCGTTCCAGTTTGTGTGGAACAGTTAGTTTCCCAGAAAGATATCAAGCTAGGTTCAGAAACTATAAAAGGTCTTTGGCTTCCTATATACATATTGATTCATAGTTGCATTTGCTTTCTTCATCACAGGAATGGTGACTTGCTATTGAGAAAACTTTTGAGAGACCCAGGAATGAAAATAGGAACAGAGATACTGCTCTGGTTCTCATTCTCATCAATAGAGAGGGAATGTCAAGGCTGTGGTGATATGAACATCCCTGGCTCGCAACAGGTAAAAAATGTGACTGAGAGTCTGAGGCAGTTTGGAGCTAGGAGGAAGATATTCTGAAGTGAGCTTTGCAGCCCAAATACTTTCTAATCCCTCACCTCCCACCATGCACCTCCTGAAATAAGCTTTCAAAGCTTACCAGGCTGTTTATAAAAACAAAGGGATTCCCCTTCCAAGAAGTTTCCAGTCTGAGATGACACAGGCAGTACAGAAATGTTCCGTTGTCAAGCAACCAAATATATGCATTAACTGAGGGATAGAAGAGCATTGGCATTTTCGCTTCAAAGGCAAATTCAATGAATTTGAGATGCACAATCTTACAACTAAGACTTCAAAACTAATTTTCAAAGTACAAGTAGATCTAACTCAGTAGAAGAGGGCTCAAATAAATGCAGAATCAAAGATGCTGTGGCCAAAACAAGTGTGAGTGTATCTTAGGGAGGCATTTTTCTTACTGAAATGGTTCTTTTTATTTGTACAGTTGAAATGGGCCACCTCCTTTATGAAGGCTTTCCTGTTCCTCACTCTTTCCCTGGCTACAGTGGGCTACTCCAGTCTTTAGGTCTCAATATGCCGAACATACTCCATCATGTCACCTGTGACAATTGATTGTATCCTTTTGTTTTCATGTCTGTGTGCCCCACTAGAGTTTAAGTACTTTGAGGACAGGGTCTTTTTGATTTGTATGTATCCACCCTAGCTCAATACCTGGTACATAATAGGTGCTCAATAAACTTTCTGGAATGGATGATATCCCATGATTCCTTGTGATGAAAAGAGCAACAGCTAAACAAATATTCCTATTAGAGTTTTGTAAGGCCAATTTAGGGTTCTGCAGACTAAAGAGAACTGAAAATTCCCAGCTTCTAAATCAAAGATTGAAGGCTTGCCCCCGCCTAGCCATAGCTCCTTGATATGGCTCTTAATTAATAATCTGTTACATCCTCAAAAGGGGTCATTTTAAGGTAACCCAGAAGAGCTCCCATGACCTATTGACCTTGTTATGTCACCAAAAAGGAGCTTTTTGTCAAAGGATGGCAGACTACTTTTCTGTGATTCATGTATTACTCAGAAACCACTGGTTTCCTGGAATTAATAATAAAAATTCCAAATCCCCAGCAGTAACTTCCCAACCCCACAATTCTTGCTAACACAGCAGAGTAACACTTGGATTCTATACCAGGCCTACTGACCTTTTGCTAATTGTAAAATAAACATATCTTCCAGTTTAGAGGGGCCTTCTCCTTTTATGGGCTCCCTGCAGTGTAGGCACTGCTTGACTGGTATTTATTTCTGCCATATTTGCTTTCCAACACTTGTTCAGTGCAGGGGGCAGGTGTCTGGGGATGGAAGAAATAGGGATCAGAATAAGAGGAGAAAAGCAGGTGCCCCAACATCCTGACTGAAGTGCCCAGCTTATTATTCAGAAGAAGCTGAGGACCTAGGAAGATGTGTGCAAATGAAAATTTATTTTAAAAAAATTTCAAGCATTTCTGAGCCCTTATTCTTGTGCCTAGCCCTGCCCAGTAGGTAAAACGGACACATAAAAAGTGATAAGCACTGTTACAGAAGCATGAACCAAAGGCTTGGGGAAGCCCAGGGGATAGATAACTGCTCTCCACTGGCCAGTGCTAGTGATTGGCCCAGGAATATGGCAGGGAAAGACTGCAGTAGCACCATGAAGATGCTGCCACAGGTGGTGGGGCTCCTTCTCAGTTTTGCACATTTAGAAATTTAATTTTATGTGTTGCTGTAGGGCTAATCAGATTCAGGGGATTGACCCATGATAAATCAAAAAGACACATATTAATATAAATGATAAACTAGGGGCTGGGCATGGTAGTTCACACCTGTAATCCTAGCACTTTGGGAGGCAGAAGCAGGCAGATCACTTGAGCCCAGAAGTTTGAGACCAGCCTAAGCAACATGGTGAAACTGCATCTCTACCAAAAATGCAAAAATTAGCAAAGCCTGGTGGCACACGCCTGTAGTTCAGCTACCTGAAAGGCTGAGGTGGGAAGATTGCTTGAGCCCGGGAGGTCAAGGCTGCAGTGAGCCGTGATTGCGCCACTGCGCTCCAGCCTGGACGGCAGAGCAAGACCTTGTCTCAAAAATAAATAAATAAATAAAAATAAACTAAAATTGATTTACTATGTATTTAGTATATGCCAAGAGACGTTCTAAGTACTTTACATGAATTATCTCATTTAACACTCATGGCAACACTGTGAGTAAAGTAGTATTACCACCTTCAGTTTTTAAATAAACAGAGGCTCTGAAAGGTTATGACTTGCCCAAGCTGGTCAAGTTGGGATTCTTATAATAAAGTCTGTCTGATTCTAATGCCAATGTCCTTAACACCTACACTCACAGCCCCTCATTGTTTTATACTGAAAAAGAGAGCTGTTGGCTACTTTGTGCTTTCTTTCCCCAAGAAGGAAGATGATGGAAACTGAGTGAGGTCCTGAAGATTGTTTGATGAGTGCCAAAATCAGAACAAAGAACTCAATAAATATCTTACATGAATGAATACTTTAGAGTCCTCAAACTATGCTAGCCTAGTGAATTAGACTCTGTCGTCCCTTCACCATAGATCCCAGACATTAAGTTGACCAGTCAGGATACTCTTTTCCCCTCAAAACCCCAATGGTTAAGTTGAACTCTGCGTTGCTGCTTTTTCTGGCCTTAAATACACATAATTGGGCCCTGCTTGAACCCCAGTCTGCGACTAGGATCCTAAATACTATACTTACTCAATTTTTTCCAGCTTTCTTCTGAAAGCTGGATCCATCTACCAGACTGGTCCTCCTAGAACTAATGATACTCAGACTTATACCTGAGTTACCTATGTCCTTTGGACCACTCCACTATCCTAATCAAAGTTCATTAATATATTGATCTAACTTATCTTTACTGCGTACCTACCATGTACCAAGCACTGTGCTAGGGGCTTGGGATATAGTTTAAAAACACCTAGGTTTATCCATCAAGGTCTGGACAGGAAACAGATGGCACACTCAAACTGAGTAATCTGGGGAGCATTTCAAAAAGAGGCTATTTAGAAAAGTGTGGGTAGAGGATAGGAACCCCACAAGAGATGGGGTGGTACCTTAGAGATAGTAACAGCAGGGAGCCATTACCCCTCTAGGCCTGGAGGGCCAAGAAGAGGGAACAGTATGAAGAGGGTGGCTTTATAAGAGCTGTGATCTTCAGTAGAGGGACGCAGCCACTGCCAATACTTGGCCCATCAAGAAAGAGCCTGGGGAATAAACACCCCAACTTCATTCTCCTCCTACCCGCTGATCTCCATTTGGTGCCAAACATAATCAGGGGTCAGGAAGCAAGGGAGCCCATTAACGTATCCATATAGATCAGCCTGCAGTGGCACAGGGCAGGCTGAAGAGTGGCTCTGAACATCCAGTAACACTATGCAATGGGATGATTTACTTCCTAACCCCAATCTGCCCTACTCATGATTCTTTCCACTTCCACCCTCCTCCTTAACTCATACTGCCAAAGACTCAGCTCGTTATCATGCCACATGAGTCATCCCAGTCTGAAAATTAAGTGAGCTCCCACAGATCCCATGACTAATTACTCACAAAACCAGATTACAGACCTGAACTTCTAAATCTCAATCCAAAATGTTTTCTTCTATAGTGCCTTTTTCTCTGTAAGATGGTGAAGTGCTGGTATAAGGATGATAATGTTGATGATGATAGCTGTCACTTGTTGAATTCTTATGATTTGCCAGTAACTGTAGTAAGTGGTTTGCATATAATATCTCACTCTGAGAATAGTGTGGCTTCCATAAGTATCTAATACTCAGGCAGAAAAAAACCTGATTTCCAGGGGACAAGTGAGAATAAAGACCAACTTATTAACTTTACAGATAGCAGAACATTTTTATGGGTCCCTTTTCCATTCTGCCTCTGTCACCCTTGAATTGCCATGTATCAGATGCAAAGAGGACGTAGTTAACATATTCTAATAACAGACTTTAGGAAGAGAGCTGCTTTTATGGAATACCCTCCTGCTGCCACTTTGGCTTCGGTTGCAGAGGCTGCTGAGTGTGGTAAATGCTCTCCAAATGCCCAAGGGGCATCCTCAAGATTTGAACATGCAACCAGAGGAGCTTAATTATGGTTCCTGAGAACCAGAATGATTCCATTTACAGCCACTAAGTCCTGAAAGGTGTTTGGGGGAAAACTCAAACTGCTCCTAAGGGTCAAAGCAGTTTCATCGTGATTTGATATATCCATCTAGCGTAGCTCCCCACAAGTTACAGAATCTGGAAGGCACCCAGCATCTCTACTTGCCAGATCTTCCTTGGGGAGCTGAACATGAACAGAGTAGGCACTCCCACACATATGCAGAGCAGTTTACTTTTGTTCACCAAATGTGCACCCAACAGTATCTCCATTAAATTGGAGATTTTTGTCTGCTCCTCTCCTCCCCAGTGCTGCATGTCTAGTACCCAGGTGCTTGGTGTTTAGTTGGTGCTCAATAAATACTTGTTAAATTAATAGATCAATGAAATGGGAGGTTTCCTCTGCTGCCCAGAGACTCCATAAAATCTCCCGATGTTATCTCCTTTTTTTTTTTTTTTTTTTTTTTTTGAGACTAAGTTTTGCTCTTATTCTCCAGGCTGGAGTGCAATGGGGCGATCTCGGCTCACTGCAACCTCCGACTCCCAGGTTCAAGTGATTCTCCAGTCTCAGCCTCCCAAGTAGCTAAGATTACAGGCACATGCCACCACACCTGGCTAATTTTCATATTTTTAGTAGAGATGGGGTTTCACCATGTTGGCCAGGCTGGTCTCAAACTCCTAACCTCAGATAATCCACCCACCTCGGCCTCCCAAAATGCTGAGATTACAGGCTTGAGCCACTGCGCCCAGCCTCCTGATGTTATCTCAATCGGAAATTTCTCTGGGCATCTGGAGGATACTGTCCTCGCATGGTCTCTCATACTGAAGTTTAAAAGTTTATCTTTCTCATAACATTTTTTCCAATCGCAGTCTAAATGAGTCTTTTCCTAGCATTGGTTCAGCCTAAAGCGATTCAATTAGGTAGAATAAATATCATTAGAACACTTTTTAAAATGTAGAGATTTACCTCTTTGCATTTGGTTACCTTAGTGTTACAGTTGAGTTTGAGAGACTCTTGGGAAGGAGATAACAGGCCTAGGCCTCGCTTGACACACAGTGCCAAAGTTAATGTTAACTGTTTCTATGAACCTTAACTGTTTCTGCATTAGTGAGCTTTTCATTATTCTACTGTTGCCCCAGCTCCTGACCTCAAGCAATCTGCCTGCCTCCGCCTCTCAAAGTGCTGGAATTACAGGTGTTAGCCCGGCAACACCGTAAATATTTTAGGCATCATTTTAAAGACACACCAGTGGTGAAGGTGATGACAAGCAACAAATTCTACTCTTTGGGATCTAAGCAGTCATTTGTATGGGTTCTGTGGCCATTCATGTAACAAACATTTATTGAAACATGTACCATGTGCCACATACAGGGGATACAATGATGAATAAACTGTGATATCTGCTGTCAAGGAATTCAGTCTCTCCAGGGAAGAGACAATAAAATAATTACAATAATTACAACGCTATCTAATAATTGTTATGGGAGGGCAGGCACTGAGGGCCATAAGAGACAAAGGAGGGACATCTAATTTATGATGGGAGGTCAGGGAAGGCTTCCCAAAAGAGGTGAGAATTTAATGTTGTTTTGAAGGGCAAGTGGGAGTGAGCCTAATGCAAAAGGGGGAGAAAGGCATTCCAAGCACATTTTGGACACACACAAGTAAAAGCAGCATGCTTCCAAAGTATTATTACAGTATTTTATTTAATTATTAATTAATTGTTTATTAATTATTAATTAATCATTTATTAATTGTTAATTAATAGTTTATTAATTAATACAAAGTATTAATGCTTTGTATTAATACAAAGTATTAATACAGTTATTGCTGATATTTGGGGCTGGATAATTCTTTGTTGTGGGAGGCTGTCCTGTGTACTGCAGCATGTTTACCATCAGTATACCTGAATTCTACTCACTAAATGTCAGTAGCACCTTACTTCTCTGAGTTGTGACAACCAAAAATACCACCAGCATTGCAAGATGTTCCCTAGGGGACAAAATTGCCCCCAGTTGAGAAATAGAGCCAAAGATATGTGTGAGAAAGTGATGAAAAATAAGGTTGGAAAGCCAGTCAGGGTCCAGGTCATGGGAGTCATGTGTGCTGTGATAAGAAGTTTGGACTTTATCCTAAAGATCACAAGGACCCCTTGAAGGATTTCAAGCAAGAGGATAATATACTCAGATATGTGTTAGGAATATCACTCTGGCAGCGGTGCAGAGTATAAGTTTGAAGGGGTTGTGTAGCGAGACTAGAAACAGGGTGATGAGCTAGGAGACTCTTGAAATCATCTACAAGAGAAGCAATGAGATGCAGTGTTAAGGCAATGACAGTGGGAATGGAGTGAAGGAAGAAGGTTTAAGAGATATTAGGAAAAACCAAATGCTTACAAGTTAGTGATTTAAAGATATTAGGGAATACGGAAAAAAGTGTGACTCTCAGGTTTGTAATTTCTTTTCTTTTCTATTTTTTTTTTTTGAGATGGAGTTTCACTCTTGTTGTCCAGGCTGGAGTGCAGTGGTGCGATCTCGGCTCACTGCAACTTCCACCTCCTGGGTTCAAGCGATTGTCCTGCCTCAGCCTCCCAAGCAGCTGGGATTACATGGGATTACAGGCAGGCACCACCATGCCCGGCTAATTGTTTTTGGTATTTTTAGTAGAGATGGGGTTTCACCATGTTGGCCAGGCTGGTTTCAAACTCCTGACCTCAGGTGATCCACCTGCCTTGACCTCCCAAAGTGCTGGGATTACAGGCTTGAGTCTTTTTTTTTTTTTTTTTGAGACAGGGTGTCACTCTGTCACCCAGGCTGGAGTGCAGAAGTGTAATCATGGCTCCCTGCAGCCTTGAACTCCTGGGCTCAAGCTATCCTCCCACCTCAGCCTCCTGAGTAGCTAGGACCACAAGTGTGCACTACTACACCCAGATAATTTATTTAAAAATTTTTTGAAAAAACCAGGGCTCTCACTATGTTGGCCAGGCTGGTCTTGAGCGCCTGAGCTTGAGTGACCCTCCCACCTCGGCATTCCAAAGTGCTGGGATTACAGACATGAGCCACTGTGCCTGGCCTCTAGTTTCAATAATAGGATAAATTATGGGGCCACTCACAGATAAAGAGAACATGGCAAGTCTCCACAGAATTGAAGAGAAGCACACATTTTGTAAGGAACATGCTGAGTTTCAGCTACTATGGGACTTTCAAGTGAAAACGTCAGTAGGGAATTTTCCCTACTGGTAGACATTAAGCAGAGGGTCATCGGAGCCACTAGTGTAGAAAGGTGCTAAACTGTTTCAGAGTCTTCTCTCACTTTCATTCATTTAATAAGCATTTACTAGGTGCCAGCACCTATGGTGGGTGCAAAGGATACAAAGGAAAGTAAGACAAAGCTCCTGCCTTTAAGGTTCTCACAATCCTTAGAGGGAGACAGACAAGTCAATATGCAATAATGCAGTTTGATAAGTGCTATGATGGAGGTATGCAGAGTGCTATGAAGGCAAGAGAGGAAGGACATCTAATTTGGAATGAGTGTAAAGGAGAAAGGCAGGGAAAGCTTACTGGTAGAGGCAATATGACAGAGAGGTGGAGAACTACAGTGGCCCTGAGAACACACCATGCAAGCCTCCAACTGTGGCAGGGTTTCTCAACCTTGTCGCTATTGACACTTTGGACAAGATTATTCTTTGATGTGGGGAGCTGGCCTGTGCATTGTAGGATACAATTCTACTCATCGGATGCCAGGGATACTCATTGTATCCCTGGCCTCTACTCATTGGATGCCAGGAGCCATCCTTCCCCTACCTGTGCCAAGCAAAAATGTCTCCAGCTGTTGCCAACTGTCCCCTGCGGGGAAAAACCGGCTGGTTGAGAACCACTAAATTACAGGAGCATCATTGATCAAGAGCCCCAACTGCTGTGGTCTGAAATTCATCACTGTTTTTGCACAATGCCACACTTCCCGTGGGCTGCTTCTAGCCAAGGGACTGAGCAGAGCAGGGATACTAAGGCAGTACTATTGTGGGGAGATGCAGAGTTTGGCTCAAGGACTTAACCTTACCAAACCTTTCTTTGACTGTGTGGCAGGCTAGGATGCTCCCACCCACCATTTCTTCCTTCCCGCTTCACCAGGGGTGTCAGATTTACATCAGTCTAATGGCTGTCTCTGCCTTCTCTGGCTCCCCCCACCATTTGCTCTCATATCGATGTTTCCCCTACTGAAATCCTTGAACATTTAATTCCTTTTTGCTTTCTGCTTCTCAGAGGACCCAGACTAACATTAGAAGTTAGACTCTGAAATCAGAAATATCATAATTTAAATCCTGGTTCCCCTTATTAGCTGTGCAGCCTTAAGCAAGTTACCATACTTTCTCTAAGCCTCAGTTCACTCATATGTAAAATGAGGGTAACAGTATCCACCTTAGAAGGTTGCTGTGAGCATTAAATAAACTACTGGATTTAAGATATTTAACATGGAGCTGGATAGCAAGTAAGAGCCCAGGCAGTGCTGACTCTTAGTAAAGGATGGATATGTGGGGAAAGAGGTGCTATGAGTAGAGTGATACCATGATACATAGGCATGATGGTGAGAAATACCACAGAAAGATTGGAAGGGATGTAAAATGCTACAAGCATTTCAGTATTCCTGTAACAAAGTGCAAAGCAGGAAGTGATGAGAGATCATGTGAGAGATGGGCAGGCCCCAAACCAAATAATTTCAACCCCTTCAACTTTTTTTTTTTTTTTTTGAGACAGAACCTAACTCTGTCACCCAGGCTGGAGTGCAGTGGCACAATCTCAGCTCACTGCAATCTCCACCTCCTGAGTTCAAGCGATTCTCCTGCCTCAGTCTCCCGAGTAGCTGGGATTACAGGTGCCCACCACCACACTCGGCTAATTTTTGTGTTTTTGGTAGAGACAGGGTTTCACCGTGTTGCCAGGCTGGTCTTGAACTCCATGGCCCACTGCATGGAAAGTTCACTGAGGAGTATATAAGAATAGCAAGTACAGACAGGTGCAGTGGCTCATGCCTGTAATCTCAGCACTTTGGGAGGCCAAGTTGGCCGGAATATGAGGTTAGGAGATTGAGACTATCCTGGCTAAAACAGTGAAACCCCATCTCTACTTAAAATACAAAAAATTAGCCGGGCATGGTGGCAGGTGCCTGTAGTCTCAGCTACTCAGGAGGCTGAGGCAGGAGAAAGGTGTGAACCTGGGAGGCGGAGCTTGCAGTGAGCAAAGATAGCACCACTGCTCTCCAGCCTAGGCAACAGAGCAAGACTCCATCTCAAAAAAAAAAAAAAAAAAGAATAGCAAGTACTAAATTTCAGAGAATCTAGGACATCCATGATTATAAGACACATTTTACCTTTATGTAACACTAAGAAAAGATAAAGACTGCCAATGAAACAAACACTCAATGCTTTCTATTCACACAGAATTTTTATTCTATATTTAATGAAAGAGTTATTTTAGACTTTAGACATAGACAAAGCAAAATAAAGTTATTATATTTCTAAAACTCCTTTTCATTAAGTCCAACTTCCTTGAGTCTTTTTGACTCATAGCCATTGAGTTCTGTGATTTTCCACATGGTATCATCCTCTGTCCCATCAAGAGCATTGAGGAGGCTAAAGGAATGCTTTACTATTTTCTCTAGAATTATCTTCCAAGCTGTTCAGACTTATTCTGCAAATCTGGATGTTAGTGCTTTCTTGATCTTACCAGAACGTCCCAGAGGATATTTGGATTAAGTTTACTCATGTGCACATGACAACTACATCACGAATGCAGCAAGGGTGATAGTGATTGTAAGGCTCATCCCAATTTCAAACATGTAAGGAAAATATGCATTTGAGAATCAATGAAATATGGATGTTTAAGTAGTTTAAAACTCTTTATACATGATGTATGAAAGAAAGCGGTTACCCCTCTCCAAATTATCTTACCCAGAACAAATGTCCTAAAAACATAGCTCTGGTTATATGACTCTTCAGCTCAACAAGAGTCAATAGCTCCTCTTTGCTTCTAGAGTAAAGGCCAACCTCTTAAAACCTGCATTTAAAGCCCTCCCTAATCTAACCACAACCTATCTTACCTATCTTATTTTCCACTGGTCATTCCTTGAACATATAAATAGGGAGACTGGTTAAAAAGCTGCCGTAATAAATGTCAGGGGCCTGGGGAAAGAAAGGGAAAGGGGAACAATTGAAAATGTTTTATTTATCTTTAAAAAGAAAAGTTTGAAAGGAAATAAACAGATTTGAAAAAGAAGCACATAGAGCATACAGAAATGAAAAACACAATAGAATAAAAACCAAAACATGTTGGTAGATTAGCCAATAGATTATACAAAGGAACTGGGAACGTGGGCCTGAGCGATGGACATCCAGGATTTATAGCATCCCCACTAGAGAAGATAGCTGCAGCAGCACTGTGATCGGGATACTAAGCCTTGGCCAGTGCAAGTAGAAAAGTTTGAGCCTGGCATTCTTTCACCTGAGATCCAATGGGCTGAATTGTTCTGAGAGAATAGTGTCCAATGACCACATGCAGAAGGATAATCATATCCACTCCAGAGAAAAGTTTCCCAAATTTAGATCCATGGGACCCCCACAGTTTAAGATCAATAATGAGCTCACAATTAAAATTACACAAGAAGGTAAGACATTATAAGAAAGGGTCAACTAGGAACCAGGAAATACAAAAGAGTTCTAGCTACCTAAGGAAAAAGATATTGCAATTGTTAGATACAGATTATAGAACAAAAGATAATAACTAAGCTGAAGAAGCAGTAAGGTACTATTAGGAATAAACAGGTAGATTTTGGAAAAATAGAATTTCTTAAAATGAAAGTTAAATTTAAAAACAAAATCAGGAGTTCGACACCAGCCTGGGCAACATAGAGAGGCCCTGTCTCTATAAAAATAACTAACTAAATAAAAACTTAGAATATATGCTTTAATGGTCTTTCTAAGATGCAAGAAGTGGTGAGTATATAAAATGGCAATCACATGTAAACTTAAAAACTGGTTGTCACTAATGTGTCACACCCATGTCAGTTGAGTGTCACACAGTCATGTGTCACACACGTGTCAGTCAGGTGTAAGTCACATGTCACACACATCAGTCACATCTCAAGTCACATGTCAAACATGTGTCAGTAACGTTGGTCACGTGTCACACAAGTCAGACACATGTCACACATTTGTCTATCACATGTCACACATGTCAGTTACACGTTGATCACATGCACACACTTGTAAGTCATGTGCCATGTGTCTCACTCATGTCAGGTTTCACACAAGTGTCAGTCAGGTGTGACACAATTTGGTCAAGAGTCAAACACGTGTATCACACATGTCCATCCTGTGTTACACACGTTGGTCACATGTCACACAAGTGTCACTCATGTCACGTATCAGTCACGTGTCACAAATGTGTGTCACTTCAGTCAGGGGTCACACATGTATCCATCACGTTTCAGTCACATGTCGCAAACGTGTCAGTCGTGTTAATTTTTCACGTGTCACATGTGTAAGTCATATGTCTATTACGTCAGTTACTTTTAAAAGACGCGTCAGTCATGTGTCAGTCACGTGTCACACATGTCAGCCACGTGTCACATCAATCACATGTCACACATGTCAGTCACGTGTTGGTCACATCACAAACCTGTCAGTCACATGTCACGTTATACACGTGTCCACCACGTCAATTACTTGTGACCCACGTGTTGGTCACATGTCACACACGTGTCAGTCATATGTCACACACATGTCTCATTCATGTCCGTCAGGTTTCGCACAGTGTCAGCCAGGTGTGAAAAAATTTGGTCGAGTCAAACACGTGTCACACACATGTCCATCATGTGTCACACACATATTGGTCACATGTCACAGAGGTGTCACACACCTGTAAGTCATGTCAGGTGTCACACACATTTCAGTCACGTGTCACACAGGTGTCACACGCGTCAATCAGGTTTCACACATGTGCCTATCAGGTGTCACACAAGTGTCACGTGTCACACAGGTCTCAGTCACGTGTCAGTCATGTGTCACATATCATTTATGTGTTGATCATGTGTCAGTCACTTGTCTCACAGGTGTCAGTCACGTATCAGTCATGTGTCACACGTCTAAGTCACATGTCACACACATCTATCACGTGTCAGTCACGTGTTTGTCACGTCTGTCACGATTCACACACGTCAGTCACATACCAGTCACGTGTCTGTCACTTGTCAAGCCCATTCACACATATGTCAGTCACGTATCACCCATGTGTCACGCACATCACACATGTCAGTCATGTCACATGCGAGTCACATGACAGTCTTGTGTAACACGCATTACCAACATGTGACAGACACGTGAATAATACATGGGTGATGCATGTATGACACGTGACTAACAAGTGACTGACGTGTGACATATGACTGACACATGTGTGACATGTGAGACACTTCACCGACATGTGAGTGACACGTGTGACACGTCTGTGCCACCTGACACGTAACTTAAATGTGTGTGTTAAACGTGTCATAAAGGTTGTTTGTACACATTATTTTATCACCCAGGCATTAAGCCTACTAACCATCAGTTATTTTTTCTGTTTCTCTTCCTCCTCCCACCCTCCACCTCCTGATAGGCCCCAGTGCATGCTGCTCCCTTCTATGTGTCTGTGTTCTCCCATCATCTAGCTCCCACTTATAAGTGAGAACATGTGGTGTTGGGTTTCCTGTTCATGTGTTTATTTGCTAAGGATAATGGTCTCCAGCTCCATTCACGTCCCTTCAAAGGATATGATCTTGTTCTTTTTTATGGCTACATAGTACTCCATGGTGTATATGTACTACATTTTCTTCATCCAGTCTATTACAGATGAACATGTGGGTTGATTTGATGTCTTTGCTATTATGAATAGGGCTCCAATGAATTTGTGTGTGCATGTGTCTTTATAATAGAATGACTTATATTGCTTTGGGTATATACCCAGTAATGAGATTGCTTGGTCAAATGGTATTTTTGTCTTTAGATCTTTGAAGAATCACCACGCTGTCTTCCACAATGGTTGAACTCATTTACACTTCCACCAACAGGGTAAAAACGTTCCTTTTTCGCCACAACTTTGCCAGCATCTGTTATTTTTTGACTTTTTAGTAATAGCCATTTTGATTGTTATAAAATGGTATCTCATTGTGGTTTGGATTTGCATTTCCCTAATGATCAGTGATGGTGAAATTTTATTGGCTGCATGTATGTCTTCTTTTGAAAAGTGTCTCTTCATGTCCTTTGCCCACTTTTTAATAAGGTTGTTTTTTTCTTGTAAATTTAAGTCCCTTATAGATGCTGAAAATTAGATCTTTGTCAGATGCATAGTTCACAAAAATTTTCTCCCATTCTGTATATTGTCTGTTTACTCTGTTGATAGTTTCTTTTGCTGTGCAGAAGCTCTTTAGTTTAATTAGAACCCATCTGTCAATGTTTCCTTTGTTGCAATTGCTTTGGCATCTTCATTATATAATATTTGCCCATGCCTATGGTATTGCCTAGGTTGTCTTCTAAAATTTTTATAATTTTAGGTTTTGCATTTAACTCATTAAACTATCTTGAGTAAATTTTTCTATAGGGTGTAAGGAAGGAATTCAGTTTCTTTTTTGTTTTTTAATTTTAGTTTAATTTCTGGGATACAAGTGCAGAACGTGTAGGTTTGTTACATAGGTATATGTGTGCCATGGTGAATTGCTGCACTTATCAACCCATCATCCAGGCTTCAAGCCCTGCATGCATTAGCTGTTTGTCCTAATGCTCTCCCTCCCCTCACCCCCAACCCCCGACTAGCCCCCGGTGTGTATTGTTTTCCCCCCACCCCAGTGTCCATGTATTCTTATTGTTCAACTTCCACTTATGAGTGAGAACGTGCTGTTTGGTTTTCTGTTCCTGTGTTAGTTTGCTGAGGATGATGGAGGAAGGGGTTCTGTTTCAATTTTCTGCATATGGCTAGCCAGTTATCCCAGCACCATTTATTGAATAGGTAGTCATTTTCCATTGCTTGTTTTTGTCAGGTTTGTCAAAGATCAGATAGTTGTAGCTGTGCAGTCTTATTTCTGCATTCTTTATTCTTTTTCATTAGTATATGTGTCTGTTCTTGTACCAGTACCATGCTGTTTTGGTTACTATAGCCCCGTAGTGTAGTTTGAAGTTGGAGAGCATAATGTCTCCAGCTTTGTTCTTTTTTCCTTAGGATTGTCTTGACTATTCAGGCAATTTTTTGGTTCCATATAAGTTTTAAAATAGATTTTTCTAGTTTTGTGAAAAATGTCAGTGGTAGTTTAATGAGAATAGTATTAACTCTATAAATTTTGGGGGTTAGCATGGCTATTTTAACAATATGAATTCTTCCTATCTGTAAGCATGAAATGTTTTTCCATTTGTTTATGTCATATCTGATTTATCTGAGTTTATAGTTCTCCTTGTAGAAATGTTCACTTCCCTTGTTAGATGCATTCCTAGGTATTTTATTCTTTTGTGGCAATTGTGAATGGGAGTTCATTTACGATTTTACTCTCAGCTTGACTGTTGTTGGTGTATAAGAATCCTAGTGATTTTTGCACATGGATTTTGTATCTTGAGACTTTGCTAAAGATGTTTATCAGCTTAAGAAGCTTTGGGGCTGAGACGATAGGATTTTCTGGATATAGGATCATGTTATGTAACATCAGGTGTAGTTTAACTTCCTCTCTTTCAATTTGAATGCCTTTTATTTCTTTCTCTTGCCTGATTGCTCTGGCCAGTAACTTCCAATACTATCTCAAATAGAAGTGGTGGAAGAGGGCATCCTTATCTTATAGGGGTTTCAAAGGGGAATGCTTTCAGCTTTTGCCCTTTCAGTATGATGTTGGCTGTGGGTTTGTCATATATGGTTCTTATTATTTTGAGGTATGTTTTTTCAATACTTAGTTTATTGAGGGTTTTTAACATGAATGGATGTTGAATTTTATTGAAAGATTTTTCTGCATCTATTGAGATAATCATGTGGGATTTTTTTCTTTAGTTCTGTTTATGTGATGAATCACATATTGATTTGTAGATGTTGAACCAAACTTGCATCCCACAGATGAAGCCTACTTGATTGTGGTGGATAAGATTTTTGATATTCTGCTGGTTTTGGTTTGCCAGTACTTTTTTGAGAATTTTTGCATCAATGTTCATCAGGAATATTGGCCTGAAGTTTTCTTTTTTTCTTGTGTCTCTGCCGGGTTTTGGTACCAGGATGATGCTTGTCTCATAGAAAGAGTTAGGGAGAAAACCCTCTGTTTCAAGTTTTTGAAATAGTTTTAGTAGGAATTGTTCCAGTTCTTTGTAAATCTGGTAGGATTCAACCATTAATCTTTCTGGTCCTGTGCTTTTTGTGGTTATGCTATTTATTACTGCCTCAATTTCAGAGCCTGTTTTTTGTCTTTTCAGGGATTAAATTTATTCCTGGTTTAGTCTTGAAAGGGTGTGTGTGGCCAGACATTTATCCATTTCTACTGGATTTTCAGCTTATGTGCATAGAGTTGTTTATAATATTCTCTAATAGTTATTTTTATTTCTGTGGAGTCAGTGGTAACCTCTATTATTTCTGACTGTGTTTATTTGAATTTTTTATCTTTTCTTTCTTGTTAGTCTATCTAGTGGTCTATCTACTTTATTGGTTTAAAAAAATCAGCTCTTGAATTTGTTGATCTTCTGAATGGTTTCTCATGTCTTTATTTCCTTGAGTTCAACTCTGATTTTAGTTATTTCTTGTCTTCTGGTAGCTCTAGGATTTCTTTGCTCTTTTTTCTGTAGTTATTTTAGTTGTGTTGTTAAGTTCTTAACTTGGGATCTTTCTAGCTTTTTAATGTGGGCATTTAGTGCTATAAATTTTCCTCTTAATACTGCCTTAGCTGTGTCCCAGAGATTCTGGTATGTTTTGTCTTTGTTCTCATTGGTTTCAGAGAACTTCTCGATACTAGCCTTAATTTCATTATTTATTCAAAATTAATTCAGGAGCAGGTTTTTCAATTTCCGTGTAATTTTATGGTTTACAGTAAATTTATTAGTCTTGAGTTCTAATTTGATTGTGCTGCAGTCTGAGACACTATTTATTATAATTTTAGTTCTTTGTATTTGCTGAGGAGTGTTTTACTTCCAACTATGTGGCTGATTTCAGCAAATGTGCCATGTGGTGATGAGAAGAATGTATTCTGCTATTTGGGGTAGATAGTTCTGTAAATATCTATCACATCCATTTTATCCAGAGCTAAGTTCAGGTCCTGAATATCTTTGTTAATTTTCTGTCTCAATGATCTGTCTAATATTGTCAGTGGTGTGTTAAAATCTCTCACTATTAAAGTGAGGGTGTCTAAGTCTCTTTGAAGATCTCTAGGAACTTGTTATATGAATCTGGGTACTCTCATGTTGGGTGCATATGTATTTAGGATAGTTAGTTCTTCTTGTTGAATTGAACCCTTTACCATTATGTGATGCCTCTCTCTTTTTTTTAATCTGTGTTGGTTTAAAGTCTGTTTTGTTGAAAACTAGGATTGCAATCCCTGATTGTTTCTGTTTTCAATTTGCTTGGTAAAATTTCCTCCATCCTTTTGTTTTTAGCCTATGTGTGTCATTGCATGTGAGATGGATGTTTTAAAGACTGCATACCAATGGGTCTTGGCTTGCCACTCTGTGTGCTGTAATTGGGACATTTAGCCTATTTACTTTTAAGGTTAGTATTATTATATATAGATTTGATCCTGTCATCTTGATGCTAGCTCTTCATTTTGCAGACTTGTTTAAGTGGTTGACATAATGTCAGTGATCTGTGTCATTCAGGTGTTTTTGTAGTGGCTGGTAATAAATTTTTCTTTCCAAATTAGTGCTTCTTTCAAAAGCTCTTGAAAAGCAGATCTGGTGGTAATGAATTACCTCAGCATTTGCTTGTCTAAGAGGGATTTTATTTATCCCTAGCTTAGGCTTGGTAGGCCAGATATAAAATTCTGGGTTACAATTTATTTTCTTTAAGAGTGTTAAATATTGGCCCCCAATCTTTCATGGCTTGTAGGGTTTTCACTGAGAGGTCTGCTGGTAGTCTGATGAGCATCCCTTTGTAGGTGACCTGGCCTTTCTTTTTGGCTGCCCTTTTTTTTTCATTTCAACTATGGAGAATCTGATGATTATATGTCTTGAGCATGATCTTTTCATGGAGTATCCTACTGGGGTTCTCTGCATTTGCTGAATTTTAATGTTGGCCTGTACAGCAAGATTGAGGACATTCTCATGGATGATATCCTGAAATATGTTTTCCAAATTTGTTCCATTCTCCACAGCTCTTTCAGATACACTAATCAGTTATAGATTTTTGTCTCTTTATACAATTCCATATTTCTCAGAAGTTTTGTTCATTCCTTTTCATTATTTTCTTTTTCTTTCATTCTTTTCTTTTTCTATTTTTGTCTGCCTGTCTTATTTCAGAAATACAGATAGAGCTTCACTGCAGACAGAGCTTGAATTCTAAGCTCTATTCAGTTGCTTAGATTCTTCTCCATCTTGGCCAATTTGTTTGTCAGCTCCTACAATGTTATACTGTAATTTTTAACTTTCTTGCATTGAGTTGGAACATGCTCCTTTACATCAGCGAAGTTTATTTTTATCCACATTCTGGGGTCTACTTTTGTTATTTCAGCAATCTCAGCCTCAGCCCCATTCTGAACTCTTGCTGGAGAAGTAATGTGGTCATTTGGAGGAGGGAGAGAACTCTGGCTTTTTGAGTTTTTAGTATTTTTCTGCTGATCCTTTCTCTCCTTTGTGTGCTTATCTACCTTTAATCATTCAGGTTGCTGACCTTTGAATGGGGTTTTTTGTTTGTTTGCTTGTTTTCCTTTTAACTGTTTGGCCATTTTGTGCAGGGCTGCTGCAGTTTGTTGGGCATCTGCCCCAGTCTCTAGTCATCTCGGATTTTTCAGTATCTGGAGGGTTTGCCAGTGAGTGCTGTGAAACAACAAAGATAACAGCCCACCTCTTTCCCTGGAAGCTCCATTGCAGGGGAGGTGCAGACCTGCCGCTGGCTTGAACACACCTGTAGGCTGTGACTGGAGACCCCAGTTGGGAGGTCTCACCCAGCCAGGAGGAACAGAATTGGGGACCCACTTAAAGAAGCAGTCTAGTATCAGGGGAACCAGCCCCTGATATTTCAACGTAGGTTCTTTTCTATTTTCCCTAAGTGTCAGCCGGTCTGAGAAACAAAGAGAAAGAGTACAAAAGAGATAAATTTTAAAGCTGGGTGTCCAGGGAAGACATCACTTGTTGGCAGGTTCTGTGATGCCCCCGAACCATAAAACCAGCAAGTTTTTATTAGTAATTTTCAAAGGGGAGGGAGTGTATGAATAAGATGTGGGTCGCAGAGACAACATGCTTCAAGGGCAGCAAAAGATCACAAGGCAGAAGGTCAGGGTGAGATCACAAGGTCAGGGCAAAACTAGAATTACTAATGAAGTTGCATGTCCTGCTGTGTATGCATTGTCATTGACAAACATCTTAACAGGGTTCAAGATCAGAGAACCGGTCTGACTAGAATTCGCCAGGCTGGAATTTCCTAATCCTAGCAAGCCTGGGGGCGCTGCAGGAGGCCAAGGCATGTTTCATCCCTTATCTGCAACTGCATAAGGCAGACAACCCCCCAGAGCAGCCATTTTAGAGGCCCCCCCTGGGAATGCATTCTTTTCCCAGGGCTGTTATTAATATTCCTTACTGGGGAAAGAATTCAGCAATATTTCTCTTACCTGTTTTCAGTAATAAGGGAAATATGGCTCTGTCCTGCCTGGCTCCCAGGCAGTCAGACCTAATGGTTATCTCCCTTGTTCCCTGAACATCACTGTTATCCTGTTCTTTTTTCAAGGTGCCCAGATTTCATATTGTTCAAACACACATGCTTTATGAACAATTTGTGCAGTTAACGCAATCATCACAGGGTCCTGATGTGACATATATCCTCAGCTTACTAAAATGATGGGATTAAGAGATTAAAGACAGGCATAAGAAATTATAAGGGTATTGATTGGGGAAGTGATAAATGTCCATGAAATCTTCACAATTTATATTCTTCTGACATGGCTTCAGCAGGTCCCTCCATTCAGGGTCCCTGACTTCCCACAACAGTCTAGCCCCACTTTCATAGGGCAGCCATGCTGTGCTGGGGTACCATTTCTGCCTCTCATCAGATTGGGCTCTTCAAAGCCTGGAGGCTGAAACAGCTAAATTGCTGAAACAGCTAAATTGCTGAAACAGCAAAGAAGGTGGTCAACCTCTCTGGGAACTCTGTCCCAGAAAGTTTTCAAGTTCTCTGTTGGCCAGAGAACATCAGTGGGAGTGGCTGGAGGCCCTGGTTGGGAAGACCCACCCAGAGATGAGGAGCTTATTATGGTCTCATCTAAAGAAGCAGTCTGATCACATCATAGTAGAGCCACTGTGCTGTGCTGAGGGATCTCTTCTGCCCCTGGATGGTTTGGACTCTCCTAAGCCCACAGGCTGGAATGGCTGAGTTATCCAAACAGCAAATATGGTGGCCTACTCCTCCCACTGGGCACTGCATCCAGGGAGAAATCAAAATTCTGTCTGCTGGAGAATATGGAAGGGGCTAGCTGGAGTCCCCAGTAGGAGGCCCCACCCTGAGATGTAAAATGTGTCAGGGTCCCACTTAAAGAAGCAGTCTGTCCACATTTTGGTAGAACCACTGTGCTGTGCTTGGGGTTCCTTTTATCTGCCATCAGCTTTGTTTGGACTCTCCTAAACCTACAGACTGGAATGGCTAAGTCATCCAAACAACAGATATCGACCCTGCCTCTGCCTTCAGGAGCTCTGTCCCATCCCAGGTAGGTGCAATACTATTACTAGGGGTTGGCTGGAATTCCAAGCCAGTGGGTCTTATCCTATAAGGTGCCATGGTATTGGGGCCCACAGACTGATGCTGCTCAGCCACATGATTCAGCTTCCTTTCTAGCGGTGTTTATGGAGGTCCAACTTCCTGCCTTGTCTGAGTTGCAGTCACCTTTGCTGGAGATCCTGGAGCCAGAGTGTGTAAAGCTCCTGAGATTCTCTTTGTGTCTGAGCAGTTGCTCTGCCAAGACCACACAGCTCTGTGTGTCAGAACAAAGGCCCTGGTGGAATGGGTTCATGAGAAGATCTCCTGAGCTGAGGGTTGCAAAGATCCATGGAAGAAGTGTGGTTTCCCAGGGTCACATATTCAGTCACCACTTTCCTGAGCAAGGTAGGTTCCCTTGGCTCTGTGTCACTCCAGGGTGGGTGGTTGCCATGCCCTGCTTTTCTCCATTTTCGGTGGGTTGAGCTGTTTCCTTCATTAGTCCCAGTGCAAATACCTACGTGTTTCAGTTGAAGGTGTTGTATTTACTATCCCCCTTTGTTCCTTTCCATGACAGCCACATATGGTAGCTGCTTCCAATCAGCCATCCTGGCACCCTTCTCTGCTACAATATTTCCATAGATGGTTTTTACCCTGTAGGTTGTCTCATGACCCAAGATGTCTACAGGAACACCAGCCTGTACCAGCAACCATGTGCCTTTCAAAGAGCAGGAAGGAGGAAAGATGCAAGGCCGAAGTGGCTCACACAGCTGAGTCAGCTCCATCTGAGGAGTCTCCCTGAAGTCCCATCAATACTTCTGGTTACACCCAATTGTCTTGAACATCTTCTAGTCATTGTTAGCTTCAATAGGGGTCAGAAACTATAATTTTTGTGCTTGGTAAGTTGCTGTTTGAATAAAACTGAATCTCTGTTTTTAAGAATGAAAGCAAAGTAAAAATTGTGGCAATGATGAGTTCTCTTTTTCTACACTAAATTCAAAGATAAACAGGAGAAGGTGGAGTTTTTTCTCAGGTGAAATGGGCACTTATTTTCCAAACAAAGCCTCTTTTGGTGTATATTTATTTTCAGACCAGATGGGAAAAAGTCTTGGTTCTGACAAGCACTCCCTTTATGACCAAAGGTTAGTCAGGCTTAACTGAACTCTCTCTTTGACTAAGCCAACCTTGACTTGTTGCCCAGCTCCTGATTTGAGAAGCTCATTTTCAGAAATCCTGCTAAGATTGCTCAGTAAAAATCAACATATCCTTTACATCTATTAAAATTCGAATTCCTCTTCCTTAATATTTAAGTCCTTAACTTGCCTGTAGACAGAATTCTGTTTTTAAAAAGGCCTCTTCCTTTGATATGTTATCAATTTTTTTCAGTAATTTTTTATACGTTAAGTTTTAGGGTACATGTGCACAAAGTGCAGGTTTGTTACATATGGGTACATGTGCCATGTTGGTGTACTGCACCCATTAACTAGTCATTTAACATTAGGTGTATCTCCTAATGCTATCCCTCCCCCCTTCCCCCACCCCACAACAGGCCCCAGTGTGTGATGCTCCCCTTCCTGTGTCCATGTGTTCTCATTGATCAATGCCCACCTATGAGTGAGAACATGAGGTGTTTGGTTTTTTGTCCTTGCGATAGTTTGCTGAGAGTGATGGTTTCCGGCTTCATCCATGTCCCTAAAAAGGACATGAACTCATCATTTTCTATGGCTGCATAGTATTCCATGGTGTATATGTGTCACATTTTCTTAATCCAGTCTATCATTGTTGGACATTTGGGTTGGTTCCAAGTCTTTGCTATTGTGAATAGTGCCACAGTAAACATATCTGTGCATGTCTCTTTATAGCAGCATGATTTATAATCCTTTGGGTATATAACCAGTAATGGGATGGCTGAGTCAAATGGTATTTCTAGTTCTAGATCCCTGAGGAATCGCCACACTGACTTCCACAATGGTTGAACTAGTTTACAGTCCCACCAACAGTGTAAAACTGCTTCTATTTCTCCTCATCCTCACTGGCACCTGTTGTTTCCTGACTTTTTAATGATGGCCATTCTAACTGGTGTGAGATGGTATCTCATTGTGGTTTTGATTTGCATTTCTCTGATGGCCAGTGATGATGAGCATTTTTTCATGTGTTTTTTTGGCTGCATAAATGTCTTCTTTTGAGAAGTGTCTGTTCATATCCTTTGCCCACTTGTTGATGGGGTTGTTTGTATTTTTCTTGTAAATTAGTTTGAGTTCATTGTAGATTCTGGATATCAGCCGTTTGTCAGATGAGTAGGTTGTGAAAATTTTCTCCCATTCTGTAGGTTGCCTGTTCACTCTGATGGTAGTTTCTTTTGCTGTTGCAGAAGCTCTTTAGTTTAATTAGATCCCATTTGTCAATTTTGGCTTTTGTTGCCATTGCTTTTGGTGTTTTAGACATGAAGTCCTTGCCCATGCCTATGTCCTGAATGGTATTGCCTAGGTCTTCTTCTAGGGTTTTTACAGTTTTAGGTCTAACATGTAAGTCTTTAATCCATCTTGAATTAATTTTTGTATAAGGTGTAAGGAAGGGATCCAGTTTCAGCTTTCTACTTATGGCTAGCCAGTTTTCCCAGCACCATTTATTAAACAGGGAATCCTTTCCCCATTGCTTGTTTCTGTCAGCTTTGTCAAAGATCAGATAGTTGTAGATGTGCAGCATTATTTCTGAGGGCTCTGTTCTGTTCCATTGGTCTATATCTCTGTTTTGGTACCAGTACCATGCTGTTTTGGTTACTGTAGCCTTGCAGTATAGTTTGAAGTCAGGTAGCGTGATGCCTCCAGCTTTGTTCTTTTGGCTTAGGATTGACTTGGCGATGCGGGCTCTTTTTTGGTGCCATATGAACTTTAAAGTAGTTTTTTCCAATTCTGTGAAGAAAGTCATTGGTAGCTTGATGGGGATGACATTGAATCTACAAATTACCTTGGGCAGTATGGCCATTTTCACGATATTGATTCTTCCTACCCATGAGCATGGAATGTTCTTCCATTTGTTTGTATCCTCTTTTATTTCATTGAGCAGTGGTTTGTAGTTCTCCTTGAAGAGGTCCTTCACGTCCCTTGTGAGTTGGATTACTAGGTATTTTATTCTCTTTGAAGCAATTGTGAATGAGAGTTCACTCATGATTTGGCTCTCTGTCTGTTATTGGTGTATAAGAATGCTTGTGATTTTTGCACATTGATTTTGTATCCTGAGACTTTGCTGAAGTTGCTTATCAGCTTAAGGAGATTTTGGGCTGAGACAATGGGGTTTTCTAGATGTACAATCATGTCATCTGCAAACAGGGACAATTTCATTTCCTTTTTTCTAATGGAATGCCATTTATTTCCTTCTCCTGCCTGATTTTCCTGGCCAGAACTTCCAACACTATGTTGAATAGGAGTGATGAGAGAGGGCATCCCTGTCTGTCCTGTGCCAGTTTTCAAAGGGAATGCTTCCAGTTTTTGCCCATTCAGTATGATATTGGCTGTGGGTTTGTCATAGATAGCTCTTATTATTTTGAGATACGTCCCATCAATACCTAATTTATTGAGTTTTTAGCATAAAGGATTGTTGAATTTTGTCAAAGGCCTTTTCTGCATCTATTGAGATAATCATGTGGTTTTTGTCATTGGTTCTGTTTATATGCTGGATTACGTTTATTGATTTGCATATGTTGAACCAGCCTTGCATCCCGGGAATGAAGCCCACTTGATCATGGTGGATAAGCTTTTTGATGTGCTGCTGGATTCGGTTTGCCAGTATTTTATTGAGGATTTTTGCATCGATGTTCATCAGGGATATTGGTCTAAAGTTCTCTTTTTTGTTGTTACTCTGCCAGGCTTTAGTATTAGGATGATGCTGGCCTCTTAAAATGAGTTAGGGAGGATTCCCTCTTTTTCTATTGATTGGAATAGTTTCAGAAGGAATGGTACCAGCTCCTCTTTGTACCTCTGGTAGAATTAGGCTGTGAATCCATCTTGTCCTGGACTTTTTTTGGTTAGTAAGCTATTAATTTTTGCCTCAATTTCAGAGCCTGTTATTGGTCTATTCAGAGATTCAACTTCTTCCTGGTTTAGTCTTGGGAGGGTGTATGTGTTGGGGAATTTATCCATTTCTTCTAGATTTTCTAGTTTATTTGTGTAGAGGTGTTTATAGTATTCTCTGATGGTAGTTTGTATTTCTGTGGGATCAGTGGTGATATCCCCTTTATCATTTTTTTATTGCGTCTATTTGATTCTTCTCTCTTTTCTTCTTTATTAGTCTTGCTAGCGGTCTATCAATTTTGTTGATCTTTCAAAAAACCAGCTCCTGGATTCATTGATTTTTTGAAGGGTTTTTTGTGTCTCTATTTCCTTCAGTTCTGCTCTGATCTTAGTTATTTCTTGCCTTCTGCTAGCTTTTGAATGTGTTTGCTCTTGCTTCTCTAGCTCTTTTAATTGTGATGTTAGGGTGTCAATTTTAGATCTTTCCTGCTTTCTCTTGTGGGGGCATTTAGTGTTATAAATTTCCCTCTACACACTGCTTTGAATGCGTCCCAGAGATTCTGGTATGTTGTGTCTTTGTTCTCATTGGTTTCAAAGAACATCTTTATTTGTGCCTTCATTTCGCTATGTACCCAGTAGTCATTCAGGAGCAGGTTGTTCAGTTTCCATGCCGTTGAGCGGTTTTGAGTGAGTTTCTTAATCCTGAGTTCTAGTTTGATTGCACTGTGGTCTGAGAGATAGTTTGTTATAATTTCTGTTCTTTTACATTTGCTGAGGAGTGCTTTACTTCCAACTATGTGGTCAATTTTGGAATAGGTGTGGTGTGGTGCTGAAAAGAATGTATATTCTGTTGATTTGGGGTGGAGAGTTCTGTAGATGTCTATTAGGTCCACTTGGTGCAGAGCTGAGTTCAATTCCTGGATATCCTTGTTAACTTTCTGTCTCGTTGATCTGTCTAATGTTGACAGTGGGGTGTTAAAGTCTCCCATTATTATTGTGTGGGAGTCTAAGTCTCCTTGTAGGTCTCTAAGGCCTTGCTTTATGAATCTGGGTGCTCCTGTATTGGGTGCATATATATTTAGTATAGTTAGCTCTTCTTGTTGAATCGATCCCTTTACCAGTAGGTAATGGCCTTCTTTGTCTCTTTTGATCTTTGTTGGTTTAAAGTCTGCTTTATCAGAGACTAGGATTGCAACCCCTGCCTTTTTTCATTTTCCATTTGCTTGGTAGATCTTCCTCCATTCCTTTATTTTGAGCCTATGTCTGTCTGCACGTGAGATGGGTTTCCTGAATACAGCACACTGATGGGTCTTGACTCTTTATCCAATTTGCCAGTCTGTGTCTTTTAATTGGAGCATTCAGCCCATTTACATTTAAGGTTCATATTGTTGTGTGTGAATTTGATCCTGTCTTTATGATGTTAGCTGGTTATTTTGCTCATTACTTGATGCAGTTTCTCCCTAGCCTCAATGGTCTTTACAGTTTGGCATGTTTTTGCAGTGGCTGGTACCGGTTGTTCCTTTCCATGTTTAGTGCTTCCTTCAGAAGCTCTTGTAGGGCAGGCCTGGTGGTGACAAAATCTCTCGGCATTTGCTTGTCTGTAAAGGATTTTATTTCTCCTTCACTTATGAAGCTTAGTTTGGCTGGATATGAAATTCTGGGTTGAAAATTCTTTTCTTTAAGAATGTTGAATATTGGCCCCCACTCTCTTCTGGATTGTAGAGTTTCTGCCAAGAGATCAGCTGTTAGTCTGATGGGCTTCCCTTTTTGGGTAACCCAACTTTTTTCTCTGGCTGCCCTTAACATTTTTTCCTTCATTTCAACTTTGGTGAATCTGACAATTATGTGTCTTGGAGTTGCTCTTCTCGAGGAGTATCTTTGTGGCATTCTCTGTATTTCCTGAATTTGAATGTTGGCCTGCCTTGCTAGATTGAGGAAGTTCTCCTGGATAATATCCTGCAGACTGTTTTTCCAACTTGGTTCCATTCTCCCCATCACTTTCAGGTACACCAATCAGGCTTTGTTCATTTCTTTTTATTCTTTTTTCTCCAAACTTCTTTTCTCACTTCTTTTCATTCATTTGATCTTCTATCACTGATACCCTTTCTTCCAGTTGATCGCATCAGCTACTGAGGCTTGTGCATTTGTCTCATAGTTCTCGTGCCATGGTTTTCAGCTCCATCAGGTCTTTTAAGGACTTCTCTGCATTGGTTATTCTAATTAGCCATCCATCTAATCCTTTTTCAAGGTTTTTAACTTCTTTGCCATGGGTTCAAACTTCCTCCTTTAGCTCAGTGTAGTTTGATCATCTGAAGCCTTCTTCTCTCAACTCGTCAAAGTCATTATCCATCCAGCTTTGTTCCATTGCTGGTGAGGAGCTGCATTCCTTTGGAGAAGGAGAGGCACTCTGATTTTTTAAATTTTCGGTTTTTCTGCTCTGTTTTTTCCCCATCGTTGTGGTTTTTATCTACCTTTGGTCTTTGATGATGGCGACGTACAGATGGGGTTTTGGTGTGGATGTCCTTTCTGTTTGTTAGTTTTCCTTCTAACAGTCAGGACCCTCAGCTGCAGGTCTGTTGGAGTTTGCTGGAGGTCCACTCCAGGCCCTGTTTGCCTGGGTCTCAGCAGCGGAGGCTGCAGAACAGCGGATATTGGTGAACAGCAAGTGTTGCTGCCTGATTGTTCCTCTGGAAGTTTTGTCTCAGAGGAGCACCCGGCTGTGTGAGGTGTCAGTCTGCCCCTACTGGGGCGTGCCTCCCAGTTAGGCTACTCAGGGATTAGAGGCCCACTTGAGGAGGCAGTCTGTCCATTCTCAGATCTCAAGCTGCATGCTGGGAGAACCACTACTCTCTTCAAAGCTGTCAGACAGGGACATTGAAGTCTGCAGAGGTTTCTGCTGCCTTTTGTTTGGCTATGCCCTGCCCCCAGAGGTGGAGTCTACAGAGGAAGGCAGGCCTCCTTGAGCTGTGGTGGGCTCCACCCAGTTTGAGCTTCCTGGCCACTTTGTTTACCTACTCAAGCCTCAGCAATGGTGAGCGCCCCTCCCTCAGCCTCACTGCCGCCTTGCAGTTTGATCTCAGACTGAAGTGCTAGCAATGAGTGCGGCTCTGTGGGTGCAGGACCCTCCAAGCCAGGCACGGGATATAATCTCCTGGTGTGCCATTTGCTAAGACCACTGGAAAAGCACAGTATTAGGGTGGGAGTGACCCAATTTTCCAGGTGCCATCTGTCACCCCTTTCCTTGGCTAGGAAAGGGAATTCCCTGACCCCTTGTGCTTCCCGGGTGAGGCAATGCCTCGCCCTTCTTTGGCTCATGCTCCGTGTGCTGCACGCACTGTCCTGCACCCACTGTCCGACAATCCCCAGTGAGATGAACCCGGTACCTCAGTTGGAAATGCAGAAATCACCCGTCTTCTGCATCGTTCACGCTGGGAGCTGTAGACTGGAGCTGTTCCTATTTGGCCATCTTGGCTCCACCCCTTCAGTAAGTTTTTATCCACTGACTTATCTGCTTATTGACTATAAATCTTGAGTCATCTGTGTTCAGAGTTATGATCAATTTCTGAATCCTATTACAATGGCCATAACATCTACTGCAATTGTATTAAAGTCTTTCTTCCCAATTTTTAACAAATGTCACAATTTTTTAATTTGGCATTTGCCCAACAGGATGTTTGAGTATAAAAACAGTTTTTAGGTGGGCATGGTGGCTCACACCTGTAATCCCAGCACTTTGGGAAGCCACACCTGTATCCCAGCACTTATTTTGTGTGGTTCAAGTTCTCTAACATAACATAGTATGGTCAAAATGGAAGGGTAAAAATTGCAAGACCAACTTAACATTTGTCATCTTAAATATACTATAAGAATGCCTTTTAAATTAATTCAGTGATTAGGTTTTTAAGTGCATGGTTTAGGTTATACTGAAGTGTCAAATACTACCGCACCCTAATTTGCAGTAGATTAACAGCATATTTTAACACACATAACAGTGCTGTTGGGAGACCAAGTTGAAAAGGCACCTCCTCTCTACATGGTCATTCGGGAACTCAGGAACTCCTGCCTTCATAGAATTTAATATCCCATTTGTCTCAGTTTAGCCAGTGTCAAGAGTCATTTGCAGAGAGGTTTCAAGTGCTTGAGAGAGACTGGCCTGTAAACTAAAAAGAGATCTCTGTCTGTACACAGGTGGAACTGTAAAACATTCACTTTGGGCCAGGCGCGGTGGCTCACGCCTGTAATCCCAGCACTTTGGGAGGCCAAGGTGGGCAGATCATGAGGTCAGGAGTTCAAGACCAGCCTGGTTGGGCTGGGCGCAGTGGGTCACGCCTGTAATCCCAGCAATTTGGGAGGCCGAGGCGGGCGGATCACGAGGTCAGGAGATCCATCCATCCTGGTTAACACAATGAAACCCCGTCTCTACTAAAAATACAAAAAAATTAGCCAGGCATGATGGCAGGCACCTGTAGTCCCAGCTACTCGGGAGGCTGAGGCAGGAGAATGGCGTGAACCCGGGAGGCGCAGCTTGCAGTGAGCCGAGATTGTGCCACGGCACTCCAGCCTGGGTGACAGAGCGTGACTCTATCTCAAAAAAAAAAAAAAAAAAAAAAAAAAAAGACCAGCCTGGTCAATTGTGAAACCCCAACTCTATTAAAAATACAAAAATTAGCCGGGCGTGGTGGCGCACACCTGTAGTCCCAGCTACTCAGGAGCCTGAGGCAGAAGAATCGCTTAAACCTGGGAGGCGTAGGTTGCAGGGAGGCGGAGGTTGCGGTGAGCCGAGATTGAGCCACTGCACTCCAGCCTGGGTGACAGAGTGAGACTCTATGTAAAAAAAAAAAATCACTCTGTGTCCCCAGTTTATTGTCACAGAATTCTTCATATCTGTTTCTGCAAGGAAAGAAGACAAGATGAAAAGCTACATTACCTCTGTGAACAAAATGGAGATGCTGGCTTTAGTAAGGTTGCAGGTGAAAGAGCTGATCAACATCACCAAAGATAACATTATTTTACCTCCACCGTGTGGAATCATGAGAGTAGTATCTGTACCTGGTGGCAGGTGCACACCTGTAGTCAGTATTGCTGCTAGTCTTGGTGCAACTAGGCCGAAGTTATTTTCCTGATAGATAAATGTGTTCCAGCTCATTTATGCTTCCCTGGGTTCACTAGAAATATAAATAGATCAGGACCCAGGTCATATTTTGTAAACTTATTTAATACTAAATTAACATTTGAACATGTTCTAAGAATTTTTTTCAATAACCTGTTTATTTTTTATGCCTATTGGAAGAATTGAAATGAACATTTAATTTCAAATTTGGACAAAATAAAACACCAAACACTGTTTTTTCATTAAAGTAGTAAAGAAAGTTTGTTTGTATCTTTCAAACTTTGTCTTAAATTCACTTTTATCTTAAAATGGAAGCTTTCTTTGAAAATTACATATTCTAGTAATAGGCTTTCTGCCCACGGATGGAAAGTTATTAACTATTCCCCAATAAGGAAGGATCTCCTAAAATGGGGCTAAAATACATGAAATAAGTGGTTTCCAATAATTCCTGCAGCTTTGCCAAGTCCATGTCAAAAAATTACATGTATGGATTTATTTCCTGACCCTTAATTAGATTCCATTAATGTGTATGTATTGATCTTGTATCTTACAACTTTGCAGAATCTGATCATTAGTGTTAACAGTTTTATGATTATTACTTAGGATTTTAATTATATGTATGAAATTATATCATCTGTATATAAAAATAAGCTTTTTCTTTTCCAATTGAAGCATTTCTTTTTTTGTATTGCCCAATTATTCTGGCCTGATTTCTGTTACAATGTTGATCAGAAGTGATGAATGCAGGTATCCTTGTCTCATTCCTGATTTTATGGAGAAAGCATTTAGTCTTTCATCATTGCATATAATGGTAGTTTTGAGTTTTTTTACATGTACCTTTTATTATGTTGAGGAAGTATTAGTCTATATCTAGTTTACTAATATAATAGACTTTTGGATTATCTCAAATTTTTTCTCTATCAATTGAGATAATCATGTATTTTTCTAAAATTAATTCTATTGAGTTGGTATATTGCATTGATTTATTGCAATTTTTAAAGAGTTTCAGAAAAATTGGAGTTACACCTTTTAATGTTTAAAACAATTTATCAGTGAAGCCATCTGGTTCTGGACTTTTCTTCGTTAGTGTGTTTTTTATTACTTATGCAGTCTTTTACTTGCTACAGTTTGCATTCAAGTTATTCAGAGAAATAGAAGCAACAGAATAAACATCTACATCTATACTATATCTTGGTATGTTTGTTCATCTATGTACATATGTTAATATTGGGACAGAGTCCTTTACAGTTGCCATGGTGGTGTCTGGGCAGGGGGCCCTTGTCAGCCTTCTCTGGGCTGATTTGGAAAACCCTCTGCTCCTCCATTCACCTCATTTCAATGCTGGCCCTTGTTGGCAGCAGCAAGCTTCTGCCCCTCACCAAAGGAAACAGAGCGCTACCCCATTAACACCTTTTTGCCAATCTTCTGTGTGGAGCTCTGCAAAGACAGTAAGTGGCAGACAGACCTGGAAGCCTCAGAGCTATTCCTGGCCATCACTGCTGCTCCTTATACCCCATGCAGCCTTCTGCCCCCCAGATCAAGCATAGACTTATGTCTACACAGACCTTCAGCCTTGGAAGGCACAAGATAACAGTTCTAGGGCTCAGAACAGTCACTGGTGTGGATGGGTACCACACCAGCACTTGCCTCCCTACTTTGCCAGCCATGACCTCATGTGTAAACATCATGAGCCACCAGGACTCTAACCTCCCAACAATCTGTTCCTGCTCAGAATGGGCCAGCCCCATATGACATTCCCCTACACACAAAATTTGACATTACATATGTATCCTTTTTTATTTTGCTTATTTTACATAACACAATGTCTTCAAGGTTCATCCATGTTGCAGCATGTATCAGCATTGCTTTTTTTTTTTTTTTTTGAGATGGAGTCTCACTCAGGCTGGAATGCACAGCAATGCAATCATGACACAGCTGCCTCAAACTCTCCAGGCTCAGGTGATTCTTCAGGCTTAGATGATCTTCCCCCGCGGCTAGGACTACAGGCACACACCAGCAAGCCCAGCAAATTTTTGTACTTTCTGTAGAGATGAGATTTTGCTATGTTGCCCAGGCTGGTTTGAAACTCCTAGGCTTAAGAGATCCTCTCATCTTTGCCTCCCAAAGTTCTGGGATTATAAGCATGAGCCACTGCACTCATCAGCATTGTAATCATTTTAAGGCTAAATAATATTACATTGTGTGTATATACCATATTTTATCTGCTTATTTCTTAGAAGATGTCTGGGTTTGTTTTTACATTTTGTACTGTAAATGATGCTTCCATAAAAATTGATGTGAAAGTATCAGTGCATAAGCGAATAAAATTTTAAAACCTGAACACATCTCTGCATGCAGTTCTTAGATTGAATATCAGGCCAGCCATGGTGGCTCACGCCTGTAATCCCAGAATTTTGGGAGGCTGGGGAGGGCAGATCACTTAAGCTCAGGAGTTTGAGACCAGCCTAGGCAACATGGCAAAACCCTGTCTCTACTGAAAATACAAAAATTCACTGGGTATAGTGGTGCATGCCTGTAGTCCCAGCTGTTCGGGAGACTGAGGCACGAGAATTGCTTAAGCCCTGGAGGCAGAGGTTGCAGCTTAAGTCCCTGCTTTTAATTATTTTGGATATACACCTGTAATGGCGTTGCTGGAACATATGGTAATTCTACATAGAACTTTCTGATAAACTGCCAAGCTATTTTTCAGTCAATAAATCATTTTATATTCTCACCAGCAATGCACCAGGGTTCCACTTCCTCCACATCCTAGTCAATACTTGTTTTCATTTTTGTTGTTTTATTTTTTATATAGCCACTCTAGTGGTGTAAAGTGATATCTCTTTGTGGTTTTTCATCCTAAGGAGGCAAGCTACTTGATCATGATGGATTATCTTTTTGATGTGCTGCTGAATTCGGTTTGCAAGTATTTTGTTGAGAATTTTTGCATTGGTGTTCATCAAGTGGCCTAAAGTTTTCTATTTTTGTTGTGTCTCTGCCAGGTTTTAGTGTCAAGATGATGCTGGCCTCATAGAATGAGTTGGGGAGGAGACTCTCCTCAATTTTTTGGGATAGTTTCTGTAGGAATTGTACCAGCCCTTTTTGTACATTTGATAGAATGTGGCTGTAAATCTATAAGGTCTGGGACTTTTTTTGATTGGTGAGCTATTTATTACTGATTCAATTTCAAAGCTTGTTATTGGCCTGTTCAGGGAACCAATGTCTTCCTGGCTCAGTCTTGGGAGGGCTTGTGTGTCCAGGAATGTATCTATCTCTTCTAAATTTTCCAGTTTGTGTGTATAGAGGTGTTCATAGTAGTAACACTGACCCCACAGAAATAAGACAACCATCAGAAACCACTAAAGTTTTAACACTTATTTTTATGTCTGGAATGCATTTTATTTGGTTTTTGTACATGGAATGTGATAAAAATTCAACTTTTTTTTTTTGAGATGGAGTTTTGCATCACCCAGGCTGCAGTGCAATGGTGCAGTCTTGGCTCACTGCAACTTCCACCTCTGTGGTTCAAGCTATCTCCTCCCTCAACCTCCCAAGTAGCTGTAATTGCAGATGCCTGCCAACACGCACAGCTAATTTTTGTATTTTTAGTAGAGATAGGGTTTCACTACATTGGCCAACCTCAGGTTTCACCTAACCTCAGGTGATCTGCCTGCCTCAGCCTCCCAGAGTGCTGAGATTACAAGCGAGAGCCACTGTGCCCAGCCAACTTTACTGTTTTAAATGCGGACTTGTTTTCCCAGTATCACTTGTTGAACAAACTGTCCTTTCCTTTACATAATGGTTTAGGCACCCTTGTCAAAAGACAATTAATAATTTATGCCAGGGTTTTTTCTGGGTTATCTATTCTGGGTTTTTTTGGTCTTTATACTTGTTCTTCTGCCAGTATCAAACTGTTTTAATTATAATAGCTTTGTATGTTCTGAAATTTAAAATTGTGAGCCCCTAACTTTGTTCTTCTTTTTAAGATTATTTTGGCCATTCAGGGTACCTTCAAATTCCATATGACTTTTAGAATGGGCTATTCTGTTTATAGAGAGAAAATAGTTGGACAAAATTAAAAATTGGGATTGCTTTACATCTGTACACTACTTTGGGTAGTGTTGTCATCTTAACATGATTAAGTCTTCCAGTCCATGAACACGGAATTCCTTGCCACTTATTTAAGTCTTTTTCAGTTTATTTCAGAAATAGTCTGATCCTGTAGTTTTCATTGCACAGTTTTTTTTACCTCCTTATTAAATTTATTGCTAAACATTATATTTTTAAGGTTGTTGCAAACCTTAAAATGTTTTCCTAATTTCCTTTTAAATTGCTCATTGTTGGTATATGGAAATGCAGTTGATGTTGTAAAAATAATTATTTTGTCTTTCAAATCTAGATTAGCAATTCATTCAGAATAAATATGCTGTATACATAGGTAGTCATTTAAATTTTTCCAATAAGCTAACCAATTTCAGCATGTTCTTAATATGTAAAAATGTTAAATTGTGTTTTATTTTCACTAACTCTCACCTGTCATTCACTCACCCAGAATTACATTACTCCACACATAGAACTTCCATTTCTGTAAAGTCCCTGGTAATTCTATTTCTCCCTGTATCTTTCAATCTTTAGCAATCCCACAACACAAAACAACCAAAGTTAGTCTTCATGTCAAAAATCTTCAACGGATCTTTTTCATCAGAGGATTATTTAGTGCAACATTTAACGGAAAAGATGCATGCTGCTGAGATATAATTCTCCAAAAGTCTCTTAGAGTTGTTGTTTTGTTATTTATTACATGACATATCTGTCCTATTCCAGGTTATTTTTCAAAGATTTTTGTACACAAATAGCCTGGAAAGAAGGGTAGTCGTTTTTATCTTCAGGTAAATGACAGATAAATTACTCAACTAATGTAATAAAGACAATTTTTCTCTGTGAGGCAAAAGTTGGACAGGTTTGCATGTAACCTACTTTAAAAAGATTGGGGTTTCTTAATATTAAGATTGCTCAGCTGTGACACAAATCTTTCCCATGTGCAATGTCCACTTGAGCTTTTTGAAATCCCTCTAAAAAAAAGTAGCATGGACAAATACAAACATGAAGTTTGGCCTTCAGTTATACAGTAAATAGTAGGGATTTTGTCATACTTCAGTGTCTCATGCCTTCTACCAGCATCCATAAAACTGGAAGGTTAAGGTGGGGTGGAGCCAAGGTTGCTGAATAGGAACAGCTCCAGTCTACAGCTCCCAGCATGAGTGATGCAGAAGACAGGTGATTTCTGCATTTCCAACTGAAGTACTGGGTTCATCTCACTGGGGAGTGTCAGACAGTGGGTGCAGGATAGTGGGTGCAGTGCACCAAGAATGAGCCAAAGCAGGGCAAGGCATTGCCTCACATAGGAAGTGCAAGGGGTCAGGGAATTCCCTTTCCTAGTCAAAGAAAGGGGTGACAAACGGCACCTGGAAAATCGGGTCACTCCCACCCTAATACTGCACTTTTCCAACAGTCTTAGCAAATGGCACACCAGGAGATTATATCCCGTGCCTGGCTCGGAGGGTCCTATGCCCACGGAGCCTCACTTATTGCTAGCACATCAGTCTAAGATCAAACTGCAAGGCGGCAGGGAGGCTGGGGGAGGGGCGACCACCATTGCCAAGGCTTGAGTAGGTGAACAAAGCAGCCGGGAAGCTCGAACTGGGTGGGGCCCACTGCAACTCAAGGAGGCCTGCCTGCCTCTATAGACTCCACCTCTGGGGGCAGGGCATAGCCAAACAAAAGGCAGCAGAAACCTCTGCAGACTTCAATGTCCCTGTCTGACAGCTTTGAAGAGAGTAGTGGTTCTCCCAGCATGCAGCTTGAGATCTGAGAATGGGCAGACTGCCTCCTCAAGTGGGTCCCTGACCTCCGAGTAGCCTAACTGGGAGGCACGCCCCAGTAGGGGCAGACTGACACCTCACACAGCCAGGTACTCCTCTGAGACAAAACTTCCAGATGAACGATCAGGCAGCAGCATTTGCGGTTCACCAATATCCACTGTTCTTCAGCCACCACTCCTGATACCCAGGCAAACAGAGTCTGGAGTGGACCTCCAGCAAACTCCAACAGACCTGCAGCTGAGGGTCCTGACTGTTAGAAGGAAAACTAACAAACAGAAAGGACATCCTCACCAAAACCCCATCTGTACATCACCATCATATCCTGAAGAACTGAATCATATCCTGAAGAACTGAATCATATCCTGAAGAAATGAATCATATCCTGGAGGATCAAAACTGAAGGAATAATATATTAAAGCAATGCAGGTTGCATACTAAAATGAGCAGAGCAGTAGGTCATCTGCAGATCGCAAGACCCTGATCTGAGAATGGGAAAACTCAGAGAGGTCCTTTGACAGTGCCTGGCCAGATAAGTGAGGTCTGTATCAAAATCCCTGCGGCAACACCATCCATGTTAACTGGGTTGTTTGGCCAGAGGAATCTTCGAAAGCAAATCATTATTGAGGGTCAGGATGTAATGTTATACAGAAAAACGCATCCTTTGGATCTAATACTGAGAACCATTTAGTTCCCTCAGGTATAGGGATTAGGTACCACTGCATGGATTGGAACTACAGCTTCATTAATGAGGCAAGGTGCTGAACTAGCCTTCATTCCCTCTAGGTTTTTGCACTCCTAATATTGGGGTGTTGCAGGAACTGTTACAGGGTTTGAGGTGGCCCCACATTGTCAGGTTATTAATAATGGCTTCTAGCCATTTCCTATCCTCTGGCTTTAGGGGCTATTGTCTCTGTTAGGAAAAGAGGTGGGATCCTTAAGATGGATCCAGACTGGCCAAACAGTTATAGCTTGACCAATTCTTCCTTGTGTTGCCCACACTTCTGGATTAAGATTAGCTTCCACCAGGAGGAGACAAAGAGTTTGTCCTGGGGCTATAAAGATGCTGGCCCCCAAGTGCGCTAAAATATCTCTACCTAATAAAGGAATAGGACTTTCAGCCATGATTAAAAAGGCATGTGTAAATAATAGGCCCCCCAAACTACAACTAATAAGTTGAGAAAAATATGAGGTTAGCACCTTTCCTGAGACACTCATCATGGTTATGCTACAAGGACGGGGAGGCCTGGACTAGAGAGGAGAAGAGAAAGGCTACCTCCAGTGTCTATGAGGTCCACCCTCCTTTCTTCAATTTCTATAATCACCTGGGGTTCTTATGCAGTAATGGCATTTTGAGCCACTGGAGCCAGGAATTTGAGCCCCAGGACCTGTCAGTCCCATTGGACTACTGTGAGATTGGTTCTGAATCCAGTGACCTCCATCTCTGGGGGCAGTCCAATCTCCAGTGATTCCCACCACAAGCTGCACAAGGTCAAGATGGCTTCTTCTTGCTGCCTGGGCACTCCTTCCTGAAGTGCCCTGAGTTGCCACACCAGTAGCAACTAGTAGATGCGCCTTGGGGATCCTGGGCTTTGCAAGTCTGCAACGCAGCTATATCCTTCTCTTTTGCTTTCTCTCTTTCTCTTGAGCCTCCTCCTTGTCCCTATTAGAAAAGACTGAGGTGACTATCCTCAGGAGGTTTTCCAAGGTGCTATCTGGTCCTACAGCTTGTTTTTGCAGTTTTCTTCGAATATTGGGAACCGCCGGTGTAATAAACTTGCCCTTTAGGATGAGGATGAACTGTCTCTCAACTGAATTAGGGGATAAGGAGGTATGTTTTATTAGTGCCTCTCTCAGCCTTTCCATAAAGCCTGAGGGATTCTCATCTGGCTTTTGGTCTATCACAAACAGTTTAGAGTGATTCAGAAGTTTGGCTCTAGTTCTTTGTAGGCCCTCCAATACACACATTACAAAATGTTTTCTTTTCCATTCATCTATGCACTCATTGGAGTTCCAATCAGGGTTATAAAGAGGTACTGCCTTTCTTACTATTGGATATGATGGTTCCCCTAAATCTTCACCTTTCCTATTTTCTCTTTTTCTTTTTGGACTACTACAGGAGACACATTGCTCGTCTCCAAAATTCTCTGCCACCTTCAGAGCTGTCTATTTTTCAGCTGTGGCTAGGGTTTTGGCTTAGGCGCAGCATAACATCCCTTCATGAGAGGTCATACACCTGAGTTAAATTTTGGAAAGCTTCAATATACCTATTGGGGTCATCAGAAAATTGGCCTAAGTCTCCCTTTATTTGCCTAAGGTCCTGGTCCTGCAATGTGAAAGGAATTTGAATCCTAGTGGCATCACCTCCATTGGGCACTTTCTGTAAGGATAAGATTGAAGCTGGGGGAGTGGGGAGTTTTGGAAATGGTGGAGCTGGAGGAACTGATGGCATGGTTGGAGGGGGCCCAAAATGAGGGGAACAAGAAGGGCCCAGACACTCTATAGCTGCCTCAGATGATTCCCCTGGAAGTTTATTCTCTAGTTTTGGGGAATCTCTTTTTTGGGCCTGCCTGATATGACTGCTAAAAGAGGTGAGTTGATTGTTCAATGTTTGCAAAGGTCTAGGTTGTCTTGCCGGGAAAAGAACACCTGTACATAGGGGATCTTGGACCATTTCCCCTCCCATTTACAGGAAAGATCTAATTGTTAGGTGGTATTAAAACCAAGGCTTCCCTCCATGGGCCAGGCTAGTTCAAGATGGTAAGAAGGCTAAACCCTTGCATAAAAGAAAATCAGCTGGTTTTTTTTTTTTTTTTTAAACTCTTGGGGTCAAAGGCATCCCAATGCTTCAGAATGCACTCCAGAGTAGTGCAGGTCAAGGATGATCTGTTACCCATCTAGAAAGATAAGTGAGAAAAATTCTTCTTTTTAGTCTCCTTTTCTTTGGAATGGCCCAGTATGGAGGGGAAGACAGTGGGGTGTCCCCCGTTTGTCCTCCTTTGTCCCCTGAGCCACAGCACTTGTTAAAGGTGTCACCCATGGATGCAGGTGTGACACTCAGCCATGGATCCAGAGGAACTAAGCAATGGGGTAAGTCATGCTTACCCATACAATTCTAGTCCTTTATTGGTGATTTGCCTTTGACTTCCTTGGTTTATGTGATCTGTGTGGCTCCCCAATAGATAAATCTCAGGAAAGACTATGTACCAGTTGTATTTGGGCAAGGCTCCTTTAATGGAGGAAATGTACTGGATTGAACTCTATATTCTGCTATTATGGCCTGGACTACAGTATTTATTCTTAGGCAGGGACTCTGGTTAAACTTCTGGACATAAAATCCCCTTACTATTTAAGTACAATTTTTTTTTTTTTTTTTGAGATGGAATCTGCTCTGTCGCCCTGGCTGGAGTGCAGTGGTGCTATCTCAGCTCACTGCAAGCTCTGCCTCCCGGGTTCATGCCATTCTCCTGCCTCAGCCTCCTGAGTAGCTGGGACTACAGGCGCCTGCCACCATTCCCATCTAAATTTTTGTATTTGTTTCTTTAAGTAGAGATGGGGGTTTCACCATGTTAGCCAGGATGGTCTCGATCTCTTGACCTCGTGATCTGCCCACCTCAGCCTCCCAAAGTGCTAGGATTACAGGCGTAAGCCACCACACCTGGCCTTTAATCTCGAGTTATATTCTTTATATGGTGAGAGGTAGGGGTCCAGTTTTCTTCTGAATATGACTAACCAGTTTTCCCCTGTACCATTTATTGGATAGGGGATTATTTCCCTTGGTTTATTTCTGTTGACTTTGTCACCAATATGTTGATTGTAGAAGTGTAGCTTTTTTTTCTGGGCTCTCTCCTCTGTTTCATTAGCCTATATTTTTGTACCAGAACCATGCTGTATTGGTTACTGTAGCTTGTAGTACAATTTGAAGTTAGGTAATGTGAGACATCCAGGATTATTGTTTTTGTTTAAACTTGCTGTGGCTATTTGGGCTCTTTCATTATTCCATATGAATTTTAAAATAGTTTACTTCTAAATCTATAAAAAATGGCACTGAAGGCTGAGCACAGTGGCTCATGCATGTAATCCCAGTGTTTTTGGAGGCTGAGGTGGGCAGATCACTTAAGATCAGGAGTCCAAGACCAGGCCCTAGCCAACATGGTGAAACCCCATCTTTACTAAAAATACAAAAAATTAACCAGGTGTAATGGTGTGTGCCTGTAGACCAAGCTACTCCAGAGGCTGAGACAGAAGAATTGCTTGAACCTGGGAGGTGAGAGGTTGCAGTGAGCCAAGACGAGTGTACTGTTATACAGCAAGCACTGTCATGTTTGTTTGCTGCACTTATGTATAAAAACATCATCCTGGCCGGGTGCAGTGGCTCACGCCTGTAATCCCAGCACTTTGGGAGGCCAAGGGGGACAGATCACGAGGTCAGGAGTTTGAGACCAGCCTGGCTGACATAGTGAAACTCCATCTCTACTAAAAATACAAAAAATTAGCTGGGCTTGGTGGTGGGTGCCTGTAATCCCAGCTACTTGGGAGGCTGAGGCAGGAGAATCAGTTGAACCTGGGAGGCAGAGGTTGCAGTGAGCCGAGATCATGCCACTGCACTCCAGCCTAGGCAACAGTGCAAGACTCTGTCTCAAAAAAAAAAAAAAAAAAAAAATCCTGACTTATGAAGCCTCCCTAGTACATACCTGAACAAATTGGCTCAATACATAAATTTACTTATGTCAATTAAAAAATCTGAAAGCAGCTGGGCACAGTGGCTCACGTCTGTAATTCCAGCATTTTGGGAGGCCGAGGCAGGCAGATCACAAGGTCAGGAGTTTGAAATCACCCTGGCCAACAAGGCAAAACCCTGTCTCTACTAAAAATACAAAAATTAGCAGGGTGTGGTGGTGGGCACCTGTAATCCTGGCTACTCAGGAGGCTGAGGTAGGAGAATTGCTTGAACCCGGGAGGTGGAGGTTACAATGAGCCAAGATCATGCCATTGCACTCCAGCCTGGGCAACAAGAACAAGCCTACGTCTCAAAAAAAAAAAAAAAAAAAAAAAATCTGAAAGCAGCAATAACTAAATACAAGTAGGCTTACAGCCGGGTGCAGTGGCTCACACCTGGAATCCCAGCACTTTGGGAGAACAAGGCAGGCGAATCACCTAGGTCGGGAGTTCGAGGCAACCTGACCAACATGGAGAAACCCTGTCTCTACTAATAATACAAAGTTAGACAGGCATGGTGGCACATGCCTGTAATCCCAGCTACTCGGGAGGCCGAGGCAGGAGAATCACTTCAACCCAGGAGGCGGAGGCTGCGGTGAGCCGAGATCATACCATTGAACTCCATTCTGAGCAACAAGAGCGAAATTCCGTCTCAAAAGTAGGCTTATATAGGGTTCTCCAAGTAAAATAACAAAATGGAATGTTCTAACTAAATAAAATACACTAATTGTGCAATTACATCTAAAAATTTTGCATGCGCTAAATTTTATAAAAATAATTCTTATAATCCCTGATGAGCTCACATAATGAATACTTCAAAAACTATAAAACAAAATAATTATAAGAAACAAAAAAATTATGGGTCTAGCATGAGCACCAGGCAAGTAAAACAGAGAAATTGCCTGGGGAGGTTATGAACCATAAGCCATAAGATCTTATAGTCATGAATTCAATACAAAGCAGTGTATAGATTTGCCTTACACATATTTGAGGTTTTTAGTTTTCTAGTAAATTAGTCACCTTATTAAAATAATTTTTTCCTCATTTTTAGATAGAACTGGATTGTCTGTAATACAAAGAATAAATGCTAGAGGTGAAGACCTCATTTACCCTGATGTCATTATTACATACTGTATGTCTGTATCAAAATATGGCATATATGGCAATAAATATATACACACACTATGTACCCACAAAAATTAAGAAAAATAAATTTAAATTTTAAAAAGATAAAAATTTAACCTATGGGAACAATATTCTTTAATGTATTTGCAGTTTAAGCCACTGGAAAAGATTACCACAGATGTAAGTCCACTATGTTACCAAATAATATACTGTTACCATCTTTTACCCCACACCCTTGAGTAAGGTAGGATAAGGTTAAAGTTAGTGGCATAATAACACTTCATCGAATACACTAGTCTTAGCATGCTAAAAAAAATGTTTAATTACAAAATTAAGTTCACACACAATCTAAATGTTTTAAAGTACTGCATTTTATTACATAAAAGCACAATCAACAAAATGATAATTAATTTTAAAATGTTTTTTTCTCACTATACTGCAAAAGAATGTTAGTCTGAACATGTACCTCAAGTAGCACTTAATATTCTAAGTTAATCACAAAGAGCATCTCTACATTTTCCTCATGCATCTTGTATTTTAATTTTCTTACTCTTCCACAGAAAGGGGCATAAATAATGCCCACCTATAAAAAAGAATCTCTCATATCTCTGATTCAGCAACAACAGATCACTTGCTTTCACATGTGAATATAATAGGAATGAAGAAAAACATGAATTTGAGAGTTAAATTACATCAATTGCTTTTCAAAAAATCTGTAATTTTTTTCAAGAAAAAAGTATACTTTGAATGTAATTATAAATCTCCAAAAAATCTTCTACTTCTTTTAAAGTTATATATAAATAACTTACCTAACAATTTTAGTTTTGGATCTCCTATACTCAACACTCTAATTTAGTGTAATGTCTGAAGTATCAGTGCCTTATGCCTTATGATTTCTACTGTGAATTCTGATATTTACATAGACTTAATTTGGGATTAAATATTTTTCATATTTACTGCATCTGCAAAAATATATTTTAGTATGAACTCTCTGATGTTTTCCAAGCTGTAGTTTTTGAAAAAATGTTTTTCCATATTTATTACATTTGCAGGGTTTTTCTCCAATACAAATTCCCTGATGTCGAACAAAGTTTGAGCAACTAATGCTTTAGGGTTTTCCTCTGGTACAAAATGTGTACAATAAGATCTATCATAAAACTAAAGGTACTACAACCCTCTTTCTATTTGTAATGTTCATCTTAAGAATACTCTTCCTCGTATTAAAGGCTTATATTTTCTGAAAGATTTGACGGTAATTGCATTTTATTAAGTATGAACTGATGTTTTTACATGTGAGCAGATATAAATGGCTTTTCCATATTCTTTATACAATTTTTCTCAAGTATAAATGCTTTCCTGTGCAATAAGGTGTGAGGATTGGTTAAAAGTTTGCCACATTCTTCATACTTGGAGGATTTTTCTCCAATATAAATTATCTTACCTACAATCAAGCGTGACAACCATTTAAAGTCCTTGTCATATTCCTCACATTTCTAGGGCACCAATATGGTTTATGTTTAGAAAAGTTTGAGGTGTAGTGAAAATCATTGTCACATCTTTCAGGTTTGTAGTTTCTCTTTAGTATAATTTGAGGATTTGTTAAAGGCTCTGCCACATTCATGTTTGCAGGGTTTCTCTCCAGTATAAATTATCTGATGTGTAATAAGGGTTGAGAACTTGTTAAAGGCTTTGTCACATTCTTCATATTTGTAGGGTTTCTCTCCAGTATAAATTATCTTACGTGCAGTAAGGTTTGAGGACTGGTTAAAAGCATTGCCACATTTTTCACATTTGTAGGATTTCCCTTCAGTGTGAATTATCTTATGTTTAGTAAAAATTGAGGACTGGTTAAAGGCTTTGCCACATTCTTCACATTTGTAGGGTTTTTCTCTAGTATGAATTATTTTATGTTTAGTAAGGGTTGAGAATACACTAAAGGCTTTGCCACATTCTTCACATTTGTAGGGTTTATCTTCCATATGATTTCTCTTATGTTTAGTAAAAGCTGAGGACCAGCTAAAGGCCTTGCCACATTTTTCACATTTGTAGGGTTTCTCTCCAGTATGAATTATCTTATGTTCAGTAAGGGTTGAGGACTGTTTAAAAGCTTTGCCACATTCTTCACATTTGTAGGGTTTTTCTCCCGTATGAATTCTTTTATGTTTAGTAAGGGTTGAGGACTGGTTAAAGGCTTTGCCACATTCATCACATTTGTAGGGTTTCTCTCCAGTATGAATTATCTTATGTTTAGTAAGGTTTGAGAACTGGTTAAAGGCTTTGCCACATTCTTCACATTTGTATGGTTTTTCCCCAGTATGGATTATCTTATGTTTTTTAAGAATTGAGAATACTCTAAAGGCTTTGCCACATTCTTCACATTTGTAGGGTTTATCTTCCATATGAATTCTCTTATGTTTATTAAGAATCGAGAACTGGTTAAAGGCCTTGCCACATTCTTCACATTTGTAGGGTTTCTCTTCTGTATGAATTCTTTTATGTTTAGTAAGGGTTGAGGACCGGTTAAAAGCTTTGCCACATTCTTCACATTTGTAGGGTTTCTCTCCAGTATGAATTATTTTATGTTTAGTAAGATTTGAGGACCGGTTAAAAGCTTTGCCACATTCTTCACATTTGTAGGGTTTTTCTCCAGTATGAATTATCTTATGTTTAGTAAGGGTTGAGGACCAGTTAAAGGCTTTACCACATTCTTCACATTTGTAAGAATACTCTCTAGTATGAATTTTCTTATGTTGAGTTAATTGTGAAAGCATGCAAAATGATTTGCCACGGTTTTTACATTTGAAAGGTTTCTTTCCAGTATGTCTTATCTTATTTCTATTTACATTTGGAAATTTATGAAAGACTTTCACATATTTATCACACTGAAATATCTTGCTGTCAGTAGTTGTCAAACACTGGTTAAGTCCATTATAACCTCCTTTGTACACCTTACATGCATCCACACTTTTATGGTCTTTTCTTAGCTGTAAATTCTCATGTCCATATTTTCCATATGTTCTCAGTATCACTTTTTGGAAAGAATCTTTTATGCTGTGCTCTGGCCAAACATCTTGGGCAAAATGAGAACACATAACTGAAAAAAATAAAAATAACAAGTTACTTCACTTACTAGACTCAGATGAATATACTTTACAAATTTAACCTATAAAATTGTACAAACTACAACATAAGCAAGATGGCATAGCAAAATGCAAGCCCTAATTCCTTACAGAAATATAAATGTAACAAAAATATACTGACCAAAATACATTTGTGGAAAAGCTATAAATGAGTTAAATGTGTACAGTGCCCCAGGTGAGAACAATGCAAAGAGCTACATAGAAGGAAAAGAAAACTGTGTTACATTTACCCAACACAGCTCTTCCTGCTCCTCAATAACCTAGTGTCTTCAGCAACAAATTGCCAACTCCCGGTTTCTTTTTAAAAGACAAGAAAAATACTGGCACATACATCTTTATTTTTGGCCTCTAGGGGCCTTTCAAGACACTGGTTTCTGTCTCCCATGCCATAAAGTGCTGAAGGAAATGGTGGTATACTTTGGAATGACAGTTTGTCTGCTGAGACCAAAGGTAAACATTACAGCAGCAGAGAGAATGCAGCAGCACCACAGACAGCGAACACGTGTAGCAACTGATTACCGACTTAACAAAAAACACAAATGAACTCCTTTAACTAAAAAGTAAACACAAAATTTCAGACAAGGCACATCCTAAGAACATGTTTGAGAGACTCCCGGAATCTCTAGCCAAGACAATTGGTTTAAGACTATGCCAGGACAAGGCTACATAATAAAGATTGTAATAGGCAGCTTTTTTTTAATGTCCAAATCTCAATCAAACATTACAATGTATACAAAATATTAGGGCAACATGGCCCTGTCAAAAAAATATAAAATTTTTAGAAAGCAACCATAAAAAATAAAGTTATAAAGAAATTGAAAATAAACTGAATAATATTCAATGAGTGAAACAGAAACACAGACGATTTCTGAAAATCAGATAAATGAGGATAACAAAAATATTCAAAATATCGACACCCCCTCAGAAATTGTGGAGGTAAAAAATACAAAAAGAAACTGAAAAATAAAACATGAAGAAGCTAGACAAACTAGGATACACAAAAAGATACTTATAACAAACACATATATAAGCACAATTTCAGAAGTTACAGACAAGAAGAGAGTCTTGGGAGCTGCAAGATAAAAGTAATGCATCATTTATGTGCATACTCTTACGAGATAACCAGTGAACTGTCAACAAAAATTTTGCAGGCCATAAAGAAACTGTGTGATGTAGTCAAAGTCCAAAACAAAATTATAACACAGAAGGTAAAACTTACTGGCCACCATCAATTAAATCAATATATTCATGGGAGAAATCTTAGAAGAATATAGAAAAAAAAAAGTAGTACAGAGGATACTTGAAGATAAAAAAGGCTGAGAACTTTCAAATTTTGACGTAATAAGAGAAAAAATATTCCTAACCAATAACTTGGTTAGAAATTGTTTTACTTTAAAAACAAGAAAAAAATAGATTTTCCAAAATAAAAGGTAAGGGTGTTTATTATCCCTTGCACAGTCCTACAGGAAATGCTACATGGTGAGCAGGCACCATGGCTCATGCCTGTAATCCTACAGCTTTAGGAGGCCAAGGCAATCAATCACTTGAGACCAGGAGTTCAAGATCAGCCTGAGCAACATAGTGAGACATTGCATATACAAAAAGAGAAATGCTAAAATGACTCCATTATGTTGAAAAATAAAATAATGCTGCACAGCATCATAAAACCATATATAAATATAAAGCTCTCTATTAAATGTAAATATAGACACACACAGAATTCTTTACTATCATAATGATGGAGCATCAAACCCTTAAAGTTCTCCTATAGAATATGAGAAACAAAATATAAATCTGAATAAATCTGTTAATAGAAACACAATATAATTTGTAGTATTAGTAACAAACTAGAAAATGTTTTAACTTTAAGATGTTTTATATAATCTTCATTTTTCAAGATGATTACAAAGATAATATTTATAGAAACTATGCAAAACAAAAAATAAAGCAGGTCACTATGAGATTAAACAAAAATTCAAGGAGTAAAACAGGAAATGAGAAAAAACATATCTAAAAAACACAAGAAACAATAACAATGAAACTGGTAATAGTAACATCATTTCTTTAAAAAATCATTTTAAATATAAACTAGTTAATAAAAAGAAATGTAATCCCAGGACTTTGGGAGGTCAAGGTGAGCTGATCACTTGACTGCAGGAGTTTGAGACCAGCCTCAGCAACATGGCAAAACCGTCTTTACAGAAAATACAAAAAACTAGCTGGGTATGATGGCACATGCCTGTAACCAGCTACTTGACAGGCTGAAATGAGAAGATCATCTGAGTTTGGGAGGTTGAGGCTGCAGCTCATTGCCATGATCACACCACTGCAAACCAGCCTGGTTGACAGAGTGAGACCCTATCTCAAAAATAAATAAATAAGAAAGCATACAATATACTGCCTAAAAGAGATCCATTTTGGCACTAAGTCAAATAGGCTGAAAGTAACAGAATGAAAAAGATCTATATCTATACAAATTGCAACCACAATTGGGTGAGGCAGTCATAATTATATCAGACATATATGCTTTAAGTCAAGTACCAGCATGAGATAAAGACTGATATTATATAATTGTAAAACGGGTCAATTTACCAGGAATCTATAACTACCATAACTGTCTACTCTTTTAATAAACTAGCTCTCACTTGAATTGATGGAGTGTAAACTTTTTGATTACCAAGAGGATAGTGCCAAGCCATTCATAAGGAATTTGCCCCCATGACCCAAGCACCTTCCTCCAGGTCCCACATCAAACATTGAGGATTACATCGCAGCATGAGGTTTGAAGAACATGAACATCCAAACAATATCATAGACCAACTAGGCTTAACAGACATGTACAAAACTTTCTAGTCAAAAGCAAGGGAATACACAATATTCTTATTTGCAGCTGGTGTATTCTGTTAGGACACATACCAAGTCTTATTAATATAAGAATACCAGCTGGGTGCAGGGGCTCATGCCTATAACCCAACACTCTGGGATTTCAAGGTGGGAGGATGACTTAAAGCCAGAAGTTTGAGGCCAGCCTGGGCAACACAGTGAGAATCTGTCCCTACAAATGATCAAAATATTAGCCAGGCATGGTAGTGCATGTCTGTAGTCCCAGCTGTTCAGGAGGCTGAGGAAAAGGATCACTTGAGCACAGGAGACTGAGGCTGCAGTGAGACAAAATTATGCCACTGCACTCCAGCCTGTCTCAGAAACAACAATAAATAAACTTAAGACCAAAATAATAAATGGTATGTTTTCTGACCAAAACTGAAAGAAACTAGGAATTAAAAGAAATGTGAAAATAAAACACATTCTTCAACATATTTTTGCTCAAGGGTCAAAAAACTTCATTTTGGGCCAGGCACAGTGGCTCATGCCTGCAATCCCAGCATTTTGGGAGGCCAAGGCGGGTGGATCACCTGAGGTCAGGAGTTTGAGACCAGTCTGGCCAACATGGTGAAACCCCGTCTCTACTAAAAATACAAAAAAATTAGCTGGGCGTGGAGTCAGGCACCTGTAATTGGGAGGCTGAGGCACGAGAATCGCTTGAACCTGGGAGGCAGAGGTTGCAGTGAGCCCAGATCGCACCAGCCATTGCATTCTGGCCTGGGCAACAAGAGCGAAACAACGTCTCAAAAAACAAACAAAAAAACTTCATTTTGTTAAGATGTCAATACAACCTACAGTGGTAAAGAAATTCAACATAATCTCTATAAAAATACTATAGCACAGTTTTTAACAGAAATATTGTCTAAATTTTTAAAATTTGATTAAAATCTATAACTATCCAAACACCCATGAAAAAGAACAAACAGCCATTATACTTCCTGATTTCACAACATATTAAAATCTACAATAACAAAAACAATGTGGTACTGACACAAAGACAGATAAAGAGATGAAAGAACAGAATAGAGAGCCTAGAAATGAACCCTTCTATATATGATCAAATGATCTTCCAAAGTTGCCATGAGCACACAATAGAGGAAAGATAGTCTCTTCAAAAAATAATGGTGAAACTGGACATTAACACTTATAAAGTTTGATCCTTTCCTTGAACCATATACAAAAAATATTTTAAATAAAATACTTAGACATAAAAAAAACTAACAAATCTCTTAGGAACAATATAGAGGAAAGACATTACATTGGTCTTGGCACCACTTATGATATTAATGCATGAGCAACAAAGAAAAGAACAGAAAAACTGAATTACGCTATACTTCAAAATTTTTACACATCAAAGAAAACATTCAAGAGAGTGACAACGTCCCCTAGGAAATAAGTGAAAATGTTTGCAAATCACATGTGATAGGAGCTAATATTCAGAATATATAAACAACTCTTCAAACTGAACAATAAAGTTGAATAACTTGATGAGAAATGAAGATATGAAGAACAGAAATGAAGAAATAATTGAACTTTATCATATAAAGTTTATCATATAAAGTATCATATAAAGTTCAATAATATTGAATTTTAAATAATTGAATCTTTATCAAGAGATATATATACATGGGAAAAAGCATTTGAAAGGACAGACAAAATTACTAACTTATAGAGAAATGCATAAAAAGCACAATGAAAAACAAAATCACCTCATACCAGTTAGAATAGCCACTATACATTTTTTAAAAGGCACCAAATCTGTTGATGCAATGAAAATAAAACCCATGTTATTTTTTGGTGAAAAACAAGGATGTAGCCATTATTTTAAAATATTATATACATGTTTCTCAAATAATTAAAGATGGAATTGTTATTACTGTATCCCATTTATGAATCTATATCCAAACTATGCAACATAGGATCTTAAAAATATATTTGAACATCTATGTTTATTGTACCAGTATTCACAAAAGCCAAAAGGCTGAAGCAACCCAACTGTCTTCTTGATTTATAAACACATCAAAAAATATAACATACAAATACAGTGGAATATTTTTCAGCCTTAAAAAAGAAAATTGTCACATTTTAAGATAAACTTTGAGAATATTTTGTCACCTGACATAAGCCAGTAACAAAATGATGGATACTGTGTGATCCCACTTATATGAGATATCTTAAACAGTCACACTCATAAAAATAGTAAGTGGAAGGGTGTTTGTCAAGGGCTGGAGAGAAGGTAAAATGGGCAGTTATTGCTTAACGGGTACTGAGTTTTAGTTTTACAAGATGTAAAATTTCAAGAAGTCTTTTGCATAATGATGTGAATATAGTCAACATGCCTGAAATGTACAGCTTTTTGGAGACAGGGTCCCACTTGTCACCCAAGCTGCAGTGCAGTGGCACAATTAAGGCTCACTGCAGCCTCAAACTTCCAGGCTTAAGTAATCCTCTCCCCTCAATCTCCCAAGTAGCTGGGACCACAGGTGACAACCACCATGTCAGGCTATTTTTTTGAAAAGTTGTAGAGAGAGGGTCTCCACATGCTGTCCAAGCTGGCCTCAAACATTTGGGCTCTGGCCGGGCACGGTGGCTCACTCCTGTAATCCCAGCACTTTTGGGAGGCTGAGGTGGGTGGATCACCTGAGGTCGGGAGGTGGAGAACAGCCTGACCAACATGGAGAAACCCTGTCTCTACTAAAAATACAAAATTAGCCAGGCATGGTAGCACATGCCTGTAATCCCATCTACTCAGGAGGCTGAGGCAGGAGAATCACTTGAACTCAGGAGGCGGAGGTTACGGTGAGCTGAGATGACACCATTGTACTCCAGCCTGGGCAACAAAAGCAAAACTCCATCTCAAAAAAAAAAAAAAATGTGGGCTCAAGTGATGCTCCTGTCTTGGCCTCCCAAAATCTGAGGATTACAGATGTGAGCCACCACCATGCCTGGCAATGAAATGTAAACTTAAATAGATTTAAGATGGTAAATTTTAGGTTATGTGTTTTTACAACAATTATTTTTTAAAAGAAAAACTAAAAAAAAAAAAAATAGAATTACAAATATTTCCAAAAATTACCTTCAAATTACAAAAATGTTTCTCTTACCCAAAGGAAATTATACAATATTTATCATTAAACACATGGTAGAAAGACTATTTCCATGACTACTCACTTAGACAAAACAACCATTGAAAATCAGCTAAGAAAGAATATACACAAGATATGCCATAACCAAAATTAAAGTCATATTAATAGATAAAAACACACACATATATAATCAGACTATGATGGACATATGGCTGACTTATTTCCCAGTTAAACCCAACATTCACTTAAAGTGTACAAACAGAAGTGCAAATTGCTAAAACCGTAAAAACAAGAAACAAAAACTGATAAGAAACCTACACTAAACAAAAAACACTAATATGGAACTGTAAAACATTAAAAGAAATGTTTACTCATAAAACCTGGTTTGCAATATTGATGTACCATTAAAAAGAATTTGTCTAGATAACTGCAATATTTGAGTGTAACTGTGTACTCATGGAAGGCAAGTATTTGAATCACTGGCATGCACTGTATGGCAGTAAAATTTCAGAGAAAATGCAGTATAACCATACATAGAAGATTCTAATAAAAAACTTAATAAGTAAGCATTTTTAAAAATTGAGATAATTTTTATGTTTTAAATATATGCTATTCTTACACTAGATGAAACTGCTGCAATCCAACTATAGAAGCAAAGAATAGCCTTACGTTGCCAAATAAAGAAAAAATTTTTATTTTGCTGAATATGGTTAGTGCCTCTGATAGATAAAACAAATATTTGGGGGATACATTATGTTATTACTTAGATATAGGCTAAAAAGTGGGTGAAAATACTATTCCTTTTTGCCTGCCGCAAACTTAAATTTATAAGTAACTATTTTAGTAATTATGGAGTAAATTATCTAATTTACTTCAGGCATAACATGTAAATTCTAGCATATTGTCCCAAAGGTCTGATTCTAAAGTTACAGACAAATTTGAAATAGAAAATAGAAAGTAAAAATGTATAGGAAGAGTGACATCAGGAAGATAGGACAATAAAAGTTGCCTTATTTTGTTATCCTCCAACAGCAAGAAAATTTGTCAGCCATCCCTCATAAAAAGGCCTTTTGAGAGAGCCAGGCATCATGGCTCACACCTGTAATGAAAGCTTTATCATACATTGAGGTTGGAGATTGCTTCAGGCCAGGATTTCAAGACCAGAATGGGTTATGAAGCAAGACCCCATCTCAAAAATAAGCGCCTTTAAGAGAGCTTTGAGATCCAGGGAGGGAGTTGTGAAATGCTAAACCCAAGATTGAGGAGTGTTGTTTTTAGAAGGCAGGCCCTCATTCAGGCGGCAAACTAAAGGACTCCTGTTCTTGGCTACAGACCAGAAAATGGCCCACCAAACTTGGTCCCACTGAGAATTCTGAACTTACTCTGCAACCATCCCAAACTTCTCCCAGCCACAGTCTGGAAAAGGTCCTGCCCTTCCAGCGGCCTGGAGGAAGACAACCATTTATAGCCATGCAGGCAGGCCGGCTTGCAGACCTTGGCCTTTACTGTGGTCTCTGAAGCAGTTTAATGACTCAGTTCCAACTCTCTGAGCCACAGTTTATGGCCAGTTATATCTACACAGAAACCTACACAGTGGCCTGGGGAAATCCTCTCTGGTACTCAGTGAAAGCCACACTCATCCACATCCTGATACAAGGTCCATTATATGCAGACCCGACTACAGAAACCTGCCCTAGTGTCTGCCCGACAGAGCAAAGTCCTGGAGGATATTCAGTCTGTCTAAAAATAAAATGGAAATTACAAATACCCAAGCCCCTTGTAATAAGCCAGTAAAGGTGGACCCTAGTGTAGACCCAGCAGCCTTGTGACCAAGCTACACCCCTCTCCACTACAAACCCAGAGGGCATCCCATCACCGTGGGAACCCAACAAAAGATCTTTACCTTCTAAAACCAGTTTATAAAAACCTGAAGAGCTGTTTGCTCCTTCAAATTTACAGACACCAATGCAAAACTATATTGTGCCAATGTCAATGCTTCCATTTTAACATAGCACTGGAATTATGTGGCAAAAGAATTTAAAAAATTTAAAAAGCCATTGACATTGAAGACAGATAGGTAAAAAGTTGCTGTTTGTAGATCACATAATCTTATATAGAGAAAATCATAAACATTTAAACATGTCTAAACTAATAATAAATCAGCACAATATGAAATTAACATACAAGTTATGGTTCCATACACTTAAAATAAGCTACATGATATAAAAGAGGAAAAAAACAATCTTATTTGTAATACCATTAAAATAATACATTTCTCCATCCTGGCTAACATGGTGAAACCCCATCTCTACTAAAAATACAAAAAATTAGCCAGGGATGGTGGTTCGCACCTGTAGTCCCAGCTACTTGGCAGGCTGAGGCAGGAGAATGGTGTGAACTCGGGAGGCGGAGCTTGCAGTGAGCCGAGATTGCACCACTGATCTCCAGCCTGGGCAGCAGAGTAAGACTCCGTCTCAGAAAAATAATAGTAATATTAATAATAAATTTCTGGGCTAGGCACAGTAGCTCACACCTGTAATCCCAGCACTTTGGGAGGCCGAGGCGGGCGGATCACAAGGTCAAGAGATCAAGACCATCCTGGCCAACGTGGAGAAACCCCATCTCTACTAAAAATACAAAAATTAGCTGGACGTGGTGGTGCATGCCTATAGTCCCAGCTACTCGGGAGGCTGAGGCAGGAGAATTGCTCGAACCCAGGAGGCAGAGGTTGCTGTGAGCCAAGCTCGCGCCACTGCACTCCAGCCTGGCGACAGAGCGAGACTCTGTCTCAAAAAAACAAAAAGAAAAGTAGTTTAACAGAGTTTCTCAAAATTATGCAGCTATTTGTGTGTCCTCAAAAGCAATGGAAAAGTAGTCAGATTGTGCAGTCTCTTCCTCCCATGAAAAGGACTTTGGCTCTCACTGTAAACTTGAAGAAGATCACCTTAGAAAATTTAAAAGCATTAGACAGAAGATGCCCCTATGTGAGAGCAAAATAAAAGTTTCAGGCTTCCCAGAAACTATTTTTTTTGGAAACAGCTTCCCAAATTACATTTTAAAGACTGAGGCCAGGCGCAGTGGCTCACGCCTGTAATCCCAGCACTTTTGGAAGGCTGAGGCGGGCGGATCACCTGAAGTCGAGAGTTCGAGACTAGCCTGACCAACATGGAGACACCCCGTCTCTACTAAAAATACAAAATTAGCCAGGCATGGTGGTGGGTGCCTGTAATCCCAGCTACTCGGGAGGCTGAAGCAGGAGAATCGCTTGAACCTGGGAGGCAGAGGTTGCAGTAAGCCAAGATCACACCCTTGCACTCCAGCCTGGACAACAAGGTCAAAACTCCGACTAAGAAAAAATGACTGGCCTTCTCCTTGACTTTTGGACCTCTCATTTGTGTTGTCTGTTGTATTAACTGTCACCTACCTGGGGTTTTGTCTACCATCTCATGTCTCTTCAGATTCCAGGGCTCTTTTCCTTGCTCCAGCCAGGTGATCAGGTCTGGCTTAGAGACAGCAATACCTGTTTTATTAAAAATAAATAACATAAATCTTGCTCATATTCTCCAATTACCAACATAGTAATATGCTCAGTAAAGAGGATGCAATAGATTAATCTAGTAAATTAATCCCCAAATACTAATTTATGACAAATATCTAAATATTTTAAATTTGTAGATTTTTTTTTTTAAAGACAGAGCCTCACTCTGTCACCCAGGCTGGAGTGCAATGGCACGATCTCAGCTCACTGCAATCTCTGCCTCCCGGGTTCAAGCGATTCTCCTGCCTCAGCCTCCTGAGTAGTTGGATTACAGGCGCCCACCAACACGCCTGGCTAATTTTTTTATTTTTAGTAGAGACAGGGTTTCACCATGTTGGCCAGGCTGCTCTCGAACTCCTGACCTCAGGTAATCCACCCACCTCAGCCTCCCAAAGTGCTGGGATTACAGGCATGAGCCACCACGCCCAGCCTACATTTGTAGATCTTTAATTTTATTTAATACTGCCCAGTACTACTAAATGAAAAATTGGTGGTAGCAACAATATTTTATGCCAATAAATTTCTGGAATTACCACTAATTTAGAGTGAAGGATATAGATCAGCTCAGGAATGTGGAGAGTTCAGGTCAAAATGAAACATCTTGAAGAAGTTCTTTTCTATACTGACAAATCTCTGTTTTCTTGAAAACTGGGATCTGAAACTCATTTATGCAAAGCATAAATTACCAAAAAACATTTTACAAAGAGGAGAAATGAAACTTTTAGAGCATTGTGTATTGTGTATTGAAGTTATCCTCACCAAGGAAGACCAGGTTTCTGTAGTTCTCTAACATCACATCTCTATATAAATTCCGCTGCGCAGTGTCCAGGCATTGCCATTCCTCTAGAGAGAATTCTATTTTCACATCCCTAAATGTCAGTGGTCCCTGAAAAACACACACACACACACAAACACACATATGTTTACTAAGTGGCCATGGGCAGAATTTTTTATTTGACTTAAGGTGAAATGAAAGAGTAAAGAGAACAAGTTCTGACTTACAGGAGTGACTGAAATGATCCAATAAAATAATTTTCAATACAGAAATATTTTCTAATGTATTCTCTAACTCTGAGAAAAGAGAATGACATAAGATCCATAACACCAGTGTATACATGATACTTTTCTGGATGATAAAGTATAAAATTAAGGGCATGAACACAAACGTACATTTCTGAGTGTATATGTTTCAGATGGAAAAGACATGGAGTTAGAAGTGACCTCTCAAATTTTAATGTGTATGATAAACTGAAGATCTTGTTATGCATATATTTTTTCAGAACATCTGGAATAAAGTCTGAGTTTCTTAATTTCTAAGAAGATCACCAATAATGCCAATGATTTTTGCCCAAGAAGATTATTTTGTCAAGCATCCAGTAAGGGGGAGGAGTGTGGGTTTTCCCAGTTTTTCTGACCCATAAACAAAGACGAGAGCCTTCATTTTCCAAAGACAGATATATGCAAAGAAAACCTAATAAAGAAGGGCAGCTGCCAGATTAACTGTAATGGTTTATGCACATCAGCTGCATAAAGATACTTAATAACTGGCTGGGCCCAGTGGCTTATACCTATAATCCCAGCAGTTTGGGAGGCTGCGGTGGGCGGATCACCTGAGGTCAGGAGTTCAGAGACCAGCCTGGCTAACATGGTGAAACCCCATTTCTACTAAAAATACAAAAAATTAGCCGGGCATGGTGGCGCGTGCCTGTAATCCCAGCTACTCAGGAGGCTGAGGCAGGAGAATTGCTTGAACCCAGGAGGCGGAGGTTGCAGTGAGCCGAGATTGCGCCATTGCACTCTAGCCTGGGGAACGAGAGTGAAACTCCGTCTCAAAAAAAAAAAAAAAAAGAAGAAAGAAAACAGATACTTAATAATCGAGAGAAAAATTACTAACTCTATAGTGAAAAAATCTGTCAGAGAGCTCTTTAACCAAGTGAATCATTAATATCAACTGAACTAGGACAAATTTTTATAATGTGCTGATGAACAGAAGGACACAGCATCACTGCTGGGATATTACTTCCCCAAAAAGTAAATTATAGCCTGAATTTAACCATAAAGAAACATCCATTTTATGCAAAGTTTGAGATACAGATATCTCCCATGTTCTGCAATTTTTAATAGTAATTTTAAATAGTCTTTCTTTAGCACCCTAGACAACATATATCTCCTAATAATTTTCTTCAGAACTTTCTGGGTAGTAAATGCCATCCTGTTTCAAAAAGCATTTTCTTAATCCTGTTCTGCATAGAGCTAATGGAGAAGACAGATGAAACCTCAATATTACATGTTCTCCTTGACTAAGGACCCCAGCTTTTCCCCAATAGGAATCTTGAGTATATTCATCCTCCCATATTCAATAGTCACAAAGGGAACATTTTTAAGATCATAAATTCATGGTGAGAATTCTACATGGCATATAAGAAGCCATGATGTAGAGAAGGCTCCAGTATATAGGAAGAAATATTTGCCTGGGTGCGGTGGCTCATGCCTGTAATCCCAGCACTTTTGGGAGGCCAAGACAGGCAGATCACAAGGTCAGGAGTTCGAGACCAGCCTGGTCAACACGGTGAAACCCCGTCTCTACCAAAAATACAAAAATTAGCCGGGCATGGTGGCACGCGCCTGTAATCCCAGCTAGTTAGGAGGCTGAGGCAGGAGAATTGCTTGAACCCGGGAGGCAGAGGTTGCAGTGAGCCAAGATCATGCCGCTGCACTCCAGCCTGGGTGACAGAGTGAGATTCCTTCTCAAAAATAAATAAATAAAAATTTTTCAGATACTTGACTATAATGAAAATTTTTTACAGTAGTTAAAACAAACTCATTAGGGAGGAAAAGCACAAGTAGAGAAGGTTTATAAGTACTAAACACATGGCATTCCAGGAGGCACAGTGGACACAGCTCTTGATCTGAGACACTTTTAGCGGAAAAATAGCCATTTTTTCCTCTTTCTCTTCCTGCTCTGGGATTCTTTCTCAGATGATTCTCTGGAGAAATTACACCTGAATCTTAAGAATATGGCTTTAAAGGTGTCGGCACCACCTGTTTACCTGCTACCACCACACCCACAGGCAGAAGGTCCAAGACCTGCAGAAAAAGTCCACCCATTTCTGTCCTCTATAACAGAAGAGATTCAGGAAAAATAAGCTGCTCTATGGAGATAATGATATCTCCTTTCCCGTCCTCAGATGCCCTCTGCTACCACAGACACCAACAATTTTTGCTAAAGTAATGGAAATATGGGGCACTCTGCCCTGTCCCTACCAAACCCAAAGAAAACAGGCCTTGTGACCACCCTTTAGTGCGAAGATAGAACTTAACACTCACGAATGTATCTTGAATCCCTCATACTTGATTCTGGCCTCACCTTAGAGTCACATGAGGCCCTTAAAGCAATATGGATGTTTCCAGAACAATAGAACAGAACCTGTGGGGAGGGCACAAATAGAGATTTCTGCAAACTGGCTATGTAATCTTAATCAGAAGCCTGGGCTGATAAACGCTTAGCTAATTATTATCTCTCAAGCACTGATAAGCTTATAAATCACTTGGTGATTTTGGCCCCACTCTATGTAATGTGATTCTGCAGGTTTGAAAATGGTCCATGAAAGGGTATTTTAAACAAGTCCTCTATAGATGCTGATGTTGCTCCCCCTGCGCTCATTATTAGCACTAGTTAGACAAAGCAGGCACATCACAGAATCCCTTACACTCAGCACTCTTGTCAAAATACAAATACTTCTGGTACAAATAAAGACAACCAATCTTCATCCTAAAGTATATTCTTTGTTGGCTCTTTAAAGTTTACAGAGGAAACAGAGGCCAGCAATGTCCAAATAAGTCTGCATTTGGAAAACAACATTTACACATGCACTAATGCAATGTTTATTAAACAGGTACTATGTCCTCAAGAGTATGTTACAGAGTACTGCTAGGAATAAAACATTACGTGATTTAATCCTCGTAACACCCTGGGAGTTGGTTTTGTTTAATAATTGCCAGAATTTAGAAAAAGGGCCCAGCATTTATATTTGTCATTTTTTTTGTGAAAAATGTACAGAATAAAAGCTACATATAGACAGATGAGAGGAATAAAGAAAAGAGTTTAACGTAGTTTGGAGGAATTTTTATTGTGTTTATATTTACTTGTTTGTGGCTTGTGGAGCAACTACTGGGTCTTCAGGAATAGAATAAGGAATAAGTTGCTAAATGGCATGTTTCTGCATGCACTGATTTTAATACAAAATTAAGAAATTAAGGCCCTAAAATATTATTTTATTTTTCCCATTTATCTGCTTTTAGATTTCAAGAAATCCTGAGCAACAGCTCTAGAAAGGCAGCCGAATTCATCACCCAAAACACTTCTCTTTCAATCAGTTCTGTAAGGCTAGACTCCAAGGTGAAGCCAGACTTCAATAAGGCCTCCAAAAAGGGTGAATCTGAACAGAAATGGGGCAGGGAGAGGACACTATGTAGAATTCTGCTCTCTATGCCACTGGGGTATTTCCGTTCTGTTTTTCCTAAGCTTACCTAAGAGAAACTTAAATCCCACAGTTTGTGTAATTTTAATCTTTTTTAGCCACTGCCCTGTCAATTTTATAACATATACTAATAAGCAATTTAAACAAATCTCTTAGGGCTTTCTAGCATAATTGTATTAGAAGATAAATATGTATTCTTAACAAGGTAAAAGAAACAGAAATAATAATAACAACTCTTCTGTCCATAAACATCCATTCAAATGATGACCTCAGAAGTCACAACAATATAAAGAAGCGGCCCAAATGAAGCCCCCATTTTTTGGCGTGACTCATTTCTCTTACACTGAGACAAAAGCAGAATGAACCACTCTTGTCAGCCTAACACAGTTTTACTCTGGACATCCTCAAATGTTTCAAAGATGCCTAGGTGATTGTGAGAGGGTTCTCAGTGATCCTGGGCTGATGGCCCAGTAGTAAGCCAGGCAGTAGAGACTTAGGCTGATTCTAAATAGAAAACAGAACTGCCCTGGTGGAGCTCCAGAACCTGGATTACCTGTCCTGATCAGGTAGTCTTTGGGTAAGAGAAAGGACAAGAATACTCTACTCCAGTATCACATTTTTTACAGGTAGGTATAGTTGTAGTCATGGCTCTGGATACTTTGTGGCCTTGATCTCTCACTCCTAAGATGCTTTGTTTACATTTACAGATTCTGCCATCAGATTCTATTTATACCTGGCACCTCTCACGTAACAGTAACAGGTCACTGAACAAGATCTGAAAAGCTCAAATAGCCACACTCTCAAAGGAGGTAGCTTTAAGATGTCTATGTTGACATCTCACAATGCAGAGAATGCCTCCTCTTGGTTTTCTGTACATTTTCAATCCAAAGTCTGCTCCTGTCTTGCAAATCCCAGGCCAGACATGTGAAGATTCTAGATGGGGTCAACCTGGCTCTGCATTCTTGGGTGTTACAGCAAAAGTACAACCAAAGGAGAGATCCCCTCATAAAGGCTGCTCTGGCACATTCTAAATAATATGTCCTTAATTTCCTCCTTCATAGGAAAAAGCTGAGGAACCACAAATGTAAGTAGACAGTTCACTTGGGCCAAGCTTGAAGATTGTAAACTGGGAGCAAAGATTCAAGTTGCCTGGAATCTAGCAGCAGTTACAAGTGGATTTTTAAAGGCAAAAAGAGATAGAGAGTGGGCTGATACAAAATTGTCAGGAAATCTTACTTATTTACTAAAAACAACCTTGATTACTGATTGACATACATTTCTAAGCTGTATAGGGTGTGGGTTATAGTGTTCAGCGTAGCATTATTAGTTTAATTTATAGCTACTCGTGGCAATAGCAAGCAGTTTCAAGAGATAAATACATAGCTCAAAGGAGAGAGAAAGACACAATTGTGGTCTCGTTTTAATGTCTCTTTGAGCCTTATAACTAAAAGGATTTGCATTTCTCAGATAAAAGGTTTACTGCAAGACCCAGATTCAGAATGTGGAGCCGCTAGTTTAGGTCCTGGATGGGTAGAATAGCAGTAAGTGTTACCTGCACATTTGTGGGCATTTTAAAAAGAGAAGGAAGGGGAAAGTGGAGATTCTCATGCCTACATGTCTACTCAATGCATGCATGTTACTCTAACGGGCCCCACAGTCTCTGAATCAGTTTCAGGTCTAAAGATACAAGAGTCATTGAAAGAGGTAAAATGGTTAATTGCTGTTCTGTGAAGTATTTAGAAATTTGGTCTAGCCTCTCTAGATGTGATTATACAGGACTAGATACCAAATAGGCAGAGGCACGATTCTGCCTGCATATTCAGGGGACAGCATGCATTTTGCAGCACAATCATGAGTTGACTGGAAGCCTGAGACAAAAAGGCCCATCTAGATTAAAGCTTGGTTGGCACCTTATATGTTTATATCATGTGTGGTAAGTTTAAACAGTGTTTGGAAAATATAATTAAAAGGAAAGTTTTCTCCAGCCCCAGAGTAACTCCACAATGATAAAACAGAAAGAAAACTGTTTTATTACACAATTACACCAGAATGTGACACGCATCACAATCTGCTTAAGAGACTGCAAAGACAGAAAGACGGTCACAATAATTAGTCCATAAGTAGAAGAATTTACAGTACCATGTTATACATAGTTCATCCTAAATTCACCTGGCAACTGGGGAGGCCATCCGTGTAAGCTAATTGGCTATATTCAATGACAAAATAAACTTTTCACATCTTCGTGACAGGAGGTAGTTTTGCAATTTGAAGCCAGGTGCCTGCTGAAGGTAGGCTCTCACTCTCCTATAGAAATGGTTGAATATAGTGCTCTCTTTTTGGCTATTTGCATTTTAAAGCAATAGCTCTCTACTCTGAGCACTACCACAGCAACATGATACCAGTACAAAAACAGGCTCAGAGACCAATGCAACAGAATAGAGAGCCCAGAAATAATGTGGCACACCTACAATCATCGTATTTTTGACAAAGCTGACAAGAGAAATGTAGGAGAGATTCCCTGTTTAATAAATGGTGTTGTAATAAATAGCTAGCACTATGTAAAAGATTAAAACTGGACTCCCTGCTTACACTATATCCAAAAATAAACACAAGATAAATTAAGGACTTAAATGTAAAACTTAAAATTATAAAATGCCCTGGAAGATAACCTAGGAAATACAATTCCAGACATAGAAACTGCCAACGATATTATGATGAAGATACCAAAAGCAATCGCCACAAAAGCAAAAATCGATAAATGGGACCAAATTAAACTAAAGAGCATCTTCACAGAAAACAAAAACAAAACCCACAAGAAACTATCAACAGAGTAAACAGACAACCTAGAGAATAAAGAAAAATATTTGCAAACTATGCTTCTGACAAAGGTCTAATATCCAGAATCCATAAGGAACTTAAGCAAGTTTACAAGAAAAAAAAAACCTTATTAAAAAGTAGGCAAAGGACATAAACACACGCTTTTCAAGAGAAAGCAGGTGGGTGTGGTGCCTCACACCTGTAATCCTAGCACTCTGGGAGGCCAAGGTGGGTGGATCACAAGGTCAAGAGTTCGAGACCAGCCTGGCCAATATGGTGAAACCCCCGTCTCTACTAAAAAAAATACAAAAATTAGTCAGGCATGGTGGGGCGTGCCTGTAATCCCAGCTACTTGGGAGGCTGAGGGAGAATTGCTTGAACCCAGGAGATGGAGGTTGCAGTGAGCCGAGATCGTGCCACTGCACTCCAGCCTGGATAACAGAGCGAGACTCCATCTCCAAAAAGAAAAGAAAAAAAAGAGAAAGCATACATGTGGCTAACAAGCATATTAAAAAAGTGCTCATCACTAATCATTAGAGAGATGCAAACAAACAAACAAAAAAAACACCACAATGAGATACCATCTCACACCAGTAAGAATGGCAATTACCAAAAAAGTCAAAAAAATAATAGATGTGCTGGCAAAGTTGCAGGGTAAAGAGAATGCTTATACTCTGCTGGTGGGAGTGTAAATTAGTTCAACCATTGTGAAAAGCAGTGTGACAATTCCTCACAAAACTAAAAACAGAATTACCATTTGACCCACCTCCTAATTAGGTATATACCCAAAGAATACAAATTATTCTATCATAAAGACCCATGCACATGCATCTTCATTGCAGCACTAGTGACAGTACCAAAGACATGGAATTAACCTAAATACCCTCAATGGTAGGCTAGATAAAGAAAATACATTGTGGTTGAGCATAGTGGTTCACGCCTGTAATCCCAGCACTTTGGCAGGGTGAGGCAGGTGGATTGCGTGAGCTCAGGAGTTGGCGACCAGCCTGGGAAACATGGCAAAACTCTGTCTGTACAAAAAATACAAAAAGAAAAATTAGCCAGGCGTGGTCGTGCACGCTGTAGTCCCAGCTACTTGGGGGGCTTAGGTAGGAGGATTGCTTGAGCCCAGGAGATTGAGATTGAGGCTGCAGTGAGCCAAGATCACACCACTGCACTCCAGCCTGGGCGACAGAGTGAGACCCTGTCTTCAGAAATAAATAAAATAAAGATTTAATAAAAACAAAATATGGTACATAAAAATAGTGGAATATTGTGTGGCCATAAAACAAGAACAAGATCATTTTCTTTGCAGCAACATGGATGGAGCTGGAGACCATTATCCTTAGAAAACTAATGCAGAAACAGAAAACCAAATGCATGCTATCATTTATAAGAGCTAAATAACAACAACACATGGAGACAATAAGAGGAAAAACAGACACTGAGGCCTAGTTGAGGGTAGAGGGTGGCAGGACAAAGAGGATCAGGAAAAAAATACCCATTTGGTTCTATGCTTAGTACCTCAGAGACAAAATAGTCTACACCAAACACCCACAACACAATTTTACCTATAGAACAATCCTGCATGTGTACTCCCGAACCAAAAACAAAACAGAAAAGATCCATGGGTGGGGGAGAGTGCACTGTAGATGGAAAGACTGGTTTGTGCTACAGATAGTGGCGTGGGGCTGTCCTCTCATTTATTTGTGTCCATGCAGGCAGATGAGATTATGAACAGGTGGTGCAGAACCCTAGGTTGGTGGAGAAAGCAGGCTGATGCTGTAGATTCAGTGTGGAGGTGGGGATATGCCAGGAGACTTGTAGACAATTTTGTGAGCAAGAAACAGGTTCAAAAATGCTGCGGTGAAATTCCTGAGGGTGGTGCCTAGTCCTGGGAGGAGTGTGTGCACATCAATGTCTAGTGAGTATGTTTGTAAGTGGGTGGGAATCATGTGGTGGCAGCTGTGGGGAAAGGATGTCTGTTATCAGAGCTTCTTTCCTCTAAGTTTTCAGTCCTCTCTCACCATGGCAGGAGACCTGGAATCCTAGGACAACGGGCAGTGTGACAGCCTGTGTACAGGAGAGCAGAGTCTCCCATTCCCAGACACCCAGAGTTCCATTCCAGGCCAGGCCTCCGTGATATCTTTCTTCTGTCCCCAGATCTGTAGATTGGTGAACACCAAGCAATTCTCCAACACCAATTCATTTTCTAACATTTGAATTCTGACACCATCCAGAGTCTGCACGGACCCTGATTCAGGATTCAGTCCCACAACACTGTCTTCACTGCCGATGTCAGTCAAAAACCTCATTGGTCCATCTATTCTTCTTAGCTACTGCTTAAAAACTGGGGACTCCCATAACCTCCCTCCAGTTCAATAATTTGATAGAGCTGCTCACAGAACTCAGCAAAACACTGTAGTTATGTTGACCAGTTTATTATAAATGATACAACCCGGGAAAAGTCAAATGGAAAAAATGTATAGGACAAAAAAAAGAAGCAGGGAAAAATGAAGCACATAGATAATCCTGGTAAATAGCTGTGATTAACAAAATTCTCCATCCTTTCTGTTCTCCAGGAACAGTTTATGGAAAGAACCACTCTTACCATTATGACTTAGATGGTGCTCTCTTTTCTTACCTATCACATAGTCAGATAAAGACTGCACATTTTATTTTTCTCATTTAAAAAATCAGCTGAATTTGGCTTCAGTGGTCAAAAGAAAAATACTTTTTTTTTTTTTTGAGACGGAGTCTTGCTCTGTCGCCCAGGCTGGAGTGCAGTGGCACGATCTCGGCTCACCGCAAGCTCTGCCTCCCGGGTTCACACCATTCTCCTGCCTCAGCCTCCCGAATAGCTGGGACTACAGGCGCCCGCCACCACGCCCAGCTACTTTTTTGTATTTTTAGTAGAGATGGAGTATCACCATGTTAGCCAGGATGGTCTCGGTCTTCTGACCTCGTGATCCGCCCACCTCGGCCTCCCAAAGTGCTGGGATTACAGGTGTGAGCCACCACGCCCGGCCAAAAATACTTCTTAATCAGACTTTACTTATCTCCTTCCCACCAACTCCTGCGCTTTGAGCTACCTTCAGTCTGAGCCAACATACAACCTCACTTTATGTCCCTTCTAAGAATATACTGACTTCAAGGTAAAACATTCTCTCATCTAAAATCTGATTTTTTTTTTTTTGAGACAGAGTCTGGCTCTGTTGCCCAGGCTGGAGTGCAGTAACGCTCAGTTCACTGCAACCTCCATCTCCCAGGTTCAAGGGATTCTCCTGCCTCAGCCTCCTGAGTAACTGGGATTACAGTCGCCCGCCACCACACCCAGCTGATTTTTGTACTTTTAGTAGATCCGCCCACCTCAGTCTCCCAAAGTGCTGGAATTACAGGCATGAGCCACCATGCCAGGCCTAAAGTTTGATTCCCTCCATTTGCAGTTCCCCGCCTACCTTCTTTCTAATCTTGTTTGCTCCTATGAAAGAAAGCCCTTGTCTGCCTAAACTTTGCAATCCTTAAAGATCTTGTAGTTGGTACTTCCTCCTGTTGCAATACTCCTTTGGAATTCAAATGTTTTTACATAATTCTAACTTTGTTTTATTTTAGAAAGTAACTGCCAGGCTGGGCGCAGTGGCTCACGCCTGTAATCCCAACACTTTGGGAGGCCGAGGTGGGTGGATCATGAGGTCAAGAGATGGACACCATCCTGACCAACATGGTGAAACCCCGTCTCTACTAAAAATACAAAAATTAGCTGGGTGTGGTGGCACGAGCCTGTAGTCCCAGCTACTCAGGAGGCTGAGGCAGGAGAATCACTTGAACCCGGGAGGCGGAGGTTGCAGTGAGTCTAGATCGCGCCGTTGCAGTGAGTCTAGATCGCGCCAGTGCACTCCAGCCTGGCGACAAAGCAAGACTCCATCTCAAAAAAAATAAATAAACAAATAAAAAGTAACTGCCTCAAAACAAACTGCCTCTAGAAACTGCCTCAAAACAATGACAGCTTTATCTTCAGTAAGACCCTCCCAATCCCCTTCCATCTTAATGTTAACTCCATCTGCCTGTGGGTCCCCAGCTTTCCAGGGCTCTGTAGCTTCTCTCAGTATAAAGACTTCTTCTATGGCTGGGGTGAGCAGGCTGGGACATCTTCAGGGGAGGCTCCCCAAAAAGAACCTAACTGGGCCTTTAATAACCTCCTTTTGCAGGCTCAATAATAGCCATAGCTTGGAGTCATTGGGCTGAAGCTTTAATTTCCATGTTAGAGTCATTCTCTTGGTTTTTGAAACTAAGTGTTTGAAAAATCCAGCAAAATTACTCAAACACAGTATAAATACGAGGGAAGGAAATTTTAAGGTGCTTACATTTCACACCTCAATAAGAAAAGCAAAAGTATCTATTACCTTCAGACAACAGATTTATTATTTTATTATTTCCATTAAAAATCACGTAGTCATATGGGAACACTTTTAGTAGGTACCAAGTTTAATCTCGTAAAATTTAGCGTGAAACTCAGACATCAAGATAACATGGTATAGAACAGACATATTCGCTGTAACAAATTTACTCTGCAAAGTGAATCTATGTAACTCACCAATTATCTACCATATTTTCTTGTGGAAATGTATTCATTTTCTACAGCCAAAATGGAAGAGAGATTATCTCTATTCTTTTCCTTGGTAGCATTCTAAAAGCTAAGCCTTAGAATTATGTTTGTAATTACCCAGCCATAAAAAACACAAGTGGGCTAGGCGCGGTGGCTCACGCCTGTAATCCCAGCATTTTGGGAAGCCAAGGTGGGCAGATCACGAGGTCAGGAGTTCAAGACCAGCCTGACCAACATGGTGAAATCTTGTCTCTACCAAAAATACAAAAATTACCCAGGCATGGTGGCACGCACCTGTAATGTCAGCTACTCAGGAGGCTAAGGCAGCAGAATCGCTTGAACCTGGGAGGCAGAGGTCACAGTGAGCTGAGATCACACCACTGCACTCCAGCCTGGGTGACAGAGCAAGAGTCTGTCTCAAGAAACAACAAAAACAAGTGAGAAAATTCCTAAACTCATTCTGGGAAAAACAAAAAAGGTAAAAGAATTTTTAGCAAATGGAATATGTGATTAGATATTAATTTTTTCCTGAAACTCACCTCTTTTATGCCCTTTGTAAATATGTCTTACCTTTCAAGCCCTAATAAAATGAAAGTCAAAATAAGTAAAAAAAAATATTTTCAAGGTGACAAACCCAGGAAGTAGCAGTGCTGATCAGAAAACAGATTTGTCAGCAGGCGTGGTGCCTCACGCCTGTAATCCTAGCACTTTGGGAGGCCAAGGCAGGTGGACTGCCTGAGCTCAGGAGTTTGAGACCAGCCTGGGCAACAGAGTGAAACCCAGTCTCTACTAAAATACAAAACACTAGTCGGGTGTGGTTGTGCGTGCCTGTAATTCCAGCTACTCGGGAGGCTGAGGCAGCAGAATCTCTTGAACCCAGAAGGCAGAGGTTGCAGTGAGCCGAGACCACGCCACTGCACTCCAGCCTGGGCAATAGAGGGAGACTCAATAACCACCCTCTCAGAAGACACTATACCCCAGGTGTATTTTACTTTGCAAGTTCTTGTACCATCTCACTGGGATCAGGTTGTTTTTGTTTGTTTGTTTGAGACGGAGTCTCGAGGCTGGAGTGCAGTGGCATGATCTTGGCTCACTGCAATCTCCCTCTCCCGGGTTCAAGCGATTCCCCTGCCTCAGCCTCCCGAGTAGCTGGGATTACAGGCATGCACCACCATGCCTGGCTAATTTTTTGTATTTTAGTAGAAACCGGCTTTCACCATATTGGCCAGGATGGTCTCGATCTCCAGGTCAGGTTTTGTTGTATCTTTTGGAATACTTTTTTTTTTTCCACAAATCTTAGAGAATCCTGGGGACAGAAATAATTTTGGTGTTTTCCTCCCAGTACCAGCATCTGATTGGCTGACCAGCAATGTTTCTCCAAGAAATGAAAGCTGGGTTGAGTGAAGACAATCTTAATATCTCAAGGGGTAAGCTTTTCAAAGGAAGAGTAGCCCAGGAGATGCTTCTCAGCCCCAGGGCATCCACCTGCTCCCTTGAGAAGCTACATTCCATACTTCAGGTTATTCTACGAGAGAAAATGACCCAGGAGCTGATATTTACTAGACACTCTAGCGACATTGCCATGGTAGGTATCTTGCCCCAGACAGTACTAAAACCCAGGACCAGAAAAAGAACTGAAGGGTGGCTGAGAACACATCACCCCATAAAGTTTCCAAAGGGAAAGCAACCATGACCCAAAAACATTCTGATAAGATCTCTGTGCCTAAGGAAGATAAAAAGAAAAGAGGCACAGAGATTTACAATACAATGTTAGGGGATTATTCTTTGCTTTCTTCTCATAGGAAATATTTACAAACAGGAAACAAATCTTTTAAAACGTGCCATCCAATGCTTTGCCAAAAATGATTAATTAAAATATGCCATCGAAAATGTACACTAAAGGAAACACACTTGCTAATGCGAATTAGGGAGGGTAAGTTGGCATTTGGGAATGTCAGAAGGAACTGGAAATTTAGTATTTTACTGCAAGCCAGAATTAAGCTGGAGGAATGAGGGATGGGGGGTAGACTTGAGACCCTGCTTGGGACACATGTGAAAACTGCAGGGGAAAATCAGTCCCCTGTGGATGTGAAAATAATTAAGTGGCAGGCAATTAGATTGAGGTGGCTCTAGTCCCTGGGTTCCTACTTTAAAAAAAATATAATTCAAATGCATTTTTGGCGGGGGGAGGGGAGGGTAAATAACACCGAGGGAACAAAATTCAGGCTTAACCAACTATAAACTGACAATCTCTGATTACATGACCAGGAAATTTCTACCTTAATCATACAAATTAAAAAACGACGTAACTGTACCTAACCAATTATTAAACTTGTTTTTTTTCATTATGCATCTTATAAAAGTGTTTCCTTCAAGCCCCTCCCACGGACCACAAACTACAAATCATAGCTGGGTGCTCTAAAATTCCTGAATCGCTCTTTGATTAAATTCTTCAATATTTTTACCTTGACTCCCATAAATTTTTAATAGGAAAAAAGAGGACCTGAGAACCACACGGACCAAAGCTCTTCCCATTCATAAACCCCGCACCCCGAGTCAGGATTCTTCTCTTTACTATTCTCCCGTCGTCCCTGCACACTCGGCGAGAGATGCGACGCTGCGGGTGCAGAGCTGCCCAGGGAGGGCTCCAGGCCAAAGCACAGTCACTGCGCAGGGAGGAGACAGGACGCCCGGGGTCCCGGCTGTCAGCCCAGCCGCCATCTTATGGCTGAAGGAGACTGAGGGCCGAGCTGCGCCAAGGAGAACTCGGGCCGCGGATCTCGGAGCCGACTGCGGGAAGGCCCGAGGCCCGCCACAGCCACTTCCAATCGGTTCCAGCCAGACCCTCCCCCTCTCTCGGGATGTGGGACCCAGCAGGCTCACCATTTCTAGGCTTCCAGGGGGTCCTGGCGTCTTAGCTGTGAACCTCCAAGTTCTTGCAGGTAACAGGGTCACAGCGGCGAGCCTTTATCAGCACAGGACGCAGAGCAGTGAAGACTAGACGTGGAGCGCCGGCTGCAGCGAGAGACAAAGGCCCCGCCAAATCCCGGAAGCTGTGCTGTCCGCTCCAGTTGCGTGCCTGATTGGATGGTTCCCAGCCCAGCGTTCCTGATTGGATAACGTTTAAGGCCCCGCCCCTTCGGGCCCTGAGTGACGGGAGATGTGATCAGATGCTGGACTGAAGGAAGAGTGACAGCCTAAGCTGCAGCCTTTTCAGACGGGGCTTCCTCCCTGAGCTGAGTCAGGCCCACCCCAGACAGTATTTGCATTTAACCTTGTGAATAAGGCCATATGCATTTATAAATAGTATATTATATGTCTATTCACAAATGCAAAGAATATAATACCAATTATTCAAAATTTTCAGATTTTATGACCTTCCTGGCTTCTGGTTTTGTTGTTTTGTTTTGTTTTTGGTTTTTGTTTTTTGAGACAGAGTCTAGCTCTGTCGCCAGGCTGGAGTGCAGTGGCACGAGCTCAACTCGCTGCAACCTCCGCCTCCCAGGTTCAAGCGATTCTCCTGTCTCAGCCTCCCGAGGAACTGGGACTACAGGCGCACGCCACCACACCCAGCTAATTTTTGTATTTTTAGTAGAGACGGGGTTTCACCATGTTGGCCAGGATGGTCTTGATCTCTTGATCTTGTGATCCGCCCGCCTCGGTCTCCCAAAGTGCTGGGATTACAGGTGTGAGCCACAGAGCCCGGCCAACTTCTGTTTTTTTAAGCAGGCAGCCTGAAATTTTAAAAAGAAGGCAATCCTCTAAAATAAAATGTGGGCGACACGTGAATTGTACATTTTTTAGCAGCCAAACTTTAAAAAGAAACAAGAAACAGGTGAAATTGATTGTAACAATTTAACCCAATATATCTAAAACCTTATTCTAATATGTGAGTGATATGTAATTATTAATAAAGTATATATATTTATTTGGAACTGAATCTTTGAAATTAACTCTATTTTACCTTTCTAGCACATTGCAATTCAGACCAGCCACATTCCAGGCAGCCAGTAGCTACACATGGCCAATAGCTGCCACATTGAAATGCAGCCCTGACATCAGGAGGGTGAAGGGTCTGAACACCCCTTTTCTGCCAGAAGTGAGGGGACAGCCTCTCTTTACCAACATCTTTCTACAGTTTTGAGGGTGGAACAAGATAGTCACCATAGAAAGAGCAGAGGGCAGCAAGAATAAAATAACCACAGGTACACCACTGCTGGCCACCTGTTGCCCACCTTTCTTCCAGAGATCAGACAGTAACCAAAAGATGATGGGGCCACAGGAGATTAAACGCTATGTCTTCAGATCTCTCCACAGTCATCACTTCCAGTGTTTAAGTATAGAGAAAACAGATTAAAGGTAAACTTATTTTGCTATTTGGCCTGGCCCTAGTGGCCAGAGTGTGTTTATCTGTTTTCTCCTGTGGCGTGGGGATTGTGTGAGTACAAGTACCAATCCCATGCAAACATGCCTACATATTTTTCTGCATTACTCAATATTATCTTACAAAACATCCAACTTTAGAGCAGAAAAAAAAATCAGCACTTTTAGGGTGCCAACTGTTGGAAGGTAACTATAACAACCAGTAATCAACCTGTCATTAAATCCTGGCATCCTATCTGCACTGTGTGCACGTATTAGTTAGGTATTGCAGCATAACAAACCAACCAAGGCTTTTTTTTTTTTTTAAATACAGAGTTTCGCTCTTGTTGCCCAAACTAGAGTGCAATGGCACGATCTCAGCTCACCGCAACCTCCGCCTCCTGGGTTCAAGTGATTCTCCTGCCTCAGCCTCCTGAGTAGCTGAGATTACAGGTATGCGCCACCACGCCTGGCTAATTTTGTATTTTTAGTAGAGATGGGGTTTCTCCTTGTTGGTCAGGCTGGTCTCAAACTGCTGACCTCAGGTAATCCGCCCACCCCGGCCTCCCAAAGTGCTGGGATTACAGGCGTGAGCCACTGCGCCCAACCCAGCTAAGGCTTCTTAGCTCACAATTGAGATGGTCAGTCATTTAAGCTGGGCTCAGTGGAGCAATTCTTCTGATCTCAGCTGAGCTCCTTCAGACATGTGTTATCAGCTGCTTGTTAACTAGGCAGCTGTGCTTCTGGATGTGCGCTTCTGGAGCTGTCAACAGGGACACCTTGCTTCTCCTCCCCATGGTATGTCATCCTCCAGCTGCCTAGCATGGGCTTTTTTTCACAGAGATGGCAGCATTGTGAAAGAAAAACAGAAGCATTCAAGACTGCTAAGCCCCAAACTGGCACGCTATCATGGTCACATGTTTTTACTGCCTTGAGCAAACAAGGCCAGCCAGATCTAGGTTTCGGAAAACAGATTCTGGATCTCAATGGGAACAGCTGTAAAAATCCCTGGCAACGGGCGTGGACATAGAAGGGATAAAAAATTGCTACCATTTTTGCAATCAGTATCATTCTACCTTTTTTTGCATATGTGGTTTATAGAACTCTTGTACATCAGGAAACTTGTCCAAAGACCCACATCTACTAAGTGGCTGGGCTGAGATTCAGGATCAACTCTGTCTGACCCCAAAGCCAATGCACCTCCATAAATAACACTACCAAAGTAACTGCCTTAGACCCTTGAAATCCTGGCGAGTGACCCTTCTAGAATAGATGCCAGATTCTTTCAAATTTATGCCCATATAGTACTGTTTAATTATTGCTAATACTCTCAAGAACTGCAGATGCACACGGTGGCTCACGTCTGTAATTTTGGCAGTTTGGGAGGCTGAGATGGGAGAATCACTTGAGCTCAGGAGTTCAAGTGCAGCCTGGGCAACATAGTAAGATCCTGTCTTCATGAAAAAAGTTAAAAAAATTAGCCAGGCATAATGGCATAATGGTGCATGCCTGTAGTCCCAGCTACTCGGGGAGCTGGAGCAGGAGGATTGCTTGAGCACGGAAGGTCAAGGCTGCAGTCAGCCATAAGTGGTTACACCACTGCACTCTAGTCTGGGTGATACAGTGAGACCCTATCTCGAAAATTTTTTTAAAAAAAGAAATTGCAGAAGCATTTTGAAAGAACGTAGAATAATCTGGGAAAATCGCTGAGGGATGAGTTTAGAAAATCAAAGCCCAACACATTATTTTTTATTGTAAAAAATTTGAAAACTTAAAAACAACCAACTTTAGAGATATTAAATTTATCAGAGTTTAATTGAGCAAAAAATAATTTGCAAATCAGGTAGCCTGTGGATCCAGAGTAGGCTCAGAGAGACTTCAGCACAGCCACCTGGTAGAAAAAGATTTATGGACAAAAAAAGCAAAGTGACACACAGAAAATGAAAGTGAGGTACTGAAACAGCCGGATTGATTACAGCTTGGGATTTGCCTTATTTGAACATTGTTTGAACAGTTAACTTTTTTATTGGCAAAAACACAGTGGTTGGTACAAGAATGTGTTACAGTCTACTTACATATCTAGTTAGGTTTCAGTTTACTATCTTGAAAAATACCTATTGACCAAACTTATACAGGAAAGGGGGCAGGTTTAGGCTATAATTAATTTAACAATTTTTCCCTTTTGGTTACCTTCTCAATTTTCAGATGTAGACCAAAACTTTAGACACTGATATCAGTCTGTCACCATTAAAAATGTACTTATTTAGTTTCAAATCCCACTGTGAAGTAACAGAACTGTGGGTTTCGTAAAGTGGAAATAAAGCCTTCAGGTTATTTTTTTAAAGGCTTACAGTAAGAGGACCTCCTTGTGTTGAAATCTACTGTTTACACATGAAAAACAAAACCTGGCCTATAGATCTTAAGGATCTACCTCTTTCCTTAAATTTTCAGTTTATGTGACATTTAGCATGAGTGACTCCATTTTGGTTTGGTTTGGTCTGTTTGGGCCTAGTGCACAAGCTCAGTCAGGAATAGTGGCCTCCGATAATTTTGTTTTAAAAATTCCCTCCATTTGGTTAAGTTCTCATGTGGGTCAGATTTTGACCAAAACTCAGGGCCTTCGTGCCACTTAGTTTCCATTGTTTTGGGTTTTTGTCCTTATCTATTATGTTATTCATAGGTCATGGTGTCCTCATGGTCACATATGTCTTTAAGTTTTTGTCATTCCAGTTAATGAGAAACCATTTGACATTCTGGAGATGACTGCATGCAAACATTTATAACTTTTGAGAGAATACAGTGCAGTAGGGAGACTACTATTTTGACATCAGGAGGGTAATACCAAGAGATTGAAGTACGCTTTTTAGCCAGGGTCCCCATGAACAAACCAACTACAATTAAATAAATCAAATAATTAGCTAGATAAATGATCTATTCATTTCAACCAAGCATCCTGTTCATTAATCTCCTGTAACTGAATCTCTGTAATATCCAATGTATTTCTCTAGTGCAAATACAAGTATTAGCAACTGCACAGATACTTCTCTGTTTATCCAGTAAGTAATCTAGAGAAATTCATCATTTAGCACAACTTTAATAAGAAAGTTTAAAGTCTATCGTGTAACCATAGCCTTTACAGTAAAATCTGCTACAGACCCAATTATAGGGGATAAATTTCTAACCATTGCCTCATTTACTCTAAACCATGGGAAAAAAGACCTAAAAATTATGCCCATTCAGAGGAGTAATGGCTTCCTGGCAATGCTCCCTAACCAATTCTGAATAAGTTCTCTTTAACTTATGAAGTAGGTTAAGAGCAGTGGACCAATATTCTGTTTCTGGTATTATGAGGCAACAAATGTCCCATTAAAATTTCTCACCTACATTGGCCCTTCATCTTTTACCTATCAAGGCATAAGTTTGTTCATATATAAGGTTTGGTGCAAAATTCTCTACATATAAAAGTATACCCCATAAGTGCACACAAGAGACCCCTTTTTTATTTTTGTTATTTACAGAGCCATTAAAAAAAATCTGTGAACTAAGAGTGTCATGATAGCAGAGATGTCTTGATTTTTTATCTTGTGTAAACAGCTATTTACATCAAGGTTGCCATCTTCTTTTGAGGAGAATCTTCCCTGGTTAACTTTACCTTAAAATCTCCAATGGGTATACAATTGCAAGAGATTGGAGGGCCCCTTCTGAGTTATAAGATTATGAAATCAAGGTTCAAGGTCCTCAAGTCTTGCTGCAGTGCAGATGGCAACCAGACTCAATCTCTGGGTTCTAGAGTATAAAGGGTTTTACTATCCTCAGTCAGTAGACTATTAGCTTTCTTTACCTGGTGAAAATATGCTTGGCCATAATGCCCTAAAGCCTTGCTGAATTTAGTGATAATTAGACTTCGGTAGCAGAAGATGCATGAGGTTCTATTATTAGGTGCATAGGACTTCCAATGACTATTTTATAAGGGTCAACACATTTTTTCCCCTCTAAGTGGATCTGATTGTCATCAATCTGCAACTACAAAAGCAATCCAATCAATTTACTTAGCTTTGCTCAATACTAGTGGATCTATAATACCTTATTTAACCGTTTTACAACTATTCTAATGAAATAAGTATCCTTATCATTGGAGACTTTTTCAGAAATGTCCCGTGAAGAAAACATGTTTCCTAATATCCTTTAAGCTACTGTTATAACATCAGCCTTCTTGCATAAGAAAGCTTTTATAATACCAGAAAACATGCATTAAAAATTACAGTAAAATATCTGTACAAACGTTTAACTGGCCCACCATGTAGCAGAAATGTACACGAAGTTTCAGTTTTCTTCTCAGGATTGTATGTTTTGTTTGTTTGTTTGTTAGTTTTTTTGAGACGGTGTAACATATATAATCTGCAGTTGCTTCTTGGGGGCATACTAAGCATGTCTGCTAGGTCTAGTTGTTTTTACCTTTTTAACTTTTTTGTATTTTTAGTAGAGATGGGGTTTCACCATGTGGCCAGGCTGGTCTCAAACTCCTGATCTTGTGATCTGCCTGCCTCGGCCTCCCAAAGTGCTGGGATTACAGGCATGAGCCACTGCACCCGGCCAATATTTTAGTATTTTAACACACAAATGACTCAGAAATGTTATGATGATTATTGAATTACCGTAATATGATTTTAATATTTTAAATTATAGAAAAGGATTTTGAAACTATGAAACAGGCATTATTCTCATTGTATTTCGCAGTCATCTTGGCTCTTAAGTAAGCATGCGGCACCCAAGATGGGTATAAAAGTCAGGTTTTGAGTAAGTCGTGAATTTATATACCAAGTGTGGAGCACAGGGCAGAAGAAAAATCCATCCTCTTTTTTTGCAGTGGCCTGATCTCGGCTCACTGCAAGCTCCGCCTCCCGCGTTTACGCCATTTTCGTGACTCAGCCTCCCGAATAGCTGGGACTACAGGCGCCGGCCACCACGCCTGGCTGATTTTTTTGTATTTTCAGTAGAGACGGGGTTTCACCGTGTTAGCCAGGATGGTCTCGATCTCCTGACCTCGTGATCCTCCCGCCTCGGCCTCCCAAAGTGCTGGGATTACAGGCTTGAGCCACCGCGCCCGGCCTCCATCCTCTTAAAGAAAAGCGAGGAGCAAAGCTGGAACAGAGAAGAAGGGGCCATATTGGGCTTGATTCTGTCTGGTAGCTGCCAGTGTAGGCACTGAGAATTTGTTGCCAGGCCTCAACACGGCCACCCAACCTGACACCTGAGTCCACAGGCTCAAAACCAAAAATTTGCTCAAGTATTGAATTATATTTAAATGATTATTATGAAGCCTTTTTTTTTTCCTCGAGATGGAGTCTCACGTTATTGCCCAGGCTGGAGTGCAGTGGTGTGATCTTGGCTCACTGCAACCTCTGCCTCCCAGGTTCAAGTGATTCTCTGCCTCAGCCTCCCAAGTCACTGGGACTACAGGCACCCACCACCACACCCAGCTAATTTTTTTATTTTTAGTAGAGACGGGGTTTCACCATGTTGGCTAGGTCTGTCTCAAACTCCTGACCTCAAGTGATTTGGCCTCCCAAAGTGCTGAGATTACAGGTGTGAGCCACTGCACCGGGCCTACAAAGCCATTTATATTTAACCAACAATTTAAAAACTACCTTTATTTACCAAGTATGGTCACATACACATAACACGTATAGACATAAGGACAAACATATAGAAGCAGATCTTATAGCTTTTCTAAACAATTTTCATCTGCTGGCTTTTAAATACTTTTCATTTTTCCCATTTAGCCTATCAAACTTCCAGTTACCTGTTTCATTGCTCTAAGCAATTTTTGTCTAGGCAACAAGCTTGCGTTTCTAATGGGACAACTTAGGTGAAACAAGAAACGTATATTTCTAAAGCACAGAGCTAACAATTTAGGCTAAAATGTTGTATTATTTTTTCGACCAATGAAAATATAGTGTAAGTAAAAGTTTAGTTAAGAGAAGATGGTCAGAAAAGCATATTAAATGTATGACTTGTGTAAATTTAAAACAATACTATTTTTTTTTTTCTGTCACCCAGGCTGGAGTGCAATGGCCTCATCTTGGCTCACTGCAACCTCCATCTCCTGGGTTCAAGCAATTCTATTGCTTCGGCCTCCAAAGTAGCTGGGATTACAGGCGCCTGCCACCATGCCTGGCTAATTTTTTTATTTTTTTGTATTTTTAGTAGGGATGGGGTTTCACCATGTTGGCCAGCCTTGTCTCAAACTCCTGAGCTCAAGTGATCCACCCTCCTCGGCCTCCTAAAGTGCTGGGATTACAGGCATGAGCCACAACGTTCGACCAAATATTTTTAATGTATTGCAGACACCTTACAAATAGAGATTTCCTTTACAGACATAGATTTTTTTTTTAAACAAAAGGATTTCAAGATAAATTTCAGGAAGTCGTAATTTAGTTCAAAAGGTGGTCTTTCTAACTTTGCTACTGTTCCTTGGCTATAATTACTGAGTTCAGCATGGAGCCTATTAAGAAATAGAGCAAAGAAAAAATTCTCTAAGGCTGGACTAAGCATGGATACATCTGACAAAGTAGCAAGCCTGCTTTACCTGAGGGTGTACTTTTACAAACACTTTATTTAGGATAATTTTCTTTTCACCTTCAAGGAGAAATGTCTACATATCTGTACAGATTTATAGCTATCATCAGTTTCTAATTTTCTTTCACTCTGGTTAGAGAACACACATTGCATTTGTTAAATACTTAAATTGCATTTTTTATTTTTATGGCATTGAGTATATTCTCTCCTAGAGAAGATTCCACATGCATTTAAGGAGAATATATAACCTGCAGGTGCTTCCTGGGGGCATACTAAGCATGTCTGCTAGGTCTAGTTATTTTTACCTTTCTTTTCAAGTGCTTCATTTTCTTGCTGATCTTCTTACTGCTTTTTAAATGATTATTAAAAGATATGTATGTCTTCGATTATCATCGTTGAATTCTCTATTTTTTCTTCATTTTTCTCGGTTTTGACTTTATGTATTTTGCCGATTATTTCTTGGTGTATATATGTTTATAATTGTCATGCCATCCTTTTTATTATCTTTTTTATTATCCATTTTATCTCTATCAAATGTCCTACTTTATGTCTATTAAATATTTTTGTTTTAAATTCTGCTTATTCTAATTTTAAAATAACAGCTACAACTTTCTTTTTTCTTTTCTTTCTTTTTTTTTTTTGAGACAGAGTCTCGCTCTGTCGCCCAAGCCGGAGTGAAATGGCATGATCTCGGCTCACTGCAACCTCTGCTTCTCGGGTTCCAGCGATTCTCCTGCTTCAGCCTCCTGAGTAGCTGAGACTACAGGCGTATGCCACCAAGCCTGATTAATTTTTTTGTACTTTTGGTAGAGACGGGGTTTCACCATGTTGGCCAGGCTGGTCTCAAACTCCTGGCCTCAAATGATCCGCCAGCCTCGGCCTCCCAAAGTGCTGGGATTACAGGCATAAGCCACCGTGCCCAGCCAACAAATACAACTTTCTTATGGTAGCTATTTGCATGCTTCCGCCTTTTCACTTTTATAGTATTTGTTCTTTTGTATCCAAAGTGCATGTATTGTGAACAGCATTCAATTAGATTTTTCTATATTTAATTTTTTAAATCTCAGCTTTCCTTAATTGTTTAATTTTTTTTTTTTTTTTGACGTAGTTTCACTGTGTCGCCCAGGCTGAAGTGCACTGGTGTGATCTTGGGTCACTGCAACTCCACCTCCCGGGTTCAAGAGATTCTCCTGCCTCAGCCTCCTGAGTAGCTGGGACTCCAGGCGTGCAGCACCACACCCAGGTAATTTTTGTATTATTAGTAGAGATGGGGTTTCACCATGTTGGCCAGGCTGGTCTCGAACTCCTGACCTCAAGTGATCCGCCTGCCTTGGCCTCCCAAAGTGCTGGGATTACAGGCGTGAGCCACTGCACCTGGCCCTGTTTAATCTTTTTATATGTAATGTTATTATTTATATAGCTGTGCTTATATTTGTTATATTATTTTCTTTTCTATAATCTCATGCATTTTGTTATATTTTTCTACTTCTACTGCTTTGTTTTGCATTAAGAGCATAATTATTATGTAACATTCTAATTTCTTTCATAATTTTCTTCACATATTTTTGGAATTATACCCTTAGTTGTTTCTCTAATTCTTACAATTAGAGATGGAGTCTCGCTCTGTCGCCAGGCTGGAGTGCAGTGGCACGATCTCAGCTCACTGCAACCTCAGCCTGCGGGGTTCAAGTGATTCTCCTGCCACAGCCTCTGGAGTAGCTGGAACTACAGGCGTGGGCCACCATGCCCAGCTAATTTTTGTATTTTTAGTAGAGACAGGGTTTCACCATGTTGGCCAGGATGGTCTCGATGTGTTGACCTTGTGTTCCGCCTGCCTCAGTCTCCCAAAGTGCTGGAATTACAGGTGTGAGCCACCGTACCCAGCCTAAAACATACTTTTTTTTTTTTTTTTTTGAGACGGAGTCTCACTCTGTCTCCTAGGCTGGAGTGCAATGGTGCGATCTTGGCTCACTGCAACCTCTGCCTCCCGGGTTCAAGCGATTCTCCTGCCTCAGCCTCCCGAGTAGCTGGGATTACAGGCACCCAACACTACGCCCAGCTAATTTTTCTATTTTTAATAGAGACGGGTTTCACCATGTTGGTCAGGCTGGTCTCGAACTCCTGATCTCAGGTGATCCGCCCGCCTCGGCCTCCCAAAGTGCTGGAATTACAGGCATGAGCTACCATGCCCGGCCCCACAATATACATCTTATGTCATTAGAATGTGTTTCACATTTATACAAACTTAATACTAATGAAATACAAAACATGTTGGTTCTATATTATTTGTTCCTCTCATTTTTGTTGTATTAATTTTACACTTATTATATCCACATGTTATAAATTTGACACATTTTTACACTTATTTTATATAATTTTATTTATTTTAAGGAAAAGGTAATTACATATCTACGTCTTTTTTGATAATCATCCTTTTATTAGTTGTTTTATTTACTTATTCCAGTGGAATCAATTTATTATCAAGAGATTTTATTTTTTTGAGACAGAGTCTTGCTTTGTCCCCCACGCTGGAGTGCAGTGGTGTGATCTCAGCTCACTGCAACCTCAGCCTTCCAGGTTCAAGTGATTCTCCTGCCTCAGCCTGCCAAGTAGCTGGGATTACAGGCGCACACCACCACGCCCAGCTAATTTTTGTATTTTTAGTAGAGACGGGGTTTCACCATGTTGGTCAGGCTGGTCTCGAACTCCTGACCTCGTGATTTGCCCGCCTTGGCCTCCCAAAGTGCTGGATTACAGGCATGAGCCACCACACCCAGCCTATATTCATATTTTTATACAATTGTTTGTCTGAAATGAAGTAAGATAATAACGAAAAAGTAATATTCTTTTATACTTTCTTTTGTAATAATTACCTTTACCAATACTCTGTCATTTTATGTGAATTCAAATTATTATCTGTGGTCAGTTGATTTTAGCCTTATCTTCGTTTAATATTTTCTGTAAGATGGGCTGGCTAGCACCAAATTTTCTCAGTTTTTTTGCTCTGGAATGTGTTTATTTTACATTTAGTTTTAATAAATATATTTTCTCAATGTAGGATTTTTACATGACAATTTTTCTTTGAGGAATAAGAAAATTTCAATTGAACGTGAAAGGCTTTCAAGAGTGATTAGTCTTAATAATTAAAGCCTTAATAACTGAGGCTTATATAGTTTACTAACTAAAGCCTTTTAGTTTTAATAACTAAGAGCTTAGTTATTAAAGGCTTTAGTTTTAATAAATATATTTTCTTAGTACAGGATTTTTACATGACAGTTTTTCTTTGAAAACTAGAAACAAATTTCAGTTAAACTTGAAAGGCCTTTCAAGAGGACAAATCAATACCTAAAAACGCCAACTGGGTTAACATAGGAAAGCCTATCAATGGCAGAAGATAATATGTTAAATTGGGTTGGAGAGAGCAGTGAGAATAAAACTTGTGGACAATAAAAGTATATAAGGTGAGCCAGGCATGGTGGTTCATGCCTGCAATCCCAGCACTTTGGGAGGCCGAGGCAGGTGGATCGTCTGAGGTCAGGAGTTTAAGACCAGCCTGGCCAACATGGTGAAACCTCATCTCTACTAAAAATCCAAAAACATAGCGAGGCGTGGTGGCCGGCGCCTGTAATCCCAGCTACTCGGGAGGCTGAGGCAGGAGAACCACTTGAACTCGGGAGACGGGATTTGCAGTGAGTCGAGGTCACGCCACTATACTCCAGCCTGGACAACAAGAGCGAAACTCCATCTCAAAAAAAAAAAAAAAAAAAAAACAAAGAAAAAGAAAAAGTATATAAGGTGAGTAGTTCTGACTGAGGTCAAATGAGGAGCTATTATTATTATTTATTTTATTTTATTTTTTTGAGACGGAGTCTAGCTCTGTTGCCCAGGCTGGAGTGCAGTGGCGCAATCTCGGCTCACTGCAACCTCCACCTCCTGGGTTCCAGCGATTCTCCTGCCTCAGCCTCCCGAGTAGCTGGGATTACAGGCGCCCGCCACCACACCCAGCTAATTTTTATATTTTTAGTAGAGACTAAAAGGTTAACTTTTAGGTTCAACATAGGTTTCACTATGTTGGCCAGGCTGGTCTTGAACTTCTGACCTCAGGTGATCTGTCCACCTCAGCCTCCCAAACTGCTGGGATTACAGGCGTGAGCCACAGCACCCAGCCAAGATCTCTTGAAGACAGGTTATCTCAAAACTCAAGGAGCTTAAAATGGAGGCATTCTGCTCTTCTTAGTAAACGCACCTCAACAAGTTAGTTGAGAGAAGAGGTGAAAAGCAGCCTGTATTTTGCTCCCATGTCTGGTCCGCTGGCTTACAGATGTGTTGTCTGCAAGACAGAGGACTTTGCATATGTAAGTCTGATAGAGGTAGCATTTTTCTAATTCCCACAAAGGTGCTTTTGGTCTAATTCTGACTGTGAAAAAACTAGAGACCACTGGAGAATATATGTAGAAGACACCCTGAATCACTTCAACCACGGGCATACATTGGGAAATCTGGCATTGTGTTCTATTTATTGTAATGTTTTGGTTATTGGGAGGTATTGGTTTTGCTGCCAAAGACTAAGACCACACAATCTACCAGGCCAAAGTTATCGGGAAAAGTGAGCTCACACAGAATAATTTAAAACCCAGTTATTCCTATTGTGTTTTCCAGTAATTCTGTTCAGTTTTTCCTTTTGTGGCTCCATTTCTAATTATCAGAAAGCTAGGACTTGTCATTCTTATAGAGTTTACATTAAAATTATGGGTCTGGAGGGGGATGAGCTAATGGCATGGCTTCCTTGTAAGTATATATTGGGGGCCTCATCCCTCATGCATAGACTCACTTCAGGACTCATTTGGGTAAATGTCTATTTGTCAGCATTATTAAAAGTGAGAGTTCAAGACTCAGGTAAGTGATTGAATGAGGTAGAATTTTCTCAATAAAATGCTAAAATAATTCCCTTCTAATAATTTCAGTAATATATCTTAGTGAGTAATAGCTAAATGCAGTAGAAGTTTCCAAATTAAAAGATCAATTTCATGAATTTTATTAGGCTATAAATTTTGAAAGGATTTTAAAAATTTTGAAAGAATTTGTAATATTACCTTTGAATTAGAATTGCATTTTACATTTTATCATTTTTCTAATTTTAATTTACAGTATATATAAAACTAAAATTTTGAATGTTATTATAAAAGATAGCGGAACTTGTTCAGAATTCAGTCATTCTTTCTTCTTCCTTTTTTTTTTTGAGACAGATTTTCGCTCTTGTTGCCCAGGCTGGAGTACAATGGGGTGATCTCAGCTCACTGCCACCTCCGCCTCCCTGGTTCAAGCGATTCTCCTGCCTCAGCCTACTGGGTAGCTGGGATTACAGGCGCTTGCCACCTTGCCCGGCTAATTTTTGTATTTTTAACTCCTGACCTCAGGTGATCCACCTGCCTCGGCCTCCCAAAGTGCTAGGATTACAAGTGTGAGCCACAGCACCCGCCCATTTTTTTTCAGAATTGGAAATACTTTAGTATATTTATACTCTTTACAACCATCTAAAATTGAAATGTAGTAAACCATAAGATTATTATTCAACCTTTCTCATTTATTAGCTTGTAGCAGATAACCATAAAAAATGTTTAATTCTGTTACAGCAATTGCTAATACAAAAATGTTCTAGTTTTTATAAACTAGAAATATCTGCATTTGGCATTTACTAAATTTTTGTGGAGTTAGTTACTAAATAACAGATATAGAAGCTTTTAATAGTAAGCATAATTATAAACATAAATTCAGTTATAGTATTTCATATCTCATCACAAAACTAAGTTATAAAATATTATTCATATTAATCGGCTGGGTAACACTTTTTAGCAATAAAAGAATAATAATCTGCAAAAATTGAAGAAGATAGCATCCCCTTTTTATTAAAAAAAACTCTGGGCCGGGCATGGTGGCTCACGCCTGTAATCCCAGCACTTTGGGAGGCTGAGGCGGGTGGATCACCTGAGGTCAACAGTTCGAGACCAGCCTGACCAACATGGTGAAACCCCGTCTCTACTAAAAATACAAAAATTAGCCGGACATGGTGGCACACACCTGTAATCCCAGCTACTAAAGAGGCTGAAGCAGGAGAATCGCTGGAACCCGGGAGGCAGAGGCTGCAGTGAGCCGAGATGGCACTACTGCACTCCAGCCTGGGCGACAGAGTGAGTCTCTGTCTTAAAAACAAAAACAACAACAAAAAAAAAACCTCTGAATTTTTTACTCATACAGTCTCATAAAATTTTAAATTTGCAATTTGCTTTTTAAGATATATTCACAAATTTGAAAAGTATGTTTCAATTTTGTTAATAAAATGTACACGTTAATGTTTTATTTCAGTAGGGATAGTGTCCTTTTATTGTCTATGATTCTTAAAATGAAAGACAGTATGAAGTAAGGGTACTTTGAAATCAAAAGACAAAATATTGATAATAATTGTTTATTTGTGACCAATGAGGGCATAAAATTGTTAAGAAAATTAAACAGTACAAAATTATGTAATCACATAAGCGTCTTAATATTCGATAAGGCATTTTAATTCTGTGTGTCTTTGTTTTGTGCACTTAGAGATAGTAATGTCAGAGAGAAAAGAACCTCAACTACTTTCAGTGTACATTTCCAACTTGGAAATATCTCTCCAAATTTAATATTTGACATGGTTAGTATGACTCTCATTATCTCTTTACTGTTATGCACATGGATATGATGACAAAGGATATTGGAAGGCTTTAGATAAAAAAAAGTGTTTATTGCCGGGTGCGGTGACTCACGCCTGTAATCCCAGCACTTTGGGAGGCCGAGGCGGGCAGATCACGAGGTCAGGAGATCGAGACCATCCTGGCTAACACGGTGAAACCCCATCTCTACTAAAAATACAAAAAATTAGCCAGGCGTGGTGGCGGGCACCTGTAGTTCCAGCTACTCGGGAGGCTGAGGCAGGAGAATGGCGTGAACCCAGGAGGCGGAGCTTGTAGTGAGCCGAGATCGCCCCACTGCACTCCAGCCTGGGCGACAGAGCGAGACTCCGTCTCAAAAAAAAAAAAAAAGTGTTTATTCACTAATATCTTAGTTGGGATGACCAGAAAACAATCGACAACAACAACAAAAAGAAACAAAAAACTGGCCGGGTGTGGTGGCTCACGCCTGTAATCCCAGCACTTTGGGTGGCTGAGGCGGGTGGATCACGAGGTCAAGAGTTCGAGACTAGCCTGACCAACAGGGTGAAACCCCATCTCTACTAAAAATACAAAAATTAGCCAGGCGTGGTGGCGCATGCCTGTAATCCCAGCTACTCAGGAGGCTGAGGCAGGAGAATCAATTGAACCCGGGAGGCAGAGGTTGCAGTGAGCCAAAATTGAGCCACTTCACTCCAGCCTGGGTGACAGAGTGAGACTCTGTCTTAAAAAAAAAAAAAAAAAGAGAGAGAGAGAGAGAGAAACTTCCATTAGGATTGTTAGGGTTTTCTAATATTGGCAACACAGTATTTGTGACCAAGCCCCTCCAGAGTCTTTCTGTGTGCTACTTTTGCAGTGATACTTCCCCTGCCTATGCTTTTTCCTAGGGCATCTGAGAATTAAGTGTTTTGAAATTAGCAATATGTTTGTCAGCAAGAATTGTGTTTTCAGTTAGACCCAATACTAAGTTTAATTTCTAATAAATTGTTGATGCATTGCAGTGATTTGATGACATCTGATGATTATATTTCTTATTCTGTCATTTGTGTTTAATAAAGATCATGCATCTTAAATTTCAGTATCCATAATATTTCATGAAAAAGAATATGAATGATGCCAAGAACTTCTCATAGCTTTAATGCAGCAACAATTGATCGAATGCTTTTTAATAAATGCTACAAATGAAGGCATAGCATCAAGTGATGAGTTTAATTACATCAATATTCACATTTCAAAAAATCTAAAATTCTTTCAATATAAAACAATAAACTTCAAATATAATTATAACTCTTCAAAGATCAAACTCTTGCTTCTTTTAGTCTTACATAAAAATAAATTATGTATTTTAACTTTTTTTTGAGACAGAGTCTTGTTCTGTCGCTTAGGCTGGAGTGCAGTGGCACTATCTTGAGTCACCGTAACCTCCGCCTCCCGGGTTTAAATGATTCTCCTGCCTCAGCCTCTCGAGTAGCTGGGAGAACAGGCGCCACACCACTATGGTTCGGCTACATTTTTTTAATTTTTAGTAGAGACAGAATTTCATCATGTTTGCCAGGCTGGTCTTGAACTCCTGACCTCAAGTAATCCACCTGCCTTGGCCTCCGAAAGTGCTGGGATTACAGGCATGAGTCACCGAGCCCAGCCTTAACTTTGGATTAATCTCTATAATCAACACTCTGCTTAATGTCTAAAGTGTTGTGTGTGCCTTAGTGATTTCTACTGTGAATTATCTGATGATTACTTTGGCTATATTTATTTTTTTACATTTACTGAATCTGAAAAAAATCTCATTTAATGTGAACATTTTGCTGTTTTCTAAAAACATCATTTAATGTGAACACTCTGATGTCTTCTGATATTTTTAGAACAGCTTTTCTTCATTTATTGTATTTGTAGTGTCTGTCTCCAATACAAATTCTCTAAAGTTGAATAAAGTGTGAGCAACTGTTTGAGGATTTCTCTCCAGTATAATTTCTCCTGTGTACAAGAAGATCAATGATATAAGTGAAGGCATTGAACTCGTCTTTGTATTTGCAATGTTGTTCTTCACTAAAACTTTTTGCAATCTAAGGCTTGTATTTTGTAAAATGTCTTTAGACAGTAATTACATTTATAACACTACTAGTCGGTATGAACTCTTCCATATCAAGTAAGATAACAGGTATTACAGACATTGCCACATTCTTCACATCTGTAAAATTTTTCTCAGGTTTAAATTTCCTCATGTACAGTAAGGTGTAAGAACTGGTAAAAGGCTTTGGCACATTCTTTACATTTGTATGGTTTCTATTTGGTGTGAGTTGCCTTATGATTAGCAAGATTTGAGTGTTAAAGGCTTTGTCCCACTCTACATTTTCAGGGTTTCCCTCCAGTATGAATGTTCTTATGTTCATTAAGGTGTGAGCTCTGATTAAAGGCTTTGCCACATTCTTCACATTTGTAGAATTTCTCTCCAGGATGAGTTATCTGATGTCTAGTAAGGTATGAAAACCATATAAAAGCTCTGCCACATATTACCCATTTATATGGTTTCACTGCAGTATGAATGTCCTTACGTTGAGTAAAGTATAGCAACAATTTAAAGGCCACACTCTTCACATTTGTAGGGTTTCTCTCCACTACAAAGTATTACACGTTTAGTAAAATTTGAAGACTGTGACTATGTCACATTTGTCACATTTATAGATTTCTCTCCAGGATGAATTCTCTTATGTTGAGTAAGGGATGAGGACCACTTAAAGACTCTGCCACATCTTTCACATTCGTTGGGTTTCTTTTCAGCATAAATTCTCTTAATAATAGAAAGGGTAGAGCAAGATTTAACCACTTGGCTACATTCATTACATTTGCAATGTTTCTCTCCAATATGACTTCCCTTATTTTCAGTTAAGTGTGAGCACTTATTAAAGCCTTTGGCACATTATTTACATTTGTGGGGATTCCATCCGGTATTGATTCTCTGATGTTGACTTACAATTTAAGACATTTAAAATAATCTGTTACTTTTTTTACATTTAAAATCTTTCTCTCCAATATGTCCAGCATGTCTTATGTCTATTTATTATTGAAGATTTACTAAAGACTTTCACACATTTATTACATTGAAAGATTTTGCTATGAATAGTGGATGAACATTGGTTAAGTCCATTGTAACATGCCCCATACACTCACCCACACTTTTTCAGTCTTTTCTTACATGTAAATTCTGAAGATTGCAGTTTCCATGTCTTCTCAGTATTACACTTTGGAATTAATGTATTTTGCTTTGCTTTGGCAATTTATCTTCAGTGAAATAGAAGACACCATTGGAAGAAAGAAAAAAAAAGTATCCCACTTACTAGACTCAGGTGAATATGCTTTACACATCTAATGTATAAAGTTCTACCAAGTACCTGAGCAAGATGGCATAATAAAATACCACAGGTCTTTATATACATACACACGTAACAAGAATATACTTAATGAAATTCCATTGTAATAATTCTAAAAATTAAGAGTTTGCAGCACTACAGGTTAGCACAATGCCAAGAGCCAAATAGAAGAAGGAAAGTGTATTACATTTACCCATTACAACCCTTCTTCCTCTCCAATGCAGCATGATGCCTCTAGAAGTAAATTTCTGACTTCTCCCTCAAGAGAGAAAGAAAATACTGGCAGAGATGTCCATACTTCTAGCTTTTAGGGAACTTTTTAAAGACTGATTTTTGTCTCCTATAACATAAAGTGCTAAAAGGAATGGTGCTATACTTTGAATGACAGGCTGCTTCTGCTGAGAGCAAAGATAAATAATTCTCACAGCAGTACAGAGAGGTCAGTATCACAAATAAACAACAGGTATAGCAAGTGATTATAGTCTCTTAAGAAGAAACACAGACAAACTTCATTAATTTAAAAAATGTACAAACAATCCCAGGGTAGACACATCCTGAAGAACAAGTTTGAGAGGGTTCTAGAATCTCTAGCTTGGTCAACTGGTATCAGACTCCCTCATGACAAAGCCACTTTATAAATACTGTGACAAAAAGCTTTTTGTAAATGCACAAATTTCAATAAAAGTTTATAACATATACAAAGTTTCACCATAATATGGCCCTCAAAACCCTCTATAAATATCCATATATCAACCCTAAAGAAATGGAGAAATACCAATTACCTGAAAAATTCAAAATAACTATCTGAGTGATGTTCAATGCATAAAATGGGAAAACAGACAAGTAAATGAAAGCAGGAAAATGAGAATATCAGCCAAAAGATTAAAAGTATAAAAAGAAACAAAAACTACGGAGCTGAAGAATATATTAAGATATAATGACTGAAAAATCCTCAAACATAAAGAAAACACTTGTAAAAAATCAAGAAGCTTAACATACTTTAGGATAAACACAAAGTGACTCATAACAAGACAGATTATAAACAAAAATTTTAAAGTCATAGATAGGCTGGGTGTGGTGGCTCATGCCTGTAATCCCAGCACTTTGGGAGGCTGAGGCAGGCAGATCACCTGAGGTCAGGAGTTCAAGACCAGCCCAGCCAACATGGTGAAACCCTGTCTCTACTAATAATACCTTTAATCTCAGCTACTCGGGAGGCTGAGGCAGGAGAATTGCTTGAACCTGGGAAGTGAAGGTTGCGGTGAGCCAAGATTGCACCACTGCACTCCAGCTTGGGCAACAGAATGAGATTCTGTCAGAAAAGAGAAGAGGAGAGGAGAGGAGAGGAGAGGAGTCATAGACAAATACGGAATCTTGGAAGCAGCAAAAGAAATCTAACGTGTTGTCTGTAAGTTTGTTACAATGAGATTGGCAGTGGTTTTATCCACAGAGTCCCTACAGGCCAGAAAAAAAAGTTGAGAAACACAGTTAAAGTCCTGAAAGAGAAAAATTTCCAAGGAAGAATACTATAACCAGAAAAATTCTTCTTCAAAATGAAAAAAAAATTACAAGATAACCAAATGCTCATTAATATTCACATTTCAAAAAATCTAAAATTCTTTCCATGTAAAACAATAAACTTTATTTTTTATTTTTTAAAATTATTATTATACTTTAAGTTCTATGATACATGTGCACAACGTGCAGGTTTGTTACATATGTATACATGTGCCATGTTGATGTGCTGCACCTGTTAATTTGTCATTTACATTAGGTGTATCTCCTAATACTATCCCTCCCCTCTTCCCCCACCCCACGACAGGACCCAGTGTGTGAGGTTCCCCACCCTGTGTCCAAGTGTTCTCATTGTTCAATTCCCACCTATGAGTGAGAAAATGTGGTGTTTGGTTTTCTGTCCTTGTGATAGTTTGCTCAGAATAATGGTTTCCAGCTTCATCCATGTCCCTACAAAGGACATGAACTCATCCTTTTTTATGGCTGCATAGTATTCCATGGTGTATATGTGCCACATTTTCTTAATCCAGTCTATCATTGATGGACATTTGGGTTGGTTCCAAGTCTTTGCTATTGAACAATAAACTTTAAATATAATTACAACTCTTCAAAAATCAAACTCTTGCTTCCTTTAGTCTTACATAAAAATAAATTCTGTATTTTAACTTTTTTTTTGAGACAGAGTCTCGCTCTGTCGCTTAGGCTGGAGTGCAGTGCCACTATCTTGAGTCACCGCAACCTCTGCCTCCCGGGTTTAAATGAGTCTCAAAATAAATAAATATTGGCCAGGCACAGTGGCTCACGCCTGTAATCCCAGCACTTTGGGAGGCAGAGGCAGGTGGATCACGAGGTCAGGAGATGGAGGCCATCCTGGCTAACTCAGTGACACCCCGTCTCTTCTAAAAATACAAAAAGTTAGCCGGGCGTGGTGGCGGGAGCCTGTAGTCCCAGCTACTCAGGAGGCTGAGGCAGGAGAGTGGTGTGAACCCAGGAGGCGGAGCTTGCAGTGAGAAGAGATAGTGCCACTGCACTCCAGCCTGGGTGACAGAGCAAGGCTCTGTCTCAATAAATAAATAAATAAATAAATAAATAAATAAATAAGTGCATCGCCAGTAGACCTGCCCTACTAAAAGTGCTAAAGGGAGTCCCTTCCATTGAAAATAAAATGCTAGAAAACAACACATCATATGAAAATACATAACTCTCTGGAAAAGCCATATACGTAACACACATATAAAACTGTGCAGTGATAAAATGATGATGCAGCAAACACTGACTGTACTCATAAACATGATAGACAAAAGAACAAATGTAATTATAAACACCTGTTAATATAAAAAGATACAATTAGTGACATCAATAACAAAGTTGAGGGCAGATGTAGTTTAAAAAAAATTGGGGCCGGGCGCGGTGGCTCACGCCTGTAATCCCCGCACTTTGGGAGGCCAAGGTGGGCAGATCACTTGAGGTCAGGAGTTCAAGACCAGCCTGGCCAACGTGGTGAAACCCAGTCTCTAGTAAAAATACAAAAATTAGCTGGGTGTGTTGGCACGTGCCTGTAATGCCAGCTACTCGGGAGGCTGAGGCAGAATTGCTTGAACCCAGGAGGCGGAGGTTGCAGTGAGCTGAGATCGCACTGCATTCCGGCCTGGGTGAAGAAGCAAGACTCCATCTCAAAAAAAAAAAAAAAAATTGGATGCAACTGAAGATCTTTCCAGTTTAAAATATATAGTTGTAACTTTAAGAGGTCTTATGTAATGTCCATGGTAAACATAAATAAACTACCTAGAAAGATATTCCATAAAAAATGAGAAAGGAACTAAAATCTGTCAATATGAAAACAAATGAGACAGCAAAGAAGACAAAGTGAAAGAAAAAGAGAACACAATAGTTACAATAATCAAATAAAAAAATTAATAACATGGCAATAGTAAGTCATCTTCTTTCAGAATATTATTTAAATATTTAGGAACTAACTTTCCCAAATAACAATCATATATTATAAAAAAATTTTTTTTAATTGCATTAAAAGCTCCAACTATATTCTGCATACAACAGTTTCACTTTAGATCTAATGACAAAAATAGACTAAAAGTGGCAGTATAAAAAAAGATATTTCAGGCAGGGCTCAGTGGCTCACACCTGTAATCCCAGCACTTTGCGAGGCCAAGGTGGGTGGATCACCTGATGTCAGGAGTTCGAGACCAGCCTGGCCAACATGGTAAAACTCTGTCTCTACAAAAAATACAAAAATTAGTAGAGCGTGGTGGTGAGTGTGTGTAATCCCAGCTACTCGAGAGGCTGAGGCATGAGCATTGCTTGAACCTGGGAGGTGGAGGTTGCAGAGAGCCGAGATCATGCCACTACACTCCAGTATGGGAGAAAAAGCAAGACTCCATCTCAAAAAAAAAAAAAAGGCAGATATTTCAAAAAACAAAAACAAACAAACAAGAAGATATTTCATGCAAATGTTAACTGAATGAGAGCATAAGAGATCGCAATTAATTGGACAAAATACATTTTAAGTCAAAATTTGTCATCTTTCATAAAATATACTTTAATTCAAAACTACAAGAGGCAAAAAAGACTTTAATAAAAGAGTTCATTCATTGAAAACCTATGACAATTGTATATCTGTGTCTGTCTGTGTGTTTATGTGAGCATATATCTATATCTACATTTATATCTCACATCAGGGTTTTTAATTTATAAAGTAAACATTGACAAAATTAAAGTACAAAACACACAGGGAGCAGAAGACTTGAAACACTGTAAAATCACACCTAATAGATGTATAGCAAACACTCCACCCAACAAAATACACAACCTTCTCAATATCTCATTAAACATTCTTCTTGATACTACACGTTAGGTCATAAAACAAGTCTTCACTAATTTTTAAAAATTGAAAACTTACTGTTTATTATTTATGACCAAAATGGAATAAAATAAGAGAAGGACATATGAAACATTTACAAATATATAAAAGTTAAACAATACACTCTTGAGCATACTCTTCTTTAAGGGTGGGAAGACAATATTATGAAGATGTCTTTAGGTAGATGATATACTACTTAAAGTGAGCCACAGATTCAATGCAATCCTTTTCAAATTCTCACTTTATTTTTGCATAAATAGAAAAATCAACCCCCAAATCATATGAATATGAAGTGACCATGAAGAGCCAAACAATTTTCAAAAATCAAAAGCAATGTTGGAGACATCACACTTTTTTTTTTTTTTTTGAGATGGAGTCTCACTCTGTCACCGAGGCTGGAGTACAGTGGTGTGATCTCAGCTCACTGCAACCTCTGCCTCCAAGGATCAAGTGATTCTCATGCCTCAGCCTTTCGAGTAGCTAGGATTACAGTCGTGTGCCACTATATCCAGCTAATTTTTGGATTTTTGGTAGAGGTGTGGTTTCGCCGTGTTGACCAGGCTTGTCTCAAACTTCTGGCCTCAAGTGGTCAACCTCCCTTGTCCTCCCAAAGTGCTGGGATTACAGGCGTGAGCCACCATGCCCAGCCTACAATTCTTGATTTTAAAATACATTCTGAAGCTACAATAGCTAAAGCAGTTTGATACTAGCATAAAGGCAGACAACCAGAACAACAAAACATAACAGAGTACTCAGAAATAAAGCTTCCCATATGCAGTCAAGAGTTATTTGCATACCCATATTTATTGCAGCATTATTTGCAAAAGGAGATAGGTCAAAGAAGCCCAAACTTTCCTCATCAAATGAATGAATAAATATAATTTGGAATATAAAAATAATAAAATATTACTCAGCTTTTCAAAAGCAGAAAAGGTAACGTAAAAAATATAAATCTTAACATGTTAAATAAAGTAGGTAGTCACAAAAACCAGATATTGTCTGAATCCACTTATAAGAGATATCGATAAACAAGAAATAAAATGATATTTGGAAAGGTCTAGGTAATAGAAAAACAATGGGTAGTTTTTTCACGTGTATTGAATTTTGGTTTGGAAGATAAAAATGTTCTAAGATATGTTGCATGATAATGTCACTATACTTAACATGACTGAACTACACATTAAAAATATTTAAGATTATAAATTTTATATGGTTTTGAACACTATTGAAAATAAACAATAAAAACTAAAAAGATACAGAATTATGAAACTTTTCAAAAATTACCTTTGAATCACAAAATATTTCTCTTCTACAAAAATAATATGGATTGTCCAATAAACAGATGTGGAAACTAAGACAACTTTCATGACTACTTACCTAGACAGGATGAACAACCATTGATCAGCAACCGAAAATAATACACTATAAAAAAAGAGAGGATATTTATACAGGCAAACAAAAACATAGATAGTTAAATTGCCAACAGACAATTTGAGTCAAGGAACATAAGTCAAGTGACATATGACATGCATATCTAACTTTTTCTTAACACCTTCTTTTTCTTTCTTTCTTTTTTTTCTTTTCCTTTTTTTTTTTTTTTTTTTTTGAGATGAAGTCTCACTGTGTCACCCAGGCTGAAGTGCAATGGCTTGATCTCGGTTCACTGCAACCTCTGCCGCCTCCCGGGTTCAAGCGATTCTCCTGCCTCAGCCTCCCAAGTAGCTGGGATAACAAGTGCTCGCCACCCAAGCCTAGCTAATTTTTGTATTTTTAGTAGAGATGGGGTTTCACCATGTTGGTCAGGCTGGTCTCGAGCTCCTGACCTCAGGTGATCCACCCACCTCAGCTTCCCAAAGTGCTGGGATTACAGGCGTGAGCCACCGTGCCCAGCAACACTTTCTTAAAATATACAAAGTTGAATATTTCTATTAAAACTATAATATATAAATAAAAACTAAAACACAAATTATGTAAGGTGGCCCACACTGAAATTAGAAACACAGAAATATAAAATTGCAAAACAAATTTAAAAGAAACTTTAAACTATAAAAACCTAAATTAAAATAGTGTACTACTTAAGATTTTATCTAGAAAAATTTTTCTAGATAACTACAATTTTCCACTATGACTGGTAATGCATAAAGAGCACACAGATTTGGCTGGGCGTAGTGGCTCACATCTGTAATCCCAGCAGTTTAGGAGGCCAAGGCAGGTGGATCACCTAAGGTCAGAAATTCAAGACCAGCCTGGCCAACATGGTGAAACCCTGTCTCTACTAAAAATACAAAAATTAGCCAGGTGTGGTGGTGCATGCCTGTATTCCCAGCTACTCAGGAGGCGGAGGCAAGAGAATCACTTGAACCCGGGAAGCAGAGGCTGCAGTGAGCCGAGATTGCACCACTGCACTTCAGCCTGGGTGACAGAGAGAAACTCCATTTCAAAAAACAAAACAAACAAACAAAAATAGAGCACAGTTTTTAAATTATTAATATCACAGTGATGGCAATAACATTTCACCAAAATGCATTATGATTATTTAGTAAAAACTTTGATAAAAAAATTTTAAAGAATAAGCATAAAATGATACCAGAAAAACTTCTTTGTTATTAATATATTGCTGCTTTTCTTACACAAACTGGAAAGGCTATAATCCAGCCTTAAGAAGTAACTAAAAGCCTTTTATTTCGAAGTGCAGAAGCACTATGAATATTATAAAATACAGTATGAAACATATATTAAAGGAACAATTAAGAATAAATTGTATTATCATTTATGTGAAGGGTAAAAAAAGTGGATGAAAAATGCTAATAATGTTTTGCATGCAATAAACATAGGAAGCGAACATTTTAATAGGTGCAGGGTGAATAAAAATTATTTAATTTACTTTTTATATGACATATAAACTTAAGCATGTTATTAACACCCCACTGTCAATATTAGATCAATGAGACAGAAGATCAACAAGAATATTCAGAACTTGAATTCAGCTCTGGATCAAGGGGACCTAACAGACATCTACAAAACTCTCCACCCCAAATCAACAGAATATACATTCTTCTCAGTGCCACATGGCACTTACTGTAAAATCAACCACATAACTGGAAGTAAAACATTCTTCAGCAAATGCAAAAGAACTAAAATTATAACCACAGTGCAATCAAATTAGAGCCCAGGATTAAGAAACTTACTCAAAACCGCACAACTGCATGGAAATTGAACAACCTGCTTCTGAAGGACTACTGGGTGAAAAATGAAATTATGGCAGAAATCAAGTTCTTTGAAACCAATGAGAACAAAGAGACAACATACCAGAATCTCTGGGACACAGCTAAAGTGAAGTTAAGAGGAAAATTTGTAGCACAAAATGTCCAAATCAGAAAGCTAGAAAGATCTCAAATCGGCTGGGCGCAGTGGGTCACGCCTGTAATCCCTGTACTTTGGGAGGCCGAGGTGGGCGGATCACCTGAGGTCAGGAGTTTGAGACCAGCCTGGCCAACATGGTGAAACCCCATCTCTACTAAAAATACAAAAATTAGCTAAGCGTGGTGGCGGGCGCCTGTAGTCCCAGCTGCTCAGGAGGCTGAGGCAGGAGAATCGCTTGAAGCCGGGAGGTGGAGGTTGCAGTGAGCCGAGATTGCACCATTACACTCCAGCCTAGGGAACAAGAGCAAGACTCTGTCTCAAAAAAAAAAAAGAAAGAAAGAAAGATCTCAAATCAACACCCTAACATCACAATTAAAAGAACTAGAGAAGCAAAAGCAAAGAAATGCAAATGCTAGCAGAAGACGAGAAATAAAGATCAGAGCAGAACTGAAGGATATAGAGACACGAAAAGCCCTTCATATAAATCAATGAATCCAGGAGCTGTTTTTTTGAAAAAATTAACAAAATAGATAGACCGCTAGCTGGACTAATAAAGGAGAAAAGAAAAAGCAGCAAATAGATACAGTAAAAAATGATAAAGAGGATATCACTGCTGATCCCACAGAAATACAAACTATCATCAGAGAATACTATAAACACCTCTATGCAAATAAACTGAAAATCTAGAAGAAATTGATAAATTTCTGGACACATACACCCTCCCAAGACTAAACCAAGAAGAAGTTAAATCCTTGAATAAACCAATAACAAGTTCTGAAATTTAGGCAGCAATTAATAGCCTACCAACCAAAAAAACTCAAGACCAGATTAATTCACAGCTGAATTCTACTAAAAGTACAAAGAGGAGCTGGTACCATTTCTTCTGAAACTATTCCAAACAACTGAAAAGGAGGGACTCCTCCCTAACTCATTTTATGAGGCCAGTATCATCCTGATACCAAAACCTGGCAGAGACATAGTGAAAAAGGAAAACTTCAGGCCAATATCCCCAATGAACATCAATGCAAAAATCCTCAATAAAATAGTGGCAACCCAAATCCAGTAGCACATCAAAAAGCTTATCCGCCACGATCAAGTCAGCTTCATCCTTGAGATGCAAGGCTGGTTCAACATACACAAATCAATAAACGTAATCCATCACATAAACAGAACCAATGACAAAAACCACATGATTATCTGAAGAGATGCAGTAAAGGCCTCCAATAAAATTCAACATCCCTTCATGTTAAAAAAAAAAAAAACTCTCAATAAACTAGGTATTGATGGAACATATCTCAAAATAATAAGAGCTATTTATGACAAACCCATAGCCAATATCATACTGAATGGGCAAAAGCTGGAAGCATTCCCTTTAAAAACTGGCAGAAGACAAGGATGTCTTCTCTCACCACTCCTATTCAACATAGTATTGAAAGTTCTGGCCAGGGCAATCAAGCAAGAGAAAGAAAGAAAGGGTATTCAAATAGGAAGAGAGAAAGTCAAATTGTCCCTGTTTGCAGATGACATGATTGTGTATTTAGAAAACCCCATTGTCTCCACCCAAAAATTCATTAAGCTGATAAGCAACTTCAGCAAAGTCTCAGGATACAAAAATCAATGTGCAAAAATCACAAGCATTCCTATACACCAATAATAGACAAGCAGAGAGCCAAATCATGAATGCACTCCCATTCACAATTGCTACAAAGGGAATAAAATACCTAGGAATACAGCTAACAAGGGATGTGAAGGACCTCTTCAAGCAGAACTACAAACCACCCCTCAAGGAAATAAGAGAGGACACAAACAATTAGAAAAACATTCCATCCTCATGGATAGGAAGAATCAATATCATGAAAATGGCCATACTGCCCAAAGTTATTTATAGATTCATTGCTATTCCCATTAAACTACCATTAACATTCTTCACAGAATTAGAAAAAAATATTTTAAATTTCATGGCCAGGCACAGTGGCTCACGCCTGTAATCCCAGTACTTTGGGAGGCCAAGGCAAGCAGATCAGCTGAGGTCAGGAGTTTGAGACCAGTCTAACCAACATAGAGAAACCCCGTCTCCACTAAAAATACAAAATTAGCTGGGCATGGTGGCACATGCCTGTAATCCCAGCTACTTGGGAGGCTGAGGCAGGAGAATTGCTTGAACCCAGGAGGTGGAGGTTATAGTGAGCCAAAATCACGTCATTGCACTCCAGCCTGGGCAACAAGAGTGAAACTATCTCAAAAAAAAAAAAAAATTTCATATGGAACCAAAAAAGAGCCTGTATAGCCAAGACAATCCAAAGCAAAAAGAAAGGCATCATGCTACCTGACCTCAAACTATACTATAAGGCAACAGTAACCAAAACAGCATGGTACTGGTATCAAAACAGACAGACCAATGGAACAGAACAGAGACCTCAGAAATAACACCACACGTCTACAACCATCTGATCTTTGACAAACCTGACATAAACAAACAACGAGGAAAGGATTCCCTATTTAATAAATGGTGCTAGGAAAACTGGCTAGCCATATCCAGAAAATTGAAACTGGACCCCTTCCTTACACCTTATACAAAAACTAAGACAAGATGAATTAAAGATTTAAATGTAAAACCAACATCCATAAAAACGCTAGAAGAAAACCTAGGCAATACCATTCAGGACATAGGTATGGGCAAAGATTTCATGACAAAAACACCAAAAGCAATTGCAACAAAAGCCAAAATTGACATATGGGATCTAATTAAACCAAAAAGGTTCTGCACAGCAAAAGAAACTACATCAGAGTGAACAGGCAACCTACAGAATGGGAGAAAATTTCTGTAATCTACCCATCCAACAAAGGTCTAATATCCAGAATCTACAAGGAACTTAAACAAACTTACAAGAAAAAAACAACCCCATCAAAAAGTGAGCAAAGGATACGAACAGACACTTCTCAAAGGAAGACATTCATGCAGCCAACATATGAGAAAAAGCTCAACATCACTGATCATTAGAGAAATGCAAATCAAAACCATAATGAGATATCATCTCACACCAGTCAGAATGGCAATTATTAAATGTCAAGAAACAATAGATGCTGGCAAGGCTGTAGAGAAATAGAAATGCTTTTTACACTGTTGATGGAAATGTATATTAATTTGACCATGGTGGAGGACACTGTGGTGATTCCTCAAAGATCTAGAACCAGAAATACCATTTGTCCCAGCAATCCCATTACTGGGTATATACCCAAAGGAATATATAAAGACACAGGCACACATACGCTTATTGCAGCACTGTTTACAATAGCAGAGACATGGAACCAACCCAAATGCCCATCAATGATAGACTACGTAAAGACAATGTGGTACATATACACCATGGAATATTATGCAGCCATAAAAAGGAATGGGATCATGTCCTTTGCAGGGATATGGATAAAGCTGGAAGCCATCAGCAGCAGCAAACGAACACAGGAACAGAAAACCAAACACTGCATGCTCTCACTCAAAAGTGGGGGCTGAACAATGAGAACACATGGACACAGGGAGGGAAACATCACACACCGGGGCCTGTCAGGGGATGGGAGGCAAGGGGAAGGACAGCATTAGGACAAATACCTAATGCACGTTGGGCTGAAAACCTAGATGATGGGTTGATAAGTGCAGCAAACAACTATGGTATATGTATACCTATGTAACAAATCTGCACATTCTGCACATGTATCCCAGAACTTAAAGTAAAATAATTTTTTAAAAAAGCATGTAAAATCAACAATTTTATTTCAGAACTTTTAAATCTAGAATTACAGGCAAATCTGGCATAGTTCAGATTACAAAGTGAACAAATATAGCACATAATCCTGATAATATTTATGTTAAAGAAGACATGATTTTATTTTTGTTAATTTTTTTTAGATGGAGTCTCACTCTGTCGCTCAGGCTGGGGTGCAGTGGCACGATCTTGGCTCACTGCAACCTTCATCTCCTAGGTTCAAGTGATTCTCCTGTCTCAGCCACCCAAGTAGCTGGGATTACAGGTGCACACCACAATGCCTGGCTAATTTTTGTATTTTTAGTAGAGACGGGGTTTCACCATGTTGGCCAGGCTGGTCTCGAACTCCCGACCTCAGATGATCTGCCCACCTTGGCCTCCCAAAGTGCTAGGGTTACAAGTGTAAGCCACCATGCCCAGCCAACATAATTTTAAAATAAAGTTATTATAAATAAGTAACAATTAAAATTTACTATATGCTGGGTAATCATCCAAGTTCCTCTTTGACATTAGTTTCTTTATGAATTTCCTGAGGTGAGTAGACATAAAAATATTCTACACTAGAGGGATTAAACATATGGAGTTTAAATTTCTAAGCTGAGTTTCTTCTAATATAAATTTTTTAAATAAAATTGATAATTATTCTCACATTTAGTAAGATGCTTTGTGCTATGATGAAAAGTCAAAGTCTGATTTTCTTTAAGATCACATATGAAAACTCTATTAAGTGGAAATTACAAAGATAAAAACATATGACATCTGTCCCTGGTGTTTCTGGAATTTCTGAGTGAAATCTCAATTTCTCCATTATTCCTCAAACGATTTTGACGTAAGGCACAAACAGAACATTAAAAATAACATACAGGTCTCAGAAAATATGCACAGATTGCCACAGATCTCCAAAAGCAATGGAAGGGCAGTCAGATCATGCAGGCCCTCCCAAGATAAGAAGAGGACTTTGGCTCTAACAGTGTATGCACTGGAAAATCATTGGATGGACAGGAGAAACCTTTAAGGATTTAAGAACATTATAAGCATAGGTAGAAAATTTTTCTCTGTGGCCACAAGAGAAATAAAGCTCAAATTCTCAAGAACCAATTCCAGGACAAACACAGCGGCTCATATCTGTAACCAAAGCACTTTGTGAGGCCAAGGCAGAAGGATTGCTTGAGTTTGAGACCAGCCTAGGCAACACAGTGAGACCTCATTTCTACTTAAAAAATAAACAAAATTAACCAGGTGTGATGGTGCATGCCTGTAATCCCCGCTACTTGGCTGACTGAGGTGAGAGAATTGCTTGACACCAGGAGGTCAAGGCTGCAGTGAGCTGAGATTATGAGAATCCAGCTTGGGTGACAGAGCAATACCCTGTTTGAGAGAAAGAGAATCAGTTCTATTGCAGCAGAGCTTCCCAAGCTACATTTAAAACTTTGGTTTTCCATTGACCTTTGGACTTCACACATGTGTTATCTGTTCATTCCTTCCCACCCATCAGGATTTATGGCAATTGTCTCCTCTCTTTTTACATTCCATGTATATTCCTGTTGCTGTACAAAGTAACCAGGTCTTGTTTAAAGACTGTCCATTAGACCCATTCATATTTTCCACAATATTAACTGGACTCAGAAAAAAAAAAAAACACACACACAAAAAACTCCCATTATCTGTCTCAGGAGAAAATTAGAACAATAGAAGATGTGTTTAAAGTTTTATCTTTCTCCAGGACTGACTGTAGGCTAGATTCCATCTCCCCTACATGGTGCATTATAAGAAATGATGAAGTAATGAAGAAAACAGTTTATTTCTGCTAAGAAGAAGGTTGATGCTTATTATATTACTAGAGAAACTGGAATACCACAGGAAGTAAACAAAGAAAGCATAATATTACAGGATTTGAAAAAGAAATGAAAAAAAATCTCTTCAATTCAAAAAACACACACAGAAGTCCAGAGAAGATATATCTGAGGATATGTTCATAAAGCACCCAGAACTGATAGCCTGGCTGACTGTTGTGAGTATTGCCCTATAATAAGCCAGTCTATAAATACTACGTTAGACAGCTGTTTTATAAATAACCAAGTTTCATCAAAAGATCACTGTGCATACAGAGAAACCAAAAACTTGTCCCCCGTGAAAGAAAAAAAAAGAATTTCTAGAAATTTACCTTTAAGAAATAAAGATCTTAGGCCGGGCACAGTGGCTCATGCCTGTAATCCCAGCACTTTGGGAGACCAGCCTGACCAACATGGCAAAACCCCATCTCTACAAAAAATATAAAAATTAGGCAGGCGTGGTGGTGGGTGCCTGTAACCCCAACTACTCGGGAGGCTGAGGCAGGAGAATTGCTTGAACTCGGGTGGCAGAGGCTGCAGTGAGCTGAGATCGCACCATTGCACTTCAGCCTGGGCAACAGAGAGAGACTCTGTCTCAAAAAACAACAACAACAACAACAACAACAACAGCAAGAACAAAAAAAACCCTAAGGTAATAATAAAGTCTTTCCAAGATAAACAAAATCTGAGTGTGCTCCTCGCAACTAGTACAGTACTAGAAGACATGTTAAAGGGAGTCAAATATGTTGAAAAGTGAAATAATGCAGGACAGTGTCATAAAACCATAGGAAAATATAACACTCTTTTTTAAGGGAAATATTTAGACAGATAAAAAATTTGCTACTATTATAATAATGGTGCATAAAGTTTTTAAAATGTTACAGAATTTGAAAAAATAAAAAAAGCATAAATCTTTGTTGATAAGAAATAAAATATTTGTGACATTAATAATAAAATGGCAGATGTAAAGATGTATAGTTATGATTTAATTGAAGTAACTTTATTAGAATATAGTTATAAATTTAATGTTTTATATACTTTGCATTTCTTAAGATGATCATAAAAATCTTATAGAAAGTATATCAAAAATATGAGAAAGGAATTAAAGCATGTCACTACAAAATCGCCAAAAAAAATGAAGACACAGAGCAAATGAAGAAAAACATATCCACAGGAAACACAGAAAGAAAATACAAACCAAATGGTAATAGTAACTTTTCCATTAGAGATTATGTTACATATAAATGGACTAAAATCTTTAATGAAAAGAAATACAATAGCTAAAGGAATTCACAACAAACAAGATGTTACACCCAGTAATGGGATGGCTGGGTCAAATGGTATTTCTAGTTCTAGATCCCTGAGGAATCGCCACACTGACTTCCACAATGGTTGAACTAGTTTACAGTCCCACCAACAGTGTAAAAGTGTTCCTGTTTCTCCACATCCTCTCCAGCACCTGTTGTTTCCTGACTTTTTAATGATTGCCATTCTAACTGGTGTGAGATGGTATCTCATAGTGGTTTTGATTTGCATTTCTCTGATGGCCAGTGATGATGAGCATTTTTTCATGTGTTTTTTGGCTGCATAAATGTCTTCTTTTGAGAAGTGTCTGTTCATGTCCTTCGCCCACTTTTTGATGGGGTTGTTTGTTTTTTTCTTGTAAATTTGTTTGAGTTCGTTGTAGATTCTGGATATTAGCCCTTTGTCAGATGAGTAGGTTGCGAAAATTTTCTCCCATTTTGTAGGTTGCCTGTTCACTCTGATGGTAGTTTCTTTTGCTGTGCAGAAGCTCTTTATTTTAATTAGATCCCATTTGTCAATTTTGTCTTTTGTTGCCATTGCTTTTGGTGTTTTAGACATGAAGTCCTTGCCCATGCCTATGTCCTGAATGGTAATGCCTAGGTTTTCTTCTAGGGTTTTTATGGTTTTAGGATACCCAAATGACTATAAATCATGCTGCTATAAAGACACATGCACACATATGTTTATTGCGGCATTATTCACAATAGCAAAGACTTGGAACCAACCCAAATGTCCATCAATGATAGAGTGGATTAAGAAAATGTGGCACATATACACCATGGAATACTATGCAGCCATAAAAAAATGATGAGTTCACGTCCTTTGTAGGGACATGGATGAAATTGGAAATCATCATTCTCAGTAAACTATCACAAGAACAAAAAACCAAACACCGCATATTCTCACTCATAGGTGGGAATTGAACAATGAGATCACATGGACACAGGAAGGGGAATATCACACTCTGGGGACTGTTGTGGGGTGGGGGGAGGGGGGAGGGATAGCATTGGGAGATATACCTAATGCTAGATGACGAGTTAGTGGGTGCAGCGCACCAGCACAGCACATGTATACATATGTAACTAACCTGCACAATGTGCACATGTACCCTAAAACTTAAAGTATAATAAATAAATAAATAAATAAATAAATAAACAAACAAACAAATAAAGAAATATTTTCTGCACTACAGCCTGGGTGACAGAGCGAGACTCCATCTCAAAAAAAAAAAAAAAAAAAAAGATGTTACAATATGCTTTCCACAATAGGGTCACATTAGCTCTAAGGAGTTAAATAGGCCGAAAGTATCAGGATGGAAAAACATATTCCATGCAAATAATAACCACAATTTGGTAAAGTAGTCTTAATTATATTAGACAAAATACACATTAAGTAAACAACTGTCACAGGAGACTAAGATTGTCATTTCATAATGGTAAAAAGGAAGAGAGACAGAGGTGGAGCAAGATGGCTGATTAGAACCCTCTAGCAATCATCCCATATAGGAACACCAAATTGAACAACTATTCACACAAGAAAGCACCTTCACAACAACCAAAAATTAGGTGAGTAATTACAGTACCCAGTTTTAACAAAATAGAGGTACTGAAGAGGGTAGGAAAGACAGTCTAGAATTTCCTACACCACTTATCCCTCATTTCCCAGCAGTAAATATGTGGCACAAAGAGAGAATTTGTGTGCTTAGGGGAAGGACAGCAAGGGATTGTTGAACTTTGCATTGGAACTCAGTGCTGCCCTGTTTTAGTAGGAAGTAATCCAAGGCAGAATTTGGCCATTGCCCATGGCGGGAGCACTTTGATCAGCCCCAGACAGAAGAAAATTATTTATCCCAGCACTTGGTACCTGAGTTGTGGCTAGCCCCTCAGGCTAAAGTGCTCTGGAATTTTAAGTAAATATAAAAGGCAGTCTAGGCGGGGCACGGTGGCTCAAGCCTGTAATCCCAGCAGTTTAGGAGGCCAAGGCGGGTGGATCACGAGTTCAGGAGTTCGAGACCAGCCTGACCAACATGGTGAAACCCCATCTCTACTAAAAATACAAAAGTGAGCCGGACGTGCTGGCACATGCCTGTAATTCCAGCTACTCAGGAGGTTGAGGCAGGAGAATTACTTGAACCCAGGAGGCGGAGGTTGCAGTGAGCTGAGATCACGCCACTGCACTCCAGCCTGGGTGACAGAGTAAGACTCCGTCTCAAAAAAAAAAAAAAAAAATCACAAAAAACCCCGGCAGTCTAGATCACAATGATGGCAATCCCTGAGCAAGTTCTGATGTTTTGCAGGGCTCAGAAAAAGTGGACTTAAGTTCCTAGTACTTGGTACACCATGAAGGGTTTCCAGCATCTGTGTCCTCCCTCTGCCCACTTGCAATGCATTTCATCTGAAGATAGGCTCAGAATGGGATGGAAATTTCAATGTCTCAGTGTCTTGTCAGTTGTTTCCCCTGGCTGTGTCTAGTCAGTCATCTTGGCTCCCAATTGAAACTTAGTCTTTTAACAAAACAGACAGTATTAGTCCATTCCCACAATGTTATAAAAATACTAACCAAGACTGGGTAATTTGTAAACAAAGGAGGTTTAATTGACTTACGGTTCTGCATGGCTGGGGAGGTCTCAGGAAACTTGTAATCATGGTGAAAGCAGAAGTAGGCATGTCTTACACAGCAGCAGGTGAGCTAGAGCATGGAAGAACAGGGAAAACTGCCTTATAAGACCATCAGGTCTCATGAGCATTCACTCACTATCACAGGAACAGCATGGGGGAAACCACCCCATAATCAAATCACTTCCCACAAGGTCTCTTCGTAAACACCTGGGGATTACAATTCAAGATGAGATATGAGTGGGGATGCAAAGCCTAACTATATCCTTCCACTCCTGGCCTCTCCCAAATCTCATATCTCTTTGACATTTTAAAACAAATCATGCCTTCACAACAGTTCCCCAAAGTCTTAATTTATTCCAGCATTAACCCAAAAGTCCAAGTCCAAAGTCTCATTCGAGAAAAGGAAAGTCTTTTCTGCCCAGCAGCCTGTAAAATTAAAAGCCAGTTAGTTACTTCCAAGATACAATGGAGGTACAGGCACTGGATAAATGCTCCCATTCCAAATGGGAGAAATTGGCTAAAACAAAGGGGCTACGGGCCACACTTAAGTCTGAAATCCAGTGGGGCAGTCATTAAATCTTAAAGCACTGAAATAATCTCCTTTGACTTCGTGTCTCACATCCAGGTCACACTGAGGAAAGAAGAGATGGGCTCCCACAGCCTTGGCGAGCTTCACTCCTGTGGTTTCGCAGGGTACAGCCCTTGCCCCCTGGCTACTTTCACAGGCTGGCATTAAGTGTCTTTGGCTTTTTGAGGTGCGTGGTGCAAGCTGTTGGTGGATCTAGCATTCTAGGGTCTGGAGGATGGTGACCCTCTTTTCACAGCTCCACTAGGCAGTACTCCAGTGCTGACTCTGCATGAGGGCTCCAACCCCAAACTTCCCTTCCACACTGCCCTAGCAGAGGTTTGCTATGAGGGGTCCACCTCTGCAGTGAACTTCTGCCTAGACAGCTAGGCATTTCCGCCATCTCGGCTCACTGCAACCTCCACCTCCTGGGTTCAAGCAATTCTCCTGCCTCAGCCTCCTGAGTAGCTGGGACTACAAGCGCCCACCACCACGCTTAGCTAATTTTTGTTTTTCTTTTTTTTTTTTTTTTTTTTGAGACGGAGTCTCGCACTGCTGCCCAGGCTGGATGGTGCAGTGGCACAATCTCAGCTCACTGCAAGCTCCACCTCCCGGGTTCACGCCATTCTCCTGCCTCAGCCTCCCGAGTAGCTGGGACTACAGGCGCTCGCCACCACATCCAGCTAATTTTTTTTGTATTTTTAGTAGAGATGGGGTTTCACAGTGTTAGCCAGGATAATCTCAATCTCCTGACCTTGTGATCCGCTTGCCTTGGCCTCCCAAAGTGCTGGGATTACAGGCGTGAGCCATTGTGCCCAGGCCAATTTTTGTATTTTTAGTGGAGACGGAGTTTCGCCAAGTTGGCCAGGCTGGTCTCGAACTCCTGACCTCAGGTGATCCGCCTGCCTCAGCCTCTCAAAGTGCTGGGAAGTTCCGATTTTAAATGAGCTCCTTGTGAATGCATAAAACTGAATGCTTTCAGAATAACCCAGGTCACATCTTGAATGCTTTGATGCTTAGAAATGTCTCCCACCAGATATCCTAAATCATCTCTCTGAAGTTCGAAGTTTCACACCATCTCTAGGGCAGGGGCAAAATACCACCAGCCTCTTTGCTAAAACATAGCAGGAGTGATCTTTACTCTAGGTCCCAATAAGTTCCTCATCTCCATCTGAGACCACCTCAGCCTGGACTTCATTGTTTACATCACTATCAGCATTTTGGTCAAAATCATTCAACAAGTCTCTAGGAAGCTCCAAACTGTCCCACATCTTCCTGTCTTCTTCTGAGCTCTCCAAATTCCTACAACCTCTGCCCACTACCCAGTTCCATAGTCATCTCAACATTTTCAAGTATCCTTATAGCAGTACCCTACTCTATGCAGTACCAATTTCCTGTATTAGTTCATTTTCACACTGCTATAAAGATACTACCTGAGGCCAGGCACAGTAGCTCATGCCTGTAATCCCAGCACTTTGGGAGGGTCAGGCAGGTGGATCACCCGAGGTCAGAAGTTCGAGACCAGCCTGGCCAACACGACAAAACCCTGTCTCTACTAAAAATACAAAAATTAGATGGGCATGGCGGCATACACCTGTAGTCCCAGCTACTCAGGAGACTGAGGCAGGAGAATCACTTGAACCTGGGAGGCAGAGGTTGCAGTGAGCCAAGATCATGCCACTGCCCTCCATCCAGGGTGACAGAGCAAGGCCCTATCTCAAAAACAAAGCAAACAAACAAAAAACATACTACCCGAGACTGGGTAATTTTTTTTTTTCTTGAGACGGAGTTTCACTCTTTAGCCCACGCTGGGGTGAAGTGGTGTAATCTTGGCTTACTGCAACCTCCACCGCCCAGGTTCAAGTGATTCTCCTGTCTCAGCCTCCTGAGTAGCTGGGATTACAGGCACCCGCTACCATGACTGACTAATTTTTGTATTTTTAGTAGAGATGGGATTTCGCCATGTCGGCCAGGCTGGACTCAAACTTCTGACTTCAGGTAATACATCCACCTCAGCCTCCTAAAAGTGCTAGGATTACAGGTGTGAGGCACCGCGCCCGGCCAAGACTGGGAAATTTATAAACAAAGGAGGTTTAATTGACTCGTAGTTCAGCATGGCCGGGAAGGCCTCATGAAACTTACAATCACAGCAGAAAAGGAAGCAGGCACATCTTACATAGTGACAGGTGAGAAAGGCTGTGCAAGAGCAGGGAAAACTGACATATCTCTGAGGCCAATATCTCTGATAAACATCATTGTAAAAATCCTTAAGAGAATACTAGAAAACCAAATTCAACAACACATTAAAAACATCATTCAACTTCCTCTCAAGCTTGGCATTCGGTCGGTAGGGACCCGCGGGTTCGACATGCATGTCGAGATATGTTATTTCTGTTTGGGGCCCACCTACCCTGGCCATGGCATGATGTTCATCCGCAATGATTGCAAGGTGTTCAGATTTCGTAAATCTAAATGTCATAAAAACTTTAAAAAGAAGTGCAATCCTCGCAAAATTAGGTGGACCAAAGCATTCCACTCAGAAAGCAGCTGGTAAAGAGCTTACAGTGGATAGTTAATTTGAATTTGAAAAACGTAGAAATGAACCTATCAAATACCAGCGAGAGCTATGGAATACAACTATTGATGCAATAAAGTGAGTTAAAGAGATGATCAAACAGAAACACTAAGCTAAATTTATAATGAACAGATTGAAGAAAAAGAAAGAGCTACAGAAAGTTCAGGACATCAAAGAAGTCAATCAAAACATCCATCTTATCTGAGGCTTGCAGGCAAAGGGAAGCAGCTGGAAGAGAAAATGGTACAGCAGTTACAAGAGGATGTGGACATGAAAGATGCTTCTTAAAAATCTCTGTAACCATTTATATACATTTGAAAATGGATATTGGTTTATTTTTTACATAAGGTCACTTAAATGGTTTCTTTTTTACATAAGATCACTTAAATAAGGTCACTTACATAAGGTCACTTAAATTGGTTTATTTTTTACATAAGGTCACTTAAATGAAAAGTGATTAAAATATATCTTTCCTACATTGCTATCTACAAAACATCAGATATTACGGATGTTAGATTGCATTCCAGTGTTAAATCTTCACTGATAGATGTATTTATGTAAACCATGAAAATTCTACTTACAACTATAGAAGTGAATTGTAGACGTAAAATAGTTCTGCCATTTGGACAGTGGCACTAGGTGGCATTTGTGTAATAACTAATGGCAAAAATTCATGGCTAGCGATGTATAAAATAAAATATTCTTTGCAGTAAAATATTCCCTTTATTAATGTTATAAAAGGGGGGATATGGCTGGGCACTGTGGCTCACACCTGTAATCCCAGCACTTTGGGAGACAGAGGCGGGCAGATCACCTGAGCAGGAGTTCGAAATCAGCCTGGCCAACATGGTAAAACCCCGTCTCTACTAAAAATACAAAAAATTAGCCAGGCGCAGTGGTGGGCACCTGTAATCCCAGCTACTCTGGAGGCTGAGGCAGGAGAATCTCTTGAACCCAGGAGGCGGATGTCGCAGTTACCCGAGATCACCCCATTGCACTCCAGCCAGGGCAACAGAGTGAGACTTTGTCTCAAAAAAAAAAAAAAAAAAAGTGGGGGGCGGATAAGGAACTAACAATTTGTATGACAGTGTCAAATATTATTTTGATTTTAGTATATCCTGTTCTGGTTTATTTGCATCTTAGAAAAGCATAACGGCATTGTTTGATGAAGTCTAATTATGCTGGACTGTTTTGACCTGATTTAACCGTTCTGATAGGTAGTTGTGGAAGTTGGGGATGAGAACTGAATAAATGGCACTACACTCTAGACTTTCCACTTTGGAGGATACTCAGTTCTAACTTGTGATTCCTGGCAGAACAAACTTTATTTTTCTAGTCTAGCAATGATCTAGAAGCAGAGGAATCCCAGTGCCTTCTAAAAGTTATTATCTGGTTTTCTTTTTAAAAAAAAACTCCTGTTTTTGTAAAGTAGAATTTATGGGTACAATATCTGTTCATTATTTGCACATAAAATAAAACCACTTTTAAAGTAAAAAAAAATAAAAATAAACAAATAAATAAAAAGATCATTCATCATGACCAATTGGAATTTATTCGAGGGATAAAAAGATGGTTCAACATACACAAATCAATCAATGTGATACATTATATGAACATAACCAAAGACAAATCCTTATGAACATTTTAAGTAATGCTTAAAATACACGTCATAAAATTTAACATTGGTTCATAAGAAAACCCTAAAAACACTGGGTATAGAAAGAACACACTTCACCATGACAAAAGCCATATATGATAGAACCACGTCTCAATTACATTAAGTGGGGAGAAACTGAAAGTCTTTCCTCTAAGATTTGGAACAAAAGAAAGATGCTTACTTTTACCACTCTAATTCAACATAGTCAGGGAAGTTGTAGCTACAGCAATCGCACAAGAGAAAGAAAGGGCATTCAAATAAGGAAGAAAGAAGTCAAAGTAATATTGCGTGCAGGTGATATAATCTTATATTTGGAAAACCTAGTCTCCATCAAAACAAACTATTAGAACTAATAAAAAAATTTAGTAAAACTGCAGCACACAAAATCAACATACAAAATGTAGTAGCATTGTGGCTAGGCACGGTGACTCAAGTCTGTAATCCCAGCACTTTGGGAGGCCAAAGGGGGCGGATCACTTGAGGTTGGAGTTCGAGACCAGCCTCGCCAATATGGCAAAACCCCACCTCTACGAAAAATTCAAAAACTAGCTGGGTGTGGTGGCAGACACCTATAATCTCAGCTACTTGGGAGGCTGAGGAAGAAGAATTGCTTGAACACAAGAGGCAGAGGCTGCAGTGAGCTGAGATCGCACCACTGCACTCCAGCCTGTGTGACAGAGCAAAACTCCATCTCAAAATAACAATAATAATAATAAAAAAAACTCCATCTCAAAAACAATGAGTAGCATTTCTAAATGCCAACAGTGAACAATCTGAAAAAGAAATCAAGCATGTCATCCCATTTACAATAGCAACAAATAGAAAGAAATGCCCAAGAATAAACTAAACCAAAGAAACAAGAAGATCTCTATAATGAAAACTATAAAACAGAAGAATGGAAAGATATTCTATTTTTATGGACTGGAAGAAGCAATACTGTTAAAATGTTCCCATTACCCAAAGCAGTCTAGAGATTTGATGCAATTCGTATCAAAATACCATGACATTTTTCACAGAAATAGAAAAAAAGATTCCAAAATTTATATTGAACAACAATAGACCCAGAACAGCTAAAGCCATCATGAGCAAAAGGACAAAATCAGAAATTACATTACCTGACTTCAAATTATACTACAGAACTATAGTAACCCAAACAGCATGGTTCTGGTATAAAATCAGACACATAGACCAATAGAACAGAATAGAGAACTCAGAAAAAAATTTGTATATCTACAGTGAACCTATTTTCAACAAAGGTGCCAAGAACATACATTGGCAAAAAGGGACAGTCTTGTCAATAAATTATGCTGAGGAAACTAAATATCCATATGCAGAAAAATAAAACTAGATCTCTATTTCTTAGCATATACAAAAATAAAAGCAAAATGGGCTAAAGACTTACATCTAAGATGTGAAACTATGAAGCTACTAAAAAATCCCAGAAAACTGGGGAACCTCTCCAGGACACTGGACTGAGCAAAAATTTCTTGAGTAGTACCTCACAAGTACAGGCAACTAAGCAAAAATGAACAAACAGGGCTGGGCGTGCTGGTTCATGCCTTTAATCCTAGTACTTTGGGAGGCTGAGGTGGGTGGATCACCTGAGGTCAGGAGTTCAAGACCAGCCTGGCCAACATGGTAAAACCCCATCTCTGCTAAAAATAAAAAAATTAACTGGGCATGGTGGCACATGCCTGTAATCCCAGCTACATGGGAGGCTGAGGAAGGAGAATCACTTGAACCCGGGAGGCAGAGGTTGTGGTGAGCTGAGATTGTGCCATTGCACTCCAGCCTGGGAAACAAGAGCAAAATTCTGTCTCAAAAAAAAAAAAAAAGGAACAAACAGGATTACAGCAAGTTAAAAAGCTTCTGCACTGCAAAAAAAAACAATCAACAAAGTGAAGAGACCACCCACAGTATGGGAAAACTATTTGCATAGTATCTATATGACTAGAGACTAATAACAGGAATATATAAGGTACTTAAAAATGCTATGAAAAAAATGCATTAATTCCATTAAGATTGGATAAAATAATTGTTTCTCAAAAGAAGACATATAAATGACAAACAGGTATATAAAAAGGTGCTCAGTATCACTGATTGTCAGGGAAATGCAAATCAAAACTACAATGAGATATCATCTCACTCCAGCTAAAATGACTTTTCCCCAAAAGACAGGCAATAATACATGTTGCTGAAAGTGTGAAGAAAAGTGAACTCTCATACACTGTTTCTGGGAATATAAATTAATACAGTGACTATGAAGTACAGTATGGAGGTTCCTTAAAGAACTAAAAATAGGACTACCATATGATCCAGCATTCACACTTCTAGGTATACATACTAAAAAATAAAAATAATTAGTATATTGAATAGATATCTGGCCTCCCATGTTTATTGCAGCACTATTACCAATAGCAAAGTTTTGGGATCCACTTAAGTATGCATCAACAGAGAAATGAATAAAGAAAATGTACTACATACACACACACAATATTATTGTGTACACACAATATTATTGTGTACACACAATAAGTACAACTTAGCCATAAAAAATGAGATTCTGTCATTTGCAACAAAGTGGATGGAATTGGAAGATATTATATTAAGTAAAATAAGCCAGGTACAGGAAGACAAAAACTGCATGTTCTCACTTATTTGTGGGATCTAAGAATTAAAACAACTGAACTCATGAAGATGAAGAGTAGATTATAGTTATCAGAGGCAGAGAAGGGTAGTGAGGAGGGATGATTAATGAGTACAAAATTGTAATTAGAATGAATAAGATCTAGTATTTGATAGCACAACAGTGTGACTACAGTAAGTAATAACTTATTGTACATTTCAAAATAACTAAAAAAGTATAATTGGAATATTCATGATACAAAAAAATAGTACATGCTGGAGGTGATGTATACCTCATTTACCCTGGTGTCATTATTAAACACTTTAGGCCTGTAAAAAAAAAAACTCAAGAAACACATTAATATATACACTTAATATGTACCCACAAAATTAAAAAATAAAAAAAATCTATTTACCAGGAATCTGTAACAGTTATATAAATTTACATATTTTTGTGTGTATATTACACCAAATATTGACAGAAATGAAGCAAGAAATACATAGCAACACAATAATTGTGTACTTCTAGACCAGACCCCACTTTCAATAATGAATAGAAAAATCAAATATAAGGTCAATTAAAAAAACAGAAAACTTGAACATTATAGGCAAATAGACCTAATAAACATGTACAAAACTCTTCAGTCAAAACTGGCAGAATACACAATATTCTCAATTGCACATGGCAAATTCTGTTAGGATACATAATAAGACATACAAAATTGTAAAAGATTGAAATCATGAAATATATCTTCTCTGACCAAAATAAAATGAAACTAGACATTAAAAGAAGAAAAAGTGGCAAATCCCAAATTACTTGGAATTATTTAAACACATGCTTGAACATATTTTTGTTCAAGGGTAAAATAATTTAATATTTTTAAGACTTTAATACTACCAAGAGTTATGTACAACTTCAATTTTATATATATCAAAACCCCAATGGTACTTTTTTGCAGAAGTATTTTCAGAATCCTAAAATTTCTGTTAGGGACAATGACTAGGCACGCATTCCCAAAAAACAAGAACAAAGAGGCATTACACTTCCTGATTTCAAAACATATAACAAAGCTACAGATATAAAAACAATGTAGTACTGACATAAAGACAGATAATTATATAAGGGAACAGAACAGAAAGCCCAGAGGCAAACCCTTTTACATATGATTAAATGAACTTCCACAATGTAGCCATGATCATCCAGTGGGGAAAGAAGAATGTCTTTAACAAATAATATTGAAAACTGAATATCTTCATTAAAAACACCACAAAGTTGGATCCTTTCCTTTCTCCAGATACAAAACAATCTTTTAAAGGGATTAACTAAACGTAAAAAACATAACTAATGAAATTCTTAGAAAAAGTATAGGAGAAAATATAATGACATCAGTCTTGGCACTTTCTTATGTATGGAATTAAATGTATAAATAACAAAGAACGGAAAAATGGGAGTATATCAAATTCCAAATTTCTAAAGGTCAAAGGAAATGGTGAAGTAGAAAAAGGTAAAAATATTTGCAAATCACATATTTGATTGGTGTTAGTATCAAGAACATATAAACAGTTCCTAAAACTCAACAACAAAAAAGTGAAGAACAAAATTAAAAATGAGAACAAAATTGAACTGATATTTCTCGAAAAATATACAAATGGCCAATAAGCATTTGAAAGGATGATTTACAAAAATGCAAAGCAGAATACGATGAGATATTATCTCACACCAATTAGAATAATGACTACAAAAAAAATCTGTCAAGAATGTGGAGACTTGAGAGAGAAAATTTGTAAACTGCTGCTGGGGAAATATGACTCTGCCAGTATAAAAAACAATATGGAAGTTTTTCAAAAAATTAAAAATGGAATTGTCATAGTATCCAGCAATTCCACATCTAAGTATACACACAAAATATAAGACACATAACCTGGAAGACATATCTGCACACACACAATATTTGTTTATTATAGCAATGTTTACAAAATCCAAAAGGTAGAAGCAACCCAGATGTCCCTAATGAGCAATTAAAAAAATGTGGTGTATATCTATCTATCTATCTATATATATGCCAAATATATATACACACATATATGTGCACTATAGTGGGTATATATATATACACACAACATATGTATACACACACATATACACACAATAGCGTTATTCAGCCTTTAAAAAGGAAATTTGGTCACATTCTCTAAGAATAAATCTTGAGAATGTAAACTGAAATAAGCCAGTAACAAAGTGACAGATAGCGTATGATTTCATTTTTATGAAATATCTTAAGTAGTCAAATAGAAACATAAAGTAGAATGGCATTAGTCAAGGGGTAGAGAGAAGGTGAAATAGGCAGTTGTTATATAAGGGGTATTGAGTTTTAGTGTTGCAAGATGTAAACATTCTAGAGGTCTTTTGCATTAAAATGTGACTATACATAACACAACTGAAACATACACTTAAAAAGATTGAGGCCGAGGCAGTTGGATCGCCTGAGGTGGGGAGTTCGAGACCAGACTGACCAACATGGTGAAACCCTGTCTCTACTAAAAATACAAAAAAATTAGCTGGGCATGGTGGTGCATGCTGTAATCTCAGCTACTGAGGAGGCTGCGGCAGGAGAATTGCTTGAACCCAGGAGGTGGAGGTTGCAGTGAGCCAAAATTGCACCACTGCACTCCAGCCTGGGCGACAGAGCAAGACTCTGTTTCAAAAAAAAAAAAAAAAAAAAAGATTTAAGATGGTAAATTCGATGTTATGTTCTTTACCACAATATTTTTCTTAAAGGATAACTAAAAAAATCAGAGTTATAAAGCTATCCAAAAATTACCTTCAAATCACAAAATTGTTTCACATAGAGAAAATACAAATTCATCAACAAACACACAGTAAAACTAAGATTATTTTCCTGACTACTCACCTAGACAAGATAAAAAAACATAAAAGATCAGCCAAGAAAAAATATATAAGATAAGCTATGAACAAAGTTGGGGTCATATTTATAGACAACATGCACATTCATATGTGTAATTTAAGAATGACAGCCATCTGGTGGATTCATTTTCTAATTAAGCCCCACATTAACTTAAAGTGCATATATAGAGTTGCAAATTGTCATCCAAAGCTATAATGCATAAGTAAAACCAAAAACACAATAAACTGATGTCAAGGAATCTACCCTAAAAGAGAAACCCAGTAATATGAATTGTACAACAAAAATAAGAGAAACATTTACCCATAAAATTCTGTAGGCTACATTGATGTACTATTAAGAAATAATTTTGCTAGATAACTACAGTGTTCAAATGTGCTTGTGCACTTCTGGAGTGGACACATTTGCAATAATTGGTGTCTACCATATGGCAGTAATTTTTTTTCTTTTTTATACTTTTTTTGTGAGACAGAGTCTTACTCTGTCACCCAGGCTGGAGTGCAGGGGCAGGATCTCAGCTCACTGCAACTGCCGCCTCCTGGTTTCAAGCCATACTCCTGCCGCAGCCTCCCAAGTAGCTGGGATTACAGGTGCGTGCCACCACGCCTGGCCAATTTTTGTATTTTTAGTAGAGATGTGCTTTTACCATGCTGACTAGGCTGGTCTCAAACTCCTGACCTCAAGTGATCCACCTGCCTCGGCCTCCCAATTTGCTGGGATTACAGGCATGATAGCCACCGCACCTGGTCCCTTTTATTCTTGATTTATTTATTTATTTTAACATGTATGAAACCAATCATCCCTGGTTGCTACAGGAGAATAGCAGACAGGTATAGTTAAGAAACAACTTTATTTTATTTTATTTATCTTTTTTTTTTTTTTTTGAGACAGAGTCTTGCTCTGTTGCCCAGGCTGGAGTGCAGTGGTACAATCTCGGCTCACTGAAAGCTCTGCCTCCCGGGTTCATGGCATTCTCCTGCCTCAGCCTCCAGAGTAGCTGGGACTACAGGCGTCCGCCACCACGCCCGGCTAATTTTTTGTATTTTTAGTAGAGACGGGGTTTCACCGTATTAGCCAGGATGGTCTCGATCTCCTGACCTCTTGATCTGCCCACCTCGGCCTCCCAAAGTGCTGTGATAACAAGCGTGAGCCACCGCACCTGGCCTATTTATCTTTTTTTGAGATGGAGTCTCACTCTGTCGCCCAGGCTGGAGTGCCATGGCACAATCTCAGCTCACTGCAACCTCCGCCTCCCAGGTTCAAGTGATTCTCCTGCCTCAGCCTCCCACGTAGCTGGGATTACAGGTGCCCACCACCATGCCCGGCTAATTTTTGTATTTTTAGTAGAGATGGGGGTTTCACCAAGTTGGCCAGGCTGGTCTTGAACTCCTGACCTCAGGTGATCCACCCGCCTCGGCCTCCCAAAGTGCTGGGAATACAGGCATGAGCCACCATGCCCGGTCAAGAAACAACTTTATTTTGAGCACAGGAAATGACAACAGCACTTAACAGCTATATCATAGTCTAAATCCTGCTTTGGCAGTAAAATTTTACAGAAAATGCACTACAGTCAATAAGAAAATGCTCTAATAAGAAAATTTTAATAAGCATTTAAAGACAGTAAAGATAATTTCTTACTATTAATATACTGATGCTATCTTTACACAAAATTAAAAGTCTGCAATCCAGTCTTTAGAAGCAAAAAAAAAAAAAAAGCCTTAGACTTCTAAATAAAGTAAAAATGTGTATGTTGAAAACATGAGTCACTGATATATAAAATAAAAATTTTGGAATAAATTATATAATAATTTCGATATAGGTTGAGAAAATGAAAATCTTGATGTATTTCTGGCTACTATAAAACTTACAAATGAACATTTTAATAAATAAGGAGTGCCTAGTATCTAATTAACTTCTTACGTAACATGTAAATTACAGTATATTGTTTTGAACCTTTGAATCTAAAATTACAGACAAATTTGAAAGACAGAAAAATAGAAAGTGAAACCATATTGGGAGAGTGACATCAGCAGGAATGTGGAAATAGGGGGGTCACTCTTGTTTATCCTGCCAGAGCAACAATAATTTTGCTGCCATCCATGGACAAAAGTGCCTTTATGAGACTTTTGGGATCCAGGGAGAGTACTGTGATGCCCTGCAAAAGCCCAAGACTGAGGAGGGCTGTATTGGGAAGGCAGGCCCTCATTCAGGTGGCAAACTTGAGGGCTCCTGATCTTGGTTACAGACCAGAAAATGACTCACTCAACTCAGTCACATTGAATATTCTGAAGTGACTCTGTAATCATCTCCGATGCCTTCTAGCCACGGTCTAGAAGCAGTCCTTCCCGGAGACCTCAGGACACTCAGTCATGGTCATGGAGGCAGGCCTACAGAACTTGGTCTTTAGTCTTTACTGTGACCTCTGAAGCAGGTCTGTGACTCAGTCGTAGCCATCTTAGCCACAGTTCATGGACAGTCCTGCCTACTTGGGAACCTACACAGAGACCCAAGGAAACCCTCCCAGGTACTCAGAAGGAGCCACACTCATCTACACATCTTGTAACAGGCCTACCTTATGTGAACCCAACGGCAGAACCCTGCCCTGGTATCTGCCCCACAAAACAAAGTTCTGAAAGCAAAGTCTGCTCAAAATAAGAAAGGATTTACAAGAAGACTACATTATGTCTAATTCAAATACTTCTATTTTAACATATTACTGAAAATCCTAGGTATAACAATGTGGCAATAAAATGAAAAAAGCCATCTGAAATTAAAAAAAAAGAAAAATGTCACTGTTTGTAGATGACATACTCTTATATATAGAAAACAATAAATAGCTGGCGCAGTGGGCTCACGCCTGTAATCCCAGTACTTTGGGAGGCCGAGGCGGGTGGATCAGCTGGGCTTGGGAGTTCGAGACCAGCCTGCCCAATATGGAGAAACCCTATCTCTACTAAAAATACAAAATTAGCTGGTCATATTGGTGCATGCCTGTAATCCCAGCTACTTGAGAGGCTGAGGTAGGAGAATCGCTTGAACCCCGAAGGCAGAGGTTGCCGGGAGCCAAGATCACGCCATTACACTCCAGCCTGAGCAACACGAGCGAAACTCCATCTCAAAAAAAAAAACAACACAATAAATAGTACACCAGAAAGCTGTTTAACATAATAAATGCATGCAGTAAATTAGCAGAATATAAAATTGGCATACAAATATCAATTGTTTTCATACACTAACAACAAACTATCCAATAAAAAAGAAAAAAATAATCTCATTTAAAATAGTATCAAGGCTGGGTGTGGTGGCTCATGCCTGTAATCCTAGCACTTTGGGATGTTGAAGTGGGCAGATTGCCTGAGCTCAGCAGTTCGAGACCAGCCTGGGCAACATGGTGAAACCCCATCCCTACTAAAACACAAAAAAATTAGCCATGCGTGGTAGCATGCACCTGTAGTCCCAGCTACTCGGGAGGCTGAGGCAGAAGAATTGCTTGAACCTGGGAGGCGGAGGTTGCAGTGAGCCGAGATCACACCACTGCACTCCAGCCTGGGTGACAGAGCGAGACTCCATCTCCAAAAATAAATAAAAAAATTAAAAAAGCATCAAAATAATAAATTTCTTAGAAATTAAACCAGATAAAAGACCTTTATGATGAAAAATAAAAGATATTAATAAAAATTGGAGAACACACAAATGTAAAATTGTGCCACATTTATAGATTGGAAGAATACATACTGTTAAAGTTTTCATGTTATCCAAAGCAATCTATAGATTCAATGAATTTCCTATCAAAATTCTAGTGACCTATTTCACAGTGATAGAAAATATAAGCTTAAAATTTATATGAAACTCTAACAGACTTTGAATAGCTAAAGCAATCTTGAGAAAGAAGAAAACAGTTGAGGGCATTATAGTTTTGATTTCAAACTATATTTCAAGACTACAGTAATAAAAACGTGATGCCATGCACATAAAAGTGGACAAAAGAACCTATGGAACATGGTAGAGGACCCAGAAAAAAACCTATTTATATTAGGTCAGTTAATCTTCAATAAGGGTACTAAGAATGCACAATGCAGAAAGCATAGTCTCTTCAATATTTGGTGCTAAATAAATGGATATCTGCAAGCAAAAGCATGACATTAGACCATTTTTCTTAAATTATACCCAAAAATTAACTCAATATAAAATAAAGACTTAAATAAAACACATGAATCCTTTAAAATTCAAAAAGAAAACATATGGTAAACCTCCTCTATATTGGTCTTGATGGTAATTTTTTGGGAAATGGTACCAAAAGTACAAAAACAAGAGCAAATATAAACAACTTGGACTACATCAAACTTAAAAGTTTCTAAACAGAATGCAACAAGAAAAATCACAAAATAGGAGATAATAATTGCAAACCATATATCTGTTAAGTGGTTAATATCCAAAATATATAAATAACTCATACAAATCAAAGGTGAAAACAACAATAATAAATATAATAATAATAACCCGATTTAAAAATAGGTAAAGGAGGCCGGGCACGGTGGCTCACGCATGTAATCCCAGCACTTTGGGAGGCCAAAGCAGGCAGATCACGAGGTCAGGAGTTTGAGACCAGCCTGACCAATATGGTGAAACCCCATCTCTACTAAAAATACAAAAATTAGCCAGGCGTGATGGCACGTGCCTGTAACCCCGGCTAGTCAGGAGGCTGAGGCAGGAGAATCACTTGAACCCGGGAGGCGGCGGTTGCAGTTGAGCTGAGATCACGCCATTGCTCATGCCTGTAATCCCAGCACTTTGGGAGGCTGAGGTGGGCAGATCACTTGAGGTCAGGAGTTAGCGACCAGCCTGGCCAATATGGCAAAACCCTGTCTCTACTAAAAATACAAAAATTATCTGGATGTGGTGGTGCACGCCTGTAATCTCAGCTACTCGGGAGTCTGAGGCAAGAGAATCACTTGAACCTGGGAGACGGAGGTTGCAGTGAGCCAAGATCATGCCACTGCACTCCAGCCTGGGCAAGAGAGTGAGACTCTGTCTCAAAAAATAAAAAAATAAAAATAGGTAAAGGAATAATTTTTTTTAGTAAAGACATAGAAATGGCCAACAGATATATGAAAAACTGCTCAGCATGACCAATCATCAGGCAAATGCAAATTAAAATCATGATGAGCTATCACTTCACACTTGTTAAGATGGCTAATATAAAAAAAATGAGACATGTATGTTACTCAGGTAATGAATATCCTAAAAGCACTAATTTCACCACTGCAATCTATTCATGTAATAAAATTACACTTGTGCTCCCAGAGTTTATACAAAAAAAAAAATATATAATGTTTTGAAAAGGGTGTGAAAAAAATTCTGTACTCTGTTAATGAGTTATAAATTGGTAGTCATTATAAAAATCAGTGTGGAGATTATTTAGAAAAAAACCCCACAGAACTACCATACAATACATCAGTCCCACTTCTGTGTATATATATAATATATAGAAATAAAATTAGTATCTTGAGTATTTGGATCCCCATGTTACTTGCAGCATTATTCAAAATTGCCAAGATATAAAAACAATCTAAATGTTGTTGAATGCTGAATGGATCAACAAAACATGTTGTATATATACTCAATGAAGTATTAGTCAGTCTGACAACATGGATAAACCTGAAGAAAAATATGCTAATTGAAATAGGACGATACTAAAAAAGCTAACTTATGGACTCACCTACTCATCACTTAGAGTAGGCCCCAGAATAACAAATGATTTATATGCACATTGAAGCTTGAGAGGCAATGCTTAGCTAAGTGGCTCTTAGCCCAGACTTCTAATTAGGATTACATAGCCAGTTTTAAAAAAGTCCCATCACCCATGCCTCCTCACAGATTATGTCTGTTGATCTGGATGGGAGCGTCTATGTTGTTTTAATTAAGTGCCCTTGTGGTTCTAATGTGAGGTCAGGATCATGCCTGAGGGCTCCTAGAGACATTCTTGAGAACTGAATTCGCCCCTTATTTCTATTTTTTTTTGAGATGGAGTTTTGCTGTCATCACCCAGGCTGGAGTGCAGTGGCGCAATCTCGGCTCACTGCAACCTCCGCCTCCCGTCAGCCCTTGTTTCAAAGGGAAGTTGCAGACCCTGCTCTGCTTGGGTTTGATAGAAGCAGGCCAGTGCAGCCATTATTCCCATTGCTGCAGCAGAAATTACTGAAATCTTTGGCAGAGACAGGCACTTGCAGGAGGGAAAGGAGAAACAAATGTTGATCTTTATGTAGGAGCTCACTGTTCCTGACTCTCTCCTGGGATAAAAGACAGAGAAGTGTGACTTTTTATGCACTTCTACATCCTTCTGCCTGTGGGTGCAGTGGTAGCAGGTGAAGGGGTTGTGTTGATGCCTTTACAGGAATATTCTCAAGATGCAAGTTTTGGCCGGGCATGGTGGCTCACTCCTGTAATCCCAACACTTTGGGATGCTGAGGTGGGCGGATCACAAGGTCAGGAGTTTGAGACCAGCCTGACCAACACAGTGAAACCCAGCCTCTACTGAAAATACAAAAATTAGCCACGCATGATGGTGCGCACCCGTAACCCCAGCTACTCAGGAGGCTGAGGCAGGAGAATCACTTGAACCCGAGAGGCGGAGGTTGCAGTAAGCAGAGATCGCACCACTGGGTGCCTGGATGACAGAGTGAGACTCAGTCTCAAAAAAAAAAAAAAGAAGCAAGTTTTATTTTTTCCAGAGGATCTCGCCTGACAAGGAATCTCAGAGAATAAGTAAAAAAGAGAATAAAATGACTGGGTTTTGGGTAAATGTGTCCCAGTTCAGAGGCTGTGTCCACTTTTCCTCCTGGAATGTTACATGTTTAGAACTTCAAAAACCGTTGCTTCTCTACTTGTGATATTCCTGCCTATGTGTTTTTTTTTTCAACTACATTTTCCCCTTTTCTTCCTGTGGTGGTCAAAGAGCTCTGCAAAATTTCTCTCCTCTATATACCAGAACCTTCCCTCTACTCTCTCCATTCAGGCTTTATACACACCATGACCAAACCTCACTATGAATGTATTGCATGCAATATTAAAAGTGTTCCATTTGGCTAGCCATGCTGGCTCACACCTGTAACCCCAGCACTTTGAGAAGCTGAGATGGGAGAATCTCTTGAGTCAAGGAGTTTGAGACCAGCCTGTGCAATATAGGGAAACCCTGCCTCTACAAAAATAAAACAGATTAGCTGACATGATGTCACACATTTGTGGTCCCAGCTACTTAGGAGACTGAGTTGGGAGAATCACTTAGGCCCAGGATGCTGAGGCTGCAGTGAGCCATGATCATGCCAATGTACCTAGCCTACATGACAGAGTGACAGCCTGTCTCAAAAGAAGGTTCCCTTTGTGACAGATCAACAAGAGCAGGCATGAACACCCAAGATTTCTGTTGGGGATAGGGTCATGCCCTCAGATATTGGTGAAGAAGGGGAACACATGCTCTTTAGGTCCCATCTGGATGCTTCCATCTGCTCCATGCGTAACAGAATTAAGGAAATGCGGAAAGAGGATGGCATTAATTCCCCAGAATTTCTCCGAAAGTTTTGAACAAAAGAATACTTAGAAGACACTTACTTTTTATGATGCTAAAGAAAAAATATTTAACTACATTTACTAAAGATTACAGAACCTGGGATATTTCTGTAGCTTAATCTTTGAATAAAACTAATGTATCTCTATAATTAGATTCAGATTGTAATTTACTTCTTTGTGTTCAATAATATCACAGCTCTGGGTGCGGTGGCTCACGCCTGTTATCCCAGCACTTTGGGAGACCGAGGTGGGTGGATCACGAGGTCAAGAGATCAAAAGCATCCTGGCCAACATGGTGAAACCCCATCTCTACTGAAAATATATAAATTAGCTGGGCGTGGTGGTGCACACCTGTAGTCCCAGCTACTCGGGAGGCTGAGGCAGGAGAATCACTTGAACCTGGAAGGTGGAGGCTGCAGTGAGCCAAGATTGTGCCACTGCACTCTGGCCTGTTGACAGAATGAGGCTCCGTCTCAAAAAAAAAAAAAAAATTACAGCAGTGATATTGTGCCCTCTGTGTGCATTAGCACTTATACCAATTCTTTCTATTACAGTTCATGTTAATTTTATTCTGTTGGATAAGGTGCTGACAGATTTTTTTAACTGTAGAGTTAATGATTTTTCTCTTTATTATTAATAAGTAACTTTAGGAGATTTACCAACTGATGTTCATAAATCATCACATGTAATCTGGAGTCTCCCAATTCTTTTCAAATTCTCCTTGCTTATGGCTTGCTTTAGAAAATGGAAGTTCTCACCTTTGTGTACTGGGATAAACCCAGGCTCTGCCATGTACTTAATATTTGACAGGATATTCTCCTTGGGCCAAAAGCATCGGCATCACTGGGTAGCTTATTAGAAATTCAGAAACTCAGGCTTGAGCCCAGATCTTCTGAATCAAAACCTGCATTTTAACAAGATCTCCAGTTCATTGTTTTACACATTAAAATTTGAGGCATACCTTCTAACCGACCATAACTTCTTCATATAAGAAATATTCAGCCAGGCTTGGTGGCTCACGCCTGTAATCCCAACACTTTGGGAGGCCGAGGCGGGTGGATCACAAGGTCAGGAAATCCAGACCATCCTGGCCAACATGGTGAAACCCTGTCTCTACTAAAAATACAAAAATTAGCTAGGTGTGGTGTTGGGCGCCTGTAGTCCCAGCTACTCAGGAGGCTGAGGCAGGAGAATTGCTTGAACCCAGGAGGCAGAGGTTGCAGTAAGACGAGATCTCATCACTGCACTCCAGCCAGAGTGACAGAGCGAGACTCTGTCTCAAAACATTAAAAATAAAATTCATAACTTAGCCTGTATAATGTAAATATATCAGTAAAAAATATATATGCATGGGTTAATGCGCTAAATTTTATGCTGTCTCATCCACAAAAGGATACTCACTACTCTAGTTTAGTGGATGTTTTGCCATTCTTCTTCAGCATTAGAGAATAAATTAGAGAGTATTTCTGTGTTAAAAATTATTTTACTGGACAACTCCAGTCACTCATATACGTCAGAGCCAGTTCTTTTTACTCTCTATTTTCTTTCTTTCTGTTTTTTTTTTTCTTTTTCTTTTTTTTTCTTTTAGACAGAGTCTTGCTCTGTTGTCCAGGCTGGAGTGCAATGGCACAATCTCAGCTCACTGCAACCTCTGCCTCTCGGGTTCAGGTGGTTCTCCTGCCTCAGCCTTCCGAGTAGCTGGGACTACAGGCACCTGCCGCCTCGCTCAGCTAATTTTTGTATTTTTTAGTAGATACGGGGTTTCACCATGTTGGCCAGGCTGGTCTCGAACTGCTGACTGCCTTGGCCTCCCAAAGTGCTGGGATTACAGGCGTGAGCCACTGTGCCCGGCCAACTTAGATTTTTTCACAAATAAAAAATGGATAACTATTGTACACAATATAATGATTTTTTTGAGACTGAGTCTGGCTCTGTTACCCAGGCTGGAATACACTGGTGTGATTATGCCTCACTGCAACCTTAATCCCCTAAGCTCAATTGATCCTCCCACCTTAGCTTCCTAAATAGCTGGGAGTACAGGTGCAAGCCACCACACCTGGCTTATTTTTTTTTTAGTTTTGTAGAGATGGAATTTTGTCATGTTGCCCACACTGGTCTCAAACTCCTGATCTCAAGTGATGTGGCTACCTTGGCCCCCCTAAAGTGCTGGGATTATAGACATAAGCCACCATGCCCATCCTGTGCCCATATTAAATGAGCACTTAATATGTATATAAATTGTGAAATAATTTTTTTTTGAGACAGAATTTCACTCTTGTTGCCCAAACTGGAGTGCAATGGCGCAATCTTGGCTCACTGCAACCTCTGCCTCCTGGGTTCAAGCGATTCTTCTGCCTCAGCCTCCCCAGTAGCTGGGATTACAAGGCACACTAATTTTTTGTATCTTCTGTTTTTTTTTTTTTTTTGAGACGAAATCTTGCTCTGTCACCCAGGCTGCAGTGCAATGGCACATCTCAGCTCACTGCAACCTCCGCCTCCTGGGTTCAAGCAATTCTCCCTTCCTAAGCCTCCCGAGTAGCTGGGATTACAGGCGCCCACCACCACACCTGGCTGATTTTTGTAGTTTTCGTAGAGATGGGGTTTCACCATGTTGGCCAGGCTGGTCTCGAACTCCTGACCTCAGGTGATCTGCCTGCCTCAGCCTCCCAAAGTGCTGGGATTACAGGCGTGAGCCACTGTGCCCTGCCAGTTGTGAAATAATTAATTCAATGAAGTTAATGAATACATGTATCATCTTACATAGTTTCCTTTATTGTATCAAGTATACAAAAACATTATTATCTACTATAATCATGATGCTATATATTAGATTCACGAACCTTATTTATAACTAAAAGTTTGTACCCTTTAAACAACATCTTCCATTTTCCCTACCTCTTGGCTCTGGTATCCACCTTTGTACTCCCTGCGTCTAGGAGTTCAACCTTTTAGATTCCTCATACACGTGAGACAAATAAGAAATATTTGTCTGTATCTTCCTATTCTTCCTATTTTTAGTAAGTCCCCTGTTAATGCTCATGCTGCTCCCCCAGACCCATCATCAGTAGCACTCAGGTGGAGAAAGCAGGCACAGCACTGAGTCACTCAACCCAACACTCTTACCACAATACGGATGCTTATGGTCCAAAGTGAAAACCACCAATCACCATCCTGAAACATAGCATTCTCTGCTGGCCTTTAAAGTTTAAAGAGGCTGGAGAAGGCAGCAATGTCTGAGTGAGTCTGCATTTGGAAAAGAACATATGTACATGCATCAGTGCAGTATTTACTGAGAATATGCTGTGTGCTCAACAGTATGCTACAGAGCACAGTGCTGGGAACCTCACATTATGTGAGTGAATCCTCATAATACCATGGGAGGTGGGTACTAAGTGTCCCATGATTCTCAGAATTTAGATAAAAAGCCCAGCATTTCTGTTTCTTCTTCTGTTTTCCTAACATTAATTTTATTTTATTTTATTTATTTTTTTGAGACAGAGTCTCTCTCTGTCACCCAGGCTGGAGCGCAGTGGCACAATCTTGGCTCACTGCAACCTCCACCTCCTCGGTTCAGGTGATTCTCCTGCCTCAGCCTCCTGAGTAGCTGGGATTACAGGCGCATGCCACCACACCTGGCAGATTTTTGTATTTTTAGTAGAGACGGGGTTTCACCATGTTGGCCAGGCTGGTCTCGAACTCCTAACCTCACGTGATCCACCCGCCTCCACCTCCCAAAGTGCTGGGATTACAGGCGTGAGCCACCACACCTGGCCCTAACACTGATTTTAAAAAGAAAATGTATATAATAAAATTTTAACTAGACAAGTAGGAGAGATACAGAAAAGAATGGTTAAGCTTAATTTAGAGGAATTGTTATATTTATATTTACTTTTTTGTGACTTGCATGGCAACTACTGGATCTCCAGGAATAGAGAACGGGTTGCTAGGTGGCATATGTCTCTAGAAATACTTGTTTTAATTTAAAAAAAAAAAAAAGAGAGAGAGTTCTCTTTCATTTATCTGCTTTTAGCTTTCAGGAAATTGTGAGCAGCAGCTCTAGAGAGGCAGCAGAAGCCGCCACTCAAAACTCTGATCTCCTTTAATCAGTCTGTAAGGGGAGATTCCAGGGTGAGGCAAGACCTGGATGAGGCCTCAGAAGAGGATGGAGTTAAGCAGCCCTAGAGTAACGAGGGGGCCACAGGATTCTCATCTCTATGCTGCTGGGGTATTTCCAGGTCTGTCTTTTCTAAGTCTGTCCAAGGGAAACTTGACTTGAAGTTTGTAGAATTGTCATCTATTTTGGCCAATTTTCTGTCTGTTTTATAACATATAATAACATACATACATGTTAATTTAACCAAAAACCCCTATGGTTTTCTAGCACAATTATAAGCTAAACATGTATTCTTAGCAAGGTAAAAGCAATAGAAATAATGATAACAATAACAACCGTTCTGTGCATCAATAGCCCTTCAGCTGGTGACATAACAACTCTGAACAATGTAAGGGAATTGGCCCCAAAGGAAGCCCAAGTTCCTGTACACCTCCCTTCTTTGTACTGACCCCATAATTCTGAATTCAACCATTTATCCATGTGCTCTAGGCTGAAACTGCCAGGATTGTAGAGATAGCGACTGCCTTATCTGTTTTTTCTAATGCTCATTTTTAATGGAAGCAATTGATTTATCGATCTGTCTCCAGAGCTCCTCGTTCATTACCCAGAAAACTGGAGAAACACCCATCTGGGTACCAACCAAGGAGATTCCTTCTGTGAGGGGAGGAAAAAATCCTGGATGATTCATTCCCCTTCCTCTGAAATGGGAACAGAATTAGACCCTGCTGTCAGCCTGACACAGCTGTGCCAATCTGCACAGCACATCCCCAAATGTCTCAAAGACTCCCAGGTGCTGGTGAGAAGGTCCCCAGTGAGCCTGGACTGAAGCCCCCGTGGTTATCCAGGCAGGAGAGACTCAAGCTAACTCTGCATGATCGGAATAAAGAATAAACCTGCCCTGGTGGAGCTGCAGACCCTGGATCCAGGTGTGATATCACTTGTTTGTGATCAGCTCACTCTTGGGTAAGAAAAAGAACAAGAATACTCTACTACAGAAACACAGTTTACAGGTGGGTTAATTGTGGTCATAGCTCTGGATATTGTGTGGCCCTAACATCCTTCTGCTAAGGTGCTTGTTTAACTTACAGATTCTGCTACCAGATTCTGTTTACACCAGGAACATATCACACAACTATAGCAAGTCACTAAACATTATCTGGAAAATTTGAAGGACCTCACCCTGAAAGAAGAGCACTAAGATTTCTACGTTGTTCTCTCATGATGAAACAAATGTGCCCCATGGGTTTTCTGTACATCCTCAATCCAAAATCTGACCCTATCTTGTAAATTCCAGGTGTGCAGATTTTAGATGGGATCCACCTGTCTCTGCATTTTGGGGGGTTACAGCAAGTGGAGTAAAAGCAGAGGAGAGATTCCCTCATGGAGACTCCTGTAACACATTCTAAGGAAGAAGATGAGGCAAAAGTAATACAAGTAGAGAGTTTATTTGGGCCAAGTTTGAGGATTGCAACCTGGGAGCATAGATTCAAGTTTCCCTGAATATGCACTTTGACTAGCAGCAGTTACAAGTGGATTTTTAAACGCAAAAATTGAGGACGGGACATGGGCTGTCACAAAGTTATTTGTCAGGACATCTTATTGATTTACAGAAATAATATTGATTAGTGATTGGCTTACATAGGGTGTAGGCTACGATTTCAGGTGTGGTATTATTAGTTAATGTATAGTCATTTGTAGCAAAAGCAAGCAGTTTCAAGATATGAATACATAGGTCAGGTGCAGTGGCTCACACCTGTAATCCCAGCACTTTGGGAGACTGAGGTGGGCAGATCACCTGAGGTCAGCAGTTTGAGACCAGCCTGGCCAACATGGTGAAACCCCGTCTCTATTAAAAATACAAAAATTAGTCAGGCGTGGTGGCACGCACCTGTAATCCCAACTACTCAGGAGGCTGAGACAGGAAAATCACTTGAACCCAGGAGGCGGAAGTTGCAGTGAGCCAAGATCACACCACTGCACTGCAGCCTGGGCAACAGAGTGAGACTCCATCTCAAAAAAATAAATAAATAAATATATAAATATATAAATAAATACGTAGCTCAAAGAGGGGAGCAGGACATGATTATAATCTCCTTTTAATGTCTCTATGGGCCTGATAATTAAAGTTACTTGCATTTCTCAGATGAAACTTACATTTTTTAGGACCTATATACAGAATTTGAAGATGCCAATTTGGGTCTTAGCAGGGTGAGGATGCAGCGGTGAACTCTGTGCCTCCCTAAGCATTATGGCAGAAGGAAAATGAGGGGAATTAAGATTCTCAAAGCTACTTATTGCACATGTGTGAGCCTGGATGGGTTTCGAGGCCCCATGGTCTCTGAACCAGTTTCAGGTATAAAGAATGCCAAGGGCATAAAAAGAGGTAGACTGGCTGACTGCTGTCCTCTGAAGTTATTTATGTGGAAACCTGCTCTAACTGCTCTGACATGACTGTGGATCCCAAATAGGCAGAGACACCACTCTACCTGCAGATTTTGGGGGCAGCATGCATGTTGCTGCACAACTGTGAGTTACTGAGTGGAAAGGACCCCTCTAGTGTGAAGCCTGGTGGGCACCTCATATGTTTATAGTGTGTCTGGCAATTCTGGACAGTGTTCATAAAATGTAACTGAAAACTTAATTGTCTCCAACTCCCCCAAACACTCGCCAAAGTAGAATAGAAAGCAAATTATTATTACACAGTTAGACCAGAATCTGATTTAAATTACAGGTAACCTCATAACAGACTGAAAGACATAATTAGTCCTCAAGTAGGACACTTCACAGCACCATGTGTCATATACAGTTTATCCTAAATTCACCTGGTAATTGGGGAGGCCATCTGTGGTTGCTGACTGGCATATCTGAAGGAAAAATAATGGTCCCAAGTCCAGGAGGGACAGAAGGTAATTTTGAAACTTGGAGCAAGCTGTGCGATAGGGCTCTAACTTTTTTGCTGTTTACATTTCCGAGCAATCATTTCCAGGTCCTAGAGAAAGACTTTTCCTAGAAAAAAATAACAAAAGGACTGTTCAGCCATTAAAAATATTAACACATATGTCAAAGAGGCAGAGAAAAAATTAAATATAAAAGTTTTCTGAATTAAATGCTTTAAGGAAGGAGAGCAAATTTTCTACTCTTACTTTCAAGTTGGAAAATTAAGTCTTATATTTCTAATTTGTACTTATGCTTTCAACAGCCAAGTCCAGGGAAGTTGGTCTTAAACTCATGGGTATTTGAATTCCAGTAAGTCTGGACTCAGGCACCTGAGGGGTAGCCTCGGCCACACTGTATGCACTTGAAATAAAGTCTGTGGAAAATAAAATGTCAGAAGAGAAAAAAATGCTATTTAGGACAGACGTGTGAGGGACAATGAAGAGTTGCTGGAAGGACTGGTTTGTGCTACAAATACTGGCCTAGGCAGGATTATGCTCTGACTTATTTCTGTTTCCATAAGGATGAGAGTATAATCAAGTGGTCCAGAAGCCTAGGTGCATAAAGGGACCACATTACTGCCACTGATTCAGGGTGTTGGGGCAAGGATATTCCAGGAGTTCTCTAGGCATATGTTTGGGTTTTTGGTGGAAACCTCTAGGTTCCCACAGAGCAAAAGCACTGTGGGTGCAATTCCTGAGTTTGTACGTTTGTCCTGGGAGAAGCAGGGCCCTGTCGTTACCTAGAGCTAGAGCACATGTGCGTGAGTGGGTGAAAATAACATGGTGGCAGCTGGGAGAAAAGAGGGGTCTGTCCTCAGAATTGATTTATTCTGTGTTGTGAGACAAGAGAAATAGCTCAGAGCTGTCTATGTGACATATGCAAAATCAATCACACTCAGAGAGACATGAATATGAAACTTAAGTCATCCCACCCCACCCATGCCTGGAAGCAATTGTTTAGATATTTTCTTCCCAACTAGTATCTCACTCATCTTCGTGTTCCTGAAATTGGTGACACAAAGTGCAATGCACGGCCAATCAATAGTTTATGTTATTTTATTTATTTATTTATTTTTAGTTTTTTGAGACGGAGTCTCGCTCTGTCACCCAGGCTGGAGTGCAGTAGTGCAATCTCGGCTCACTACAACCTCTGCCTCCTGGGTTCAAGAGATTCTCCAGCCTCAGTCTCCCGAGTAGATGGGATTACAGGCGCCTGCCACCTTGCTCAGCTAATTTTTGTATTTTTTAGTAGATACGGGGTTTCACCATGTTGCTCAGGCTGGTCTTGAACTCCTGACCTCAAGTGATCCACCCATCTAGGCCTCCCAAAGTGCTGGAATTACAGGCGTGAGCCATTGCGCTTAGCCAGTAGCTTATGTTATTTTATTTTTTGTAATTTTTTTTTTTGAGACTAAGTCTCACTCTTGTCCCCCAGGTTGGAGTGCAATGGCGTGATCTCAGCTGACTGCAACCTCTGCCTCCCGGGTTCAAGCGATGCTCCTGCCTCAGCCTCCCGAGTAGCTGGGATTACAGGTGCCTGCCACCACGCCCGGGTAATTTTTGTATTTTCAGTAGAGATGGGGTTTCACCATGTTGGCCTGGCTGGTCTCGAACTCCTGACCTCAGGTGATCCGGCCGCCTTGGCCTCCCAAAGTGCTGGGATTACAGGCATGAGCCACCACGCCTGGCTGCTTATGTTATTTTAATGTAATGCTTAGAAAACAACTTATAAACTATTTTTGCTATTTCCCTTTGCAAAGCCATATGTAACTTTGGCTAATGTTCCCAGATAGAACTGTGTCCAGCTGCATGTTCTTGCAACCCAATAACAAGATGCAGGCAAACTGGAAAAGAAGAGAGTTTTTTTCTGTAACTGGGTACAGGGAGAAAGTCAGAGATAATTCACCAGACCAACTCAAGATTCTAAAGTTCTTCCAGTGCTTATATATATTTCAAACTATATGCCTACGTGTAATATTATACTCGCCTAAGTTTATGGGGGATTAATTTTGTTTTAACTAAAAGATCAGAGCCCATAAATGTCCCCTAAATCTACTTAATTTGTGAGGGCCCCGGTACCAGTGTGATTACTTCCATCCTGTCTTACCTATGGTTTGGGTCTGGAGAGTTGCTTCAGACCCCCAGTAAATTTATCTGACCCAAGATGGGTCTTGGTACGAGGAATGTAGGGCTTTCTTTCTTTATTATCTTGACTTGCCTCAAGTTTCAGAAGCCTGGGCAAGATTCTTACCAAACATATGTTTCATTTCTGGCTTTGCTGTTGGGGCATCAATTTCCCCAGGTTTAACTGCTACCTTAATGTTAAGGCAGATGCTGTGGTAGTTTGAATGTATAACTGGAGTGCTATGGAGGCCTGTCTGTGTGACTGTTAGGAAGAATTGGCCTGCCACAATCCCCACTGTCAATTTGCGCATGATTTCTATCATGCCTAAGCTGGAGGGACTGCAGGGATGTGGGACGTCATGATCATTCTGGCTACTTCCTGCTGAGGGGGGTCACTGTTAGGGGGCAGTGAACATGGGATTGGAGTGGCAGAGGTTCATTTGCTCTTGGAAATACTATTGGCCTCAGGCTTTTAGCAGCAGCACCTGCTGAAACATAATGGCATGAGTTTTGGGAATGTTGTGAAACAGCACACAGCGCATAGCAGCAATACATTACACAGCACAGAGATATACTTAAGCCTAGGAAAATAGCAAAGAATGCCAGGACTTCCTGCCAGCAAGAAGATTCTGTGCTGAGCCATGATGCGAGACAATCATTTCGTGATAACTGGGCTGGAAATGGCTATAATTTGCTAACGTATACCCTTTAGTACTAGAAAGATGTTCCTAGAATTATTCGGAATATACACACAGCATTCAGTTTTGATGAGGGCATGAGATCCCCCTTGGGCTGCAGTAAGAATGTCTAAGCCCATTCGATTTTGCAAAATAGCCTTTCACATATGATACATTTCAGTATTTATAAGAGAGATGCTTTGGAAGCTGTCACTTAGAGCCCACTGAGTAAAGTTGGCTAATGCCTCTATGTGCCATATAACATTTTCTAATCCTATTAAGAGCATGAATATTGCAGATTGATGGTTGTACCAGTGAAAGACTGACCTGGTCCATCTGTTAATCATATGTGGAAGATTGGGCAGATTTTGTATGGTTTTTACCTAACAACCTTATGCCTATGGGAAGCCTAGAGTGCAACATCCCTACCAGCCCAAGGGAAGCCGCGGCCACAGGTTGGTGCTGCAAAGTCCTGTTGGGAGGATACCAATTTAGGCCAGGCCATTAAGACCAATCTATGGTGAACACATCCCTCTGCTGGAGTACTATAATATATTGGTACCACTGAGAAGGAATCCATCCTATAATCTGAGTTGCATTAGGCCAATGGTCAAGGAAATGTTTTCATTGCTCCCAGAACAAGGAAGCTATTTGCCTTAAATGTCCAGTAGAAGCAGTTAACCAAATGCACCCATCCCAGATTTGAAGAAAGCCATTCTTGTATCAAACATTTTGGGGCTTGAAGGTTTGGATGGGCACTTTTGAATCTAATAAAGGAGTAGCTAATGCTATAACTTTGTCCCTTGTTCTATTAAAGAGAATGGCTTTTTGTGTCCTGGGTCACTTAAAGTCTCATTTATGGGCCATTCTGACACATTTGCTTTAGTTATCCCAGTCATTTGCAACCCAATCCAGTTTTCGAATTTCCTGGAAAAGTTTGTAGGTACACCCAATCTTTTCCTTGCACAGGTGAGACCCACCAAGGCAGACCTGTGGTACTAGAAAGCAGTAACAGGCCACAGACCCAGCAGGAATCCTGCTGGAGGCTGTCTGCATAGTCCTGCGCCCATTGTAGACAGAGGTTACAAGTGTGTAACGAAACAGTAAGAGGTATAAAAGGAAGCACAGCATAAAAGAAATCTGTATCATTTTCTGAATAGAAACTTTAAGTCCTCTAGGGGCTCCACTTCCCATTGAGTGGTTGCAGGTGTTTCCATTGTGGATACCCCAGGTGACTGGAATTTCTTCACTCACATATGATGAACCCAGGGTTTGATGCCTGTCAGCTTCAGTGCCAAGTCAGTAGTCAACAGCACATCGTAGGGCCCTTTCCATTTTTCCTGTAGTTGTTGGGCAGGATCAGCTTCCCTCCATTCCTTCAGCAGCACTTGATCACCAGGCTGAAATGGGTGGCGGTCTCCTGCAAAATCTGTGTCATTCCTCTAAGAAGCAAACTTATGCAAATCATTAAGAGTTCGTCCTGAGTGACATAAGTTTTAATAGCTAATTCTGTATCCAGTGACACTCTAGCAACCCAGGACAAGGCTACAAAGGGCGTCCCGAAAATAATTTCATAAGAACTTAACTTAATCCCATTTCTGGGGGCCATTCTTACCCAGAGTAGTGCAATCCCAAGTACCTGAATCCATTTTAACTGAGCTTCCTGACATAGCTTAGCAAGAATTGTCTTTAAAGTATGATGCATTCTTTCAGTCTGTCCAGAGGATTGAGGCTTCCATGCCGAGTGCAGCTTCCATTTTATTCCTACTGTTTTGCTTACTTGTTGGGTTATTTCCGAGGTAAATGAAGGCCCATTGTCACTATGGATAATGTCAGGGAGCCCATATCGGGGTATGATGTTCTTTAGCTGCACTTTAACTACCTCTGTTGGCCACTCGGTATGATATGGGTAGGCTTCCACCCAGCCTGAGAGTGTCCACTACAACTAAGAGGTATTTGTACCTTCCAGGGGCAAGTGGCATTTGAGCAAAGTCAATCTGCCAATTTTCTAGTAGATGCTTCCCTCTCGCCTGTTGTCTGGGTTGTCCTTTGCTATAGTTATTGGTCTCATTTTCAGCGCAAAGGTAGCAATGTTGTATTATACTTCTTAAGTGAGCCTTTTCCTTCCTATATTTTTGCACAAAAGTTAACGAGGCATCTCATCCAAAATGCATGCTATCATGAATATATTTTAGCATTGGGTTGAAGGAAGGTGTGCTGGCACCCAAACCAGGCCCTTGTTATTTACTTTCCAGCCTTTCTTGTCTTAAATAAACCCTTTGTCCTTGGCAATCTTTTCATCCTCAAACTACACTGGGGTTTGAAAGCTGCCAAATCTACTTGGGAAATCAAAGGTGCCTGGACCTTGGCACTGGTGCTGGCTAGATGCCTGGCTGTGCAGTAGGTGAAGGTGTTCCCCCTAGCTGGTTTGAAATCGCTGCTCTTATGGCCTGGACAATGCATAGCAGCTATTTTTCTTGACGCTGTTACTGCTTCCAACAGCTCCAACACTTGCTTAGCATATTAAATTTCAGTATTATCAGCTTTTAGCAGTCCCCTTTCCTTCCAAATAGCTCTGTGTGCATGAACTATCATGAAGGAATATTTGGAATCAGTGTAGATATTGGTGCTCTCACCTTGGGACAGTTGCAAGGCTCTGGTAAAAGCGACTAACTCAGCCTTTTCCGCAGAAGTCCCTGTCGGGAGTGTTCTTGCCTCTATTACCTCCAAGAGAGTTACTACAGCATAGGCAGCATTTCTCCTTTGTTGGTGACTAAGCTGCTTCCATCCATGAACAGCAACCAGTCTACATAGGGGAGGGCTGCATCCTTTAGATCTGGGAGACCAGAAAATACTTGATTATAACCTCTAGGCAGTTGTGTACTAGTTCCTTTGTTCCCCAGTAGGTGGCAGCAAAATGGCAGGGTTTGAGGCTCCAGTGGTCTGCAGTTTTACTGCGGGATTATCAAGCAGGATGGCCCGATATCAGCCTAATCTGACAACCGTCAGCCAGTAGCCACCCTTCTGCTCAAATAACACCAGGCTTGATGGGGCACATAAATCACGATGGGCTGACCCAAAGTCAGCTTCTCAGCTCCCTTGAGCAACAAGCAGGCGGCAGCTACTGCTTTGAGACAAGGGGGCCAGCCCATTGCCACTGTATCAATCCTTTTGAGAAATAAGCCACTGGTTGCAATATTTCTTTTAGTTTTTGTGTTAGGATCCCGAGTGCCAGACCCAGTCTTTCATGCACGTAAAGTTGCAAGGGTTTATGAGGATTTGGCAGCCTCAGAGATGGGGTAGATGTCATCTTAAGCTTTAATTGTTTAAACGCATTCTGGTGTTACAGCTCTCATTTAAAGGGGTTGTGGTTGGCCCCTTTTATCACTTCATATAGCAGCTTTACCTTCAGCCATAATTGGAAATCCAGATTCTGCAGAACCCTGCCCTTCCCAGGAAGCCCCTTAGCTGCTTTCTGGTTGTGGGTGTCATGATAGAGGCAACTGCATTTTGCCTCTCCACCGTCAGGGCTCTGGTTTCTCTGTAACAGAAATCTTAGGTATCCCATAGTTTGTTTGCATATCTGTACCCCTGTGCCCTTTTGCTTAAGACCTTGTACCCACAGGCTGCCAAATGGTTTAGTTTTTACAGTGTTATCCTGACATTCTTGCTTCAAGGAGCTGGAGATTAGCAAATCATCCGCATACCGTAGCAGTACCCCATTTTCCAATTGTAAGTCTCTTAAGTTCTGAGCCAGTGCTTCCCCAAATACAGTTGGGGAATTTTTAAACCCTTGAGGAAGCACTGTCCAACAATATTGAAATTGTGTGGCTGTTTCAGGGTCTGTCCACTCAAACAATAATTGGCTTTCTGCATTCGCTGGTATGCAAAAGAAAGCATCCTTCAAATCTAATACTCTAAACCATTCATGGTCTCTGGACAGGAAGATAAAAATAGTGTATTGATTGGCCCCAGTGGGGTGGGTGTCTTCTACAGTATCACTGATCACCCTTATATCTTGCATGAATTTGTACTTGCATGGATGAGATTTCTTTACTGGAAGAATGGGCATGTTCTATGGAGACTGACAAAGTCTTATTAAGACATGCCACAAGAATCAGAATGTACCAGCTGGATGCCTTCTAGGGCCTCTTTCTTTAAGGCGTATTGTTCCTTTCGAACAGGTTGGGTCCCTTCCTTCAGCTTGATTTCTACTGGATTCACATTAATTGTCCGCCTTGGTTGGTTGGATGCTGATACTTCGGCTTTACCTTGTTGAGGACTTCCTGTGGAATCATCTCTACCTTAAGGTGTGAAGTCTCCGATTTCATCAGGAGGGCCTGTCGCCACAATCTGTGTTCTGAGGGTACCTGGAGGCACATCTGGCGCATCTCTGGGTCAAAGACAACTCATGCCTGTAACTTACATAAGAGGTCTCTACCAAGCAGAGACATCGAGCAGTCCAGCACATATGGAAACTGATGAGGCCGGGCACCTTGGCTCACACCAGTAATCCCAGCACTTTGGGAGGCCGAGGCGGGTGGATCACGAGGTCAGGAGTTCAAGACCAGCCTGGCCAAGATGGTGAAACCCTGCCTCTACTAAAAATACAAAAAAATTAGCTGGGCGCGGTGGCAGGTGCCTGTAATCCCAGCTACTCGGGAGGCTCAGGCAGAGAATTGCTTGAACCTGGGAGATGGAGGATGCAGTGAGCCAAGATCGCACCACTGCACTTCAGCCTGGGTGACAGAGCAAGACCCTGTCTCAAAAAACAAAAGGAAAAAAGAAACCAATGAGTTATTAAGCCATTTCCCACCTTCCAGGATAGAGGGTGAAAGAACTATTCTGATTTCAGCTTTCCGCTCACCCCAACTATATTGACAGAGGTGTCAAAAAGTTCAGTAAGGCCGGGTGTTGTGGCTCACGCCTGTAATCCCAGCACTTTGGGAGGCCAAGATGGGCAGATCACTTGAGGTCAGGAGTTCGAGACCAGACTGGCCAACATGGTGAAACCCTGTCTCTACTAAAAATACAAAAATTAGTTGGGCATGGTGAGGCATGCCTGTATTCCCACCTACTTGGGAGGCTGAGGCAGAATTGCTTGAACCCAGGAGGCAGAGGTTGCAGTGAGCTGAGATCATGCCACTGCACTCCAGCCTGGGCGATAGAGCAACTCAGTCTCAAAAAAGGTTCAGTAATTGGGATATTAATTGACGAGTAAGCAGCACCCATATGGATTTAGAAGTCCAATTTTCATTTCCCCACTGTCGAATTTACCCAAGGCTCCTGAGGGAAAATCTTAACGTCAGACAGGGTTGGAGCCATCAGGAGTCTTGGGCCCCTCAGTCCTCTTTGGATTCGTTTTCAGGCTTAACAGCCATAAGTGACCTAAGCTCCTTCTTAATCAACTTGGGGCAGTCTTTCTTTCAATGCCCTGTCTCCTGACAGTAAGTGCATTGATCCTTTCCTATATTTTCCTTCTGCCTCAGGGGTCCCTTTTTCTTCGGGTTTCCTACCACAGTGGCTCTAAGTATTGCTGCCTGCCATAGAGCCTTAGTTTCCTTGGATTCCCTGCTATTGTAGACATTGAATGCAATGTCAATTAACTGAGAAGCATTCATTCCCATAGCCCCTTCCACATTTGGAACTTCTTTCTGATGTCTGGGGGCACTTTGCCTTGTAAGAGTCATGTTTACCATTCTGACATTTTTGGGGTCCTGTGGATCTAAGTCTGTATACTTTCTATACATTTGACAGATCTGTTCCATAAATTCTGAGGGGTCCTCATTAGGTTTCTGCTGAAGTTCCTGCACTTTGTTCAGACTTTTAGGTCTCAGCACCCCTACCTAATGTCCTTTAGAATACACCTTTTACAATGCTACAGACAATTATCTCCAGCTACAATGGCCTCATTTGGGTCCAAATTTGGGTCACTGCATGGAATCAGCTCATCAGGGTCTAGGGTATCATCAGGGCTTTCATCATGAAAGTGCTTTTTTTTCTCCTTTGTCTAATACTAGCCTTCTCTCATCTGCAGTAAGCATAATATTTAGGAGGGCTTGCACATCAGCCCAGGTAGGGCAATGGGTGGCAAAAATAGTGGTAACTGTTCAGTCATCTTCTGGGGTTCTTCCCTGTAGGAAGGACTGGAACTTTTCCAATTCAGTAAATCAGATGTGGGAAAAGGGCTTCATGCTCAGTAATATCCAGCCAGAGGCTCTTGCTGATTAACTCCCGTGGGATATTGTCAGAAGGGAAATTGTCCTGCCCCAGGCTTGGTAGCTCCTCAGCCAAAATTAGTGCCTTGCCCAGTTCAGGAGGGAGAGACTGTGTCTGTAGCCTCTTTGAACTTTGGGGGTGGTGACTCTTCACTCTCTTGACTAGGTGGTGGGACACTAGCTTTTACTGGATTAGGCATGTATAGCAATTGCTGACTCTAGCTCTTTTTCTTTCTTCCTCTCCCTCAGGGTCAGGTGACACTTTGTCTGGGTAATGCAACATTAACTCACTCCCTTTAACCTCTTGGTTATGTAGCAACATAAGTGCCTGAATGTAGGGGAATTTTTAAACGCTTCCTCCCATTTCCTCAAACATTGACAAAACAGCTGTAACTGAAAGATATAATAGCTTAAAGACCCCAAAATTGGCCACCATTTTTTGGATCCTAAAGCATACATTAGCCAAACCATATTACAATAGTAAACCATTTTCCTCTTAGTCATGGGGGTAACCTCGTACTATTTCCAATCTGACAGCATTTTTCCCAGAGGGCTCCCTGAGGGAAGGAAAGCAGCACTTTCCATTTTAAGTCTGACAAAACCACAGACATGAACATGGAGACAGTTTCAGACAAACACAAAAGGAAGCGTACTTGGGTAAAACAGATCTGAAATCAGCTTCAGGTTTACTCCTAACCAAATAGCAACTGAGTATAAAAATGAGCCCTACTATTTTCCTGACGGTATCAGACCAAACGGCTTAATAAGCCCAGATAAGAAAATAACAGGCTTCCTGCATATGATCCAGTTTTACTCACCCTTTGAGTGCATCCACTCCTGCCTGATCACCATTCTTCCCCAGTGGTGAGAGGGACATGTGGTTTTTGCACATGGAATAGCCCCTGGGAGAGTCCCCAGGACAATCTTATCCAGCAGCTTCTGGGAGTCTCCAAATGACCATCTCGCCACAATCACGGGCCACTGAGTGCAGCACCATTTCAGTGACTCTTGGCTAGCTTGCCAGATGTTGTTCCTGGACCAAACTGGGTCTGGCTGTGTGTTCTTGTGGCCCAATAACAAGATGCAGACAAACTGGGAAAGAAGAGAGTTTATTTCTGTAAACAAGTACAGGGAGGAGGTCAAAGATAATTCCCCAGACCAACTCAAGACTAACAAACATTTTTCCATTGCTTATATATGTTTCAAACTGTATGCTTATGTGCAGTATCATACTGACCTATGTCTACAGGTAAATAATTTTAACTAAAAGCTCAGAGACCAGAAATGTACCCTAAATCTACTTAATCTACGAGGGCCCTGGTACTAGGGTGATTAAGAAATGTCCCCTATTTTTGCTCTACTTAATCTGTGAGGGCCCTGGTAGAGGAGTGATTAGTTCTATCTTATATTACCTATGGTTTGGGTCTGGAGAGTTGCCTCAGATGCCCAATAAATTTATTTGACCCAAGATGGGTCCTGGTACAAGGAATGTGGGGCTATCTTCATTATCTTGACTTGCCCCAGGTTTTAGGAGAAACTTGCGCAAGACTCTTACCAAACATATATTTCATTTCTGGCTTTGGTGTCCAGGGATTGATGTTTCTAGGGTTAAGTACTAACTTAATGTTAAGGCAGATGCTGTGAAAGTTTGCCTGTATAACTTGAGTGCTATGGAGGCCTGTCTGTGTGACTGCTAGAAAAAAATTGGCCTGTCACACTAATAGGAGTGTGTATTCAGGGAAACTGTAATCTGTGCTCCCCTGTGGCCACCCTAAATTTTGCCATACCTAAACTCTAAACAAGATTCTGACTTTTTGATTATATTAAGTTGATGGTTCTCAGTCTCCACTGACCCTGGGAGAGAAACAGAATCATAGGACAATTCTCAGTGTGACAGCCTCTGTGCAGGAGAACAGAGCCTCCCTTCCATGAGACACCCGGAGTCTACCCCCAGCCCAGACACCCATCTGAAAAGCACTGGTCGAGACTCACAGGCAACCACACGTTCTTACCTCCCCTAATGTATCTCACTAGAGACACTTAGGCCAAATCTCAGAAGCCTGAGCACAAAAACTAACTGCCTTTCTTTCGGGTATTTCTCAGGGCATACTGTCAGGAATCATTTCCACATGAGAATGAAGGTGTTTTTATCCAAGAATGCAACAAGGGAGCATGGTTTAATAACATCTGGTTGGAATGGATGGAAGCCCTTAACAAAGATGCCATTATGCAGTGATGATACACAAAGCAAGTTGTGAAACATGTCAAGTAACAAATTAGATTATAGCACCATCGAAATGTGATTCTGTTGTTTTTGCTTACTTTCTGTGTGTTTTTTCTATTATGTTACAATATATCCCCTTTAAGTCCTTGTATTTTCTCATTTAAAAGTCTAGGGCTGGCCAGGTACGGTGGCTAACGCCTGTAATCCCAGCACTTTGGGAGGCCAAGGTGGGTGGATCACCTGAGGTCGAGAGTTCGAGACCAGCCTGACCAACATGGAGAAAACCGTCTCTACTAAAAATACAAAATTAGCCAGGCATGGTGGCGCACACCTGTAATCCCAGCTACTTGGGAGGCTGAGGAAGGAGAATTGCTTGAACCCGGGAGGCGGAGGTTGTGGTGAGCTGAGATCGCGCCATTGCACTCCAGCCTGGGCAACAAGAGTGAAACTCCATCTCAAAAAAAAAAAAAAAAAAGTCTAGGGCCAGGTGTGGTGGCTCATGCCTGTAATCCCAGCACTTTAAGAGGCTGAGGTGGGTGGACTGCTTGAACCCAGGAATTTGAGATTAGTCTGGGCAACATGGTGAAACCCCATCTCTAGAAAAAATACAAATGTTAGTTGGGTGTGATGGTGTGTACCTGTGGCCCCAGCTACTTGGAAGGCTGAGGTGAGAGTATTGCTTGAGTGCGGGAGGATGGATTGAGTCTGGGAGGTGGAGGTGGCAGTGAGCTGAGACTGTACCATTGCACCCAGCCAGGCAGCCAGCCAGACAGAGTGAAACTCTGTCTCCAAAAAAGATCTATTGCTTAAGCTAATTTTTAAAAAATTTTATTTTTCAAATATACTTTGAAAGCAATGACTCTTTAAAACATTATCTAAAGATTTTATACTCAAAATACCATTATAGTTTAATATTTCTGTTGCAAAAAATTTTACTTCTTGGCTGTGTTCTAAAGTTTTATATCTAAGGTATTTTTAGAAACATTTAGTTCAAAAGAGTGACGATACTGTGGTCAACATGTGCAAGATTTTAAATGAGAAAATAACCATTTTATATGCTGTGAAAAAAATCTCATAGCTGTAACTGGTTAGAATTGACATGAAGGCAGCTGTCTTAATGCAAACACATACAAAGAAACAGACAAGCAGAGCACCACTGTGGTTTGCACCAGGCAAGATAAGGAGAAGAGGGAAGGCTGATGCAAGTGTGGTTAAGGACTGAAGCTTAGGTGGTCCCAGGAAAGCCTCGCTGAGAATTAGGTTTTAGTAATTAAGTAATGGAGGGCAAGTGAGTAGTTATGCAAAGAGTAAATAGAAAGATGTAAATTTTATTTGCTGTAGGATTAAGATGTTGATGATCCTACTAAACTATTAATTCATCCAGTTCAATTATTGGCATAATCTTATCATGACTGTTATCTCAGTTAACTACTCTACATTAATTATTTTAACTTCCAAGTCAGGTTTATTACATTTGTAAGCTTTTCCATACCAATGAACAGCTTTTATTTTCTTGTTTTACCAACTGTATCTTTTAATATTCCATTTAGCCTTTGTGTGTAGATGGTCAGCTGAGAAGCCGGGACCCTAAAATATATGGCCTACAGATGTGGGTTGTACCCCATTTGCAGCTAGCCGAATGTTCTTTAAGCTGTCAATCAGAGAGATGTGGATCTTAGAAGGGCTATAGCTTTTGCTTCTTTTTTGGAGACCTTAATTACAGCTATAAAGGACTTCTTGGTTGTGGTCTCACGTGTGTTTATTTGTGTAGTTCTGAGACATTTATTAAGGTATCCCTTTGATTTAAAATTTTGATATATGTTAAGAATGTGATTAAAAAAATTGTTTGTATAGACTTCTCTCCTAAGCTAAATAAGATATATATCCAAAGAGAAAATAATTAAAACATTTCGGGCCAGGCGCAGTGGCTCACACCTGTAGTCCCAGCACTTTGGGAGGCTGAGGCGGGCGGATCACGAGGTCAGGAGATCGAGACCATCCTGGCTAACACGGTGAAACCCTGTCTTTACTAAAATACAAAAAATTAGCCGGGCATATTGGCGGGCACCTGTAGTCCCTTCTACTCAGGAGGCTGAGGCAGGAGAATGGCATGAACCCGGGAGGCGGAGCTTGCAGTGAGCCGAGACTGTGCCACGGCACTCCAGCCTGGGTGACAGCGAGACTCTGTCTCAAAAAAAAAAAAAAAAAAAAAAAAATTCAAAGGCAAACAGTTTTAAATAACGACTATCCTACACCTCTAGTAAAGAAATATGCCCCACCTCCAAAACTTATTTATTAGTAGTGTAAATTTCAGAATAAAATAGCCAAGAAACAGAAATGTTTGCTATTTATGCAGCTAAAACCCGGCAAAAATATTTTAAGAACCCTATAGTCAAAAGTTTACTTAATTGAAACTGATATTTAGACTATATATGGACACATACATTTATTTGAGGTCTCTGTTCTCTCCATAAAAGCTTCTCAGTCAACTAAATTTACCACTTCTTAAACTCCTGCTATCTATATGAACTCCTCATTTATCCTCTTGTTGACATATTTTTTGCCAAGGATAATCTAAAACATTATTGGCTTTTTGATAAAGAAGATATTTTCAAACTGGCTGCTCTAGAATTAGTTTTTTCATTTACTATGTTCTGTCAGTCCTTCCTTTTGCCACTTTTGACACCATATAAGGGGCCCTAAAGGAAATTTCTAGAGGCCCAGGGACCCTTTGAAGAAGACAGAAAGGACATAAGGGACTCTGTTTTGGCAGAGTACTTTTATTTTTTCTCACAGAGCTCCAAGGCTTGTGCAGGTGGAAAGGTTCCTCTTAGGTGTAAGCTCTAGTATATTTTTAATTGAACTCCTCAATCTCTTTGAATTTTAAATGCATCCATGTGTACACACATAAGTTATGTACTGTATCTACATATATGCATATGTTTATACCTCTGTTTGTATAGTATCCATATGGTACCAAATTAACTTAAAGATAAACAAGGGTTTGTAAATTAAATAAATAAGTCCAAATATTTTTCAAGTTCACACTACTTGAGCAAATTATTTGGTAAATGTAATTAGTTTAATATTGTTGCATTAATAAAAACAATTAGCTTCTGACTTACCAGCAAAATATGCGTGTATTTCACTGTAAAGCTATTGCCTCTTATAATACTTGCCTAACATACAGTAATATGAAATTAGCTAACATTACTGACATTAGCTAACACTACTGACATTAATTACTAAATATAATCATATACTTTTGGCTTTTTATTTCAGAGAAACAAAAGCTATCTAGATATTAGTAAATATGTTTTGTTCCAAACTGAAAAACTGTCCAACTAGAATTATGTTTCTAAATATTATAAAATGTGTATTTATAAATTCTTTTTTTGGGGGGACAGAGTCTCTCACTGTCGCCTGGGCTAGAGTGCAGTGGCACAATCTCGGCTCACTGCAACCTCCACCTCCCAGGTTCAAGCGATTCTCCTGCCTCAGCCTCCCAAATTGCTGGGATTACAGGCGCCCGCCACCACACCAAGCTAATTTTTTGTATTTTTAGTAGAGACGGGGTTTCACCATGTTGGCCAGACTGGTCTCCAACTCCTGATCTCGTGATTCGCCCACTTCGGCCTCCCAAAGTGCTGGGATTATAGAAGGAGTTAAACTTTCTTACTTCTTAGGTTTTTATACTATGAATGAACATCATTAGGATTTAAAATTCTTACTAACATGGTGATTGAAACTAGAAATAAAGAACAATTCTATATACAGTGTGTATAAAGAAAATAAGATATGTCTGTTGGAAAAAAGATCATATTGAAAAAGACATGAGGATTGTGGTTTTTCTTAAAGAAACAGTAATTTTGCTTAATGTAGAAATTATTTAAATGTTTTCTTAAATTGAAAAAAGAAAAAAATGAGATAGAACAATTAAATGGGTATAGAAATTGAAGAAAGAAAAAGAATAGAAAAAAATTATAAGAGTTTATAAACGATTTATAGAGGAGCATGGTGGCTCAAGTCTGTAATTCCAACACTTTGGGAGGCTGAGGAGGAAGAACTGCTTGAGCTCAGGAGTCTGAGACCAGGCTGGGCAACATAGGGAGACCACATCTCTACAAAAAAAATTTAGATACTAGCTGGGCATCGTGTTGAATGTCTATATTCCCAGCTACTGGGGAGGCTAAAGTAGGAGAACCCCTGGTGGGGTTGAGGCTGCAGTGAGCCATGATCACACCACTGCACTTTCAGCCTGGGGGACACAGTGAGACTCTGTCTCCAAAAACTAACAAATAGAAAAACCAAAGTTTTATAAAAAATCTTATTATGGGCCAGGCATGGTGGCTCATGCCTATAATCCCGGCACTTTGGGAGGCCGAGGCAGGTGGATCAGCTGAGGTCAGGACTTTGAGACCAGTCTGGCCAACTTGGTGAAACCCCATCTCTACTAAAACTACAAAAATTAGCTGGGAGTGGTGGCGGGCACCTGTAATCCAAGCTACTTGGGAGGTTGAGGCAGGAGAATCTCTTGAACCCAGGAGGTGGAGGTTACAGTGAGCCGTCATCACACCACTGCACTCCAGCCTGGGCGACAAGAGCAAAATTTCATCTCAAAAAAAAAAAAAAAATCTTATTATGAGCGGTCAAAGCTGACTGAGATTACACTGATCTGTTTATGAGATTTTATTGAAATTAGCTTTAATTTTAATCATACAATCAATTGTATCAAACATGGGATACAATTCAGTTTTCTTTTTTTAAACAGAATTTTTGTGAAGTATTTTTAAGCAATAATAAAAGACCTGGGGTTCACCTTTTGAGTAAACTGTGTAAAATAAAAAAGAAAATGACCAAATTTCTTTGACAACTGCATCTTTAATCTGACCATATTAAGTCTTGTACAATTTCTTCTTGGGGAGTTTCTTCTGAGCTTTCCAGAGACCAAGAAATGCACTTCACTGGGCAAACAGTTTATTGTACTTTTAACGTATGGCTGCTTTTTAAAACTTTTTATTGTGCATACCACCCTCTGTACTCTGGAGTGGTGTCTCACTAAAAATTTTAAATTAATTCAAGATTCTGGCTGGGCGCAGTGGCTCACATCTGTAATCCCAGCACTTTGGGAGGCCAAGGCATGTGGATCACTTGAGGTCAGGAGTTCAAGACCAGCCTGGCCAACATAGTGAAACCCCATCTCTATTAAAATTAGCCAGGCGTGGTGGCAGGCACCTGTAATCCCAGCAACTTGGGAGGCTGAGGCAGCAGAATTGCTTGAACCCAGGAGGCGGAGGTTGCAGTGAGTCGAGATCGTGCCACTGCACTCCAACCTGGGTGACAGAGCAAGACCCCATCGAAGAAGAAGAAGAAAGAAAGAAAGAAGAAGAACAAGGAGGAGGAGGATGAGGAAGAAGAAAGAAGAAAAAAGAAGCAGCAGCAGCAGCGAGATTATAATGGTAATTAAAAAGTTACCCAAAAAAAAGTCCAGGGCCAGACCGATTCATACCTGAATTCTATAAGACAATTCAAAAAAAAAAAAAAAATGGGTACCAATCCTATTGACACTATTCCAAAAGATAGAGAAAGAGGAAATCCTCCTTAAATTATTCTATGAAGCCAGTATTACTCTAATACCAAAACCAGGAAAAGATATAACAAAAGAGAAAACTGCAGACCAATATTCCTGATGAACATAGATGCAAAAATCCTCAACAAAATACTAGTTAACTGAAACCAACAGCATATCAAAAAGGTAATCCACCATGATCAAGTGGGTTTTATACCAGGGATGCAGGAATGGTTTAACATCCACAAGTCAATAAATGTAACACACTGGCCGGGTGCGGTGGCTTACGCCTGTAATCCCAGCACTTTGGGAGGCCGAGGCAGGTGGATCATGAGGTCAGGAGATCGAGACCATCCTGCCTAACATGGTGAAACCCCGTCACTACTAAAAATACAAAAAATTAGCCAGGTGTGGTGGCGGGCGCCTGTGGTCCCAGCTACTCGGGAGGCTGAGGCAGGAGAATGGCATGAACCCAGGAGGCAGAGCTTGCAGTGAGCCAAGATCGCGCCACTGCACTCCAGCCTGGGCGACAGAGCAAGACCCCATCTCAGAAAAAAAAAAAAAAAAAAGTAACACACCACAAACAGAATTAAAAACAAAAATCACATAACCGTCAAAATAGATGCAGAAAAAAAGCATATGACATAATCCAGCATTGCTTTATGATTAAAACCGTCAGAAAAATCGGCATAGAAGGAAAATTCCTTAAGGTAATAGCAGCTGTCTATGACAAACACACAGCCAACAATATACTGAATGGGAAAAAATTAAAAGCATTCCCCCATGAGAAGTGGAACAAGACAAGGATGCCCCTTTCACCACTTCTATTCAACAAAGTACTGGAAGTCCTAGCCAGAGCTATCAGACAAGAGAAAGAAATAAAGGGCATCCAAATCAGTAAAGAAGAAGTCAAACAGTTGCTGTTTGCTGAGGACATAATTGTATATTTTGAAAATCCTAAAGACTAATCCAAAAAGCTTCTAGATTTCATAATGAATTCAGTAAAGTTTCAGGACACAAAATTAATGTACACAAATTAATAGCTCTGTTATATACCTACAGTGGCCAAGTTGAGAATTAAATCAAGAACTCAAGCCCTTTTACAATAACTGCAAAAATAAAATAAAATACTCAGTAATATACTTAACCAAGGAGGTGAAAGACCTCTACAAGAAAAACCACAAAACACTGCTGAATGAAACCACAGATGACACAAACTAACAGAAACACATCTCATGCTCATGGATGCATCGGTAGAGTTAACACTGTGAAAATGACCATACTGCCAAAAGCAATCTACACATTCAATGCAATTCTCATTAAAATACCACCATCGTTCTTCACAGAACTAGAAAAAACAATCCTAAAATTTATGTGGAACCAAAACAGAGACTGCATAGCCAAAGCAAAACTAAGCAAAAAGAACAAATCTGGAGACATTATGTTATCTGACTTCAAACGATACCATAAGACCATAGTAACCAAAATAGCATGGTACTGGTATAAAAATAGGCATGTAGATCAATGGAACTGAATAGAGAACCCAGAAATAAAGCCAAATATTTACAGCCAACTGATGTTTAACAAAGCAAACAAAAACATGAAGTGGGGAAAGGACACCCTATTCAACAAATGGTGCTGGCATGCCACACATAGAAGAATGAAACTGGATCCTTATTTCTCACCTTATACAAAAATCAACTCAAGATGGATCAAAGACGTATATCTAAGATCTGAAACCATAAAATTTCTAGAAGATAACACTGGAAAAATTCTTCTAGACATTGGCTTAGGTAAAGACTTCATGACCAAGAATCCAAAAGCAAATGCAACAAAAACAAAGTTAAATAGATGGGACTTAATAAAACTAAAAAGCTTCTGCAAAGCAATAGAAATAATCAGCAGAATAAACAACTCACAGAGTGGGAGAGCTTCACAAATTATGCATTCAACATCGGACTAATATCCAGAATCTACAAGGAAATCAAACAAGTCATCAAGAAAAAAAACAATCCCATTAAAAAGTGGGTTAAGGAAATGAATAGACAATTCTCACAAGAAGATACAGAAATGGCCAACAGACATATGAAAAAAAGGCTCAACATCACTAATGATCAGGGAAATACAATTCAAAACCACAATGGGATACTAACTTACTTCTGCAAGAATGGCCATAATAAAAAAAATAGATGTTGGCATGGGTATGGTGCAAAGGGAACACTTTTACACTGCTGGTGGGAATGTAAATTAGTGCAACCACTACGGAAAACAGTGTGGAGATATATAGATCTACTATTTAATTCGGCAATTCCACTACTAGGTATTTACCCAGAGGAAAAGAAGTCATTATACTTAAAAGGCACTTGAACACGCATGTTTATAGCAGCACTATTTGCAATTGCAAAACTGTGGAACCAGCCCAAACACCCATCAATCAACAAGTGGATAAAAGAAATGTGGCTGGGTGTGGTGGCTCACACCTGTAATCCCAGCACTTTGGAAGGCCAAGATGGGCGGATCACTGGAAGCCAGGAGTTTGAGACCAGCCTGGCCAACATGGCAAAACCCCATCTCTACTAAAAATTCAAGAATTAGCTGGAAATGGTGGCTCACGCCTGCAGTGTCAGCCACTCAGGAGGCTGAGGCATGAGAATTGATTGAACATGGGAGGTGGAGGTTCCAGTGAGCCAAGATCACACCAATGCACTCCAGCCTTGATGACAGAGCTAGAATATGTCTCAAAGGAAAAAAAGGAAGAAAATATGGTGTATATTATATATACACACACACACTATGGAATACTACTCAGCCATAAAAAAGAATTAAATTAATGGCATTCACAGCAACTTGGATGTAATTGGAGACCATTACTCTAAGTGAAGTAACTCAGGAATGGAAAACCAAACATTATATGTTCTCACTCATAAGTGGGAGCTAAGCTATGAGAATGCAAAGGCATAAGAATAATACAATTGGGCTTTGGGGAATTAGGGCAAAGGGTGGGAGGGGGGTGAGGGATAAAAGACTACACATTTGGGTACAGTGTACATTGCTTAGGTGACAGGTACACCGAAATCACCATTAAATAACTCATTCATGTAATCAAACACTACCTGTCCCCCAAAAACCTATTGAAATAAAAAAATAGTAACACTGAAACCCCAAATTAAGTTCACGCATAGTCTAAATGAAGCATTTACAATCCCCTATATGCTCCCTGAATTACGAACACTGAAGGAGCATTTTTTTTTCCAGTACCATGATTATGGAGTCATGCTTTCTCCATTTTTAAAGCATAAGGCTATCTAATAAACATTACTTTTGAATAAACTTACAATTATTCTGATAGAAGTTATTTTCACTTTTCTGATATCTGAATTATCAAATAATATTTGTCTTCTATGTCTTCCATCACAAAAAGTACCCAACATTACAAAGATATGTCAGTATTTTAAAAACCTGACCATTTTATTATACTTAAGGAGCAATTGGTGAAATAATTTGGAAACTTCAGAATATTCCTTGTACTTTAATATAGAAGAATAATGATCTGAACATATATATTTTTACATGCATTACTGTTTTATATTCAAGTATTTTTCTTTATATTTTCTTTATATATTTTACATTTGCCATTAAACTTTCCTTAAAACAAACTGACATTAATAATTTTTACCTAATATAGAATGGCCTTTCATGGCCCTGAGGCAGAAAAAACAGACCTCATATTTTTATATAAACACTAGGAATTAATATATAGCATCGACTATTTGAGAATTGAATTATATCAATAATACTTGCTTTTCAAAAATTTCAAGTACTGCCAGTGTCAATAATATATCCATTGAATATGACAGAACATCAATGTTCTTGCTTGATTGAAAGAAATAAGCAAATAAATTATCTAATTGCCTTGACTTTATATTATTCTCTGTAATAAATACTCTGGTTTGATGTAAAGTCTGAAAATGTTCGTGCTTTAGTCCTTTCTTGTGTAAATCTTCTGACACATTTATACTCGAGTTTTATTAAATATTTCATCACATTTATTACATCTGTGAAGTTTCTTTCTGTGTGAACTCTATGGTGATTTCTAAGTTCCATATTTTAGATAAACTCTTTTCACATCAATTACTTCTATAGAGTTCTAATATGAATTCTCTTATGTTAAGTAAGGGTTGAGTAGCAACCAAATAGTTTGTGGCATTTCAATAATTGCAGGGTTTCTCCCCAGTATGAATTTCTCTGGTGTTGAGTAAAGTGTAAACTATGGTTAAAGGTTTTGCCACATTCTTTCAATTGGTAAGTTTTCTCATCATTACGGATTATCTCTTTTTTTTTTTTTTTTTTTTTTTTTTGAGATGGAGTCTCGCTCTGTCACCCAGGCTGGAGTACAGTCGTGCGATCTCGGCTCACTGCAAGTGCAAGCTCCGCCTCCCGGGTTCACGCCATTCTCCTGCCTCAGCCTCCAGAGTAGCTGGGACTACAGGCACCCGCCACCACGCCCGGCTAATTTTTTGTATTTTTAGTGGAGACGGGGTTTCACCGTGATAGCCAGGATGGTTTCGATCTCCTCACCTCGTGATCCACCCGCCTCGGCCTCCCAAAGTGCTGGGATTACAGGCGTGAGCCACCGCGCCAGGCTATCTCATGTTTTTTTAGATTTGATTATTAACTAAGAACTGTCTCACATTTATTGTATCTGAGTTTTATCCAATATAGATTCTCTAATGCTGAGTATGTTTTGACAACTGGCTAAAAACTTCTACACATTTATTATATTTGTATGACTTCTCTGAACATTGGTATTCTGATGTATAATAAAGATGAAGAACTAATAAAAGACTTTCTCACACTTTCTACATTTGTAGTGGTTCTCTAGAAAATGAATTTTCTAATGTTTTCTAGGGATTAAGCTTTGGCTCAAGGTTTTATCGATTTATTGCATTGCTAATTTTTTTCTTCAATAAAAATATCTTGGTAAATATATAGCGTAGAGCCCTCCCTACTGGTTGTCAAAGTTGTATTATATGTGTGACGTTTTCCACAATTATCTATTCCATGATATTGGCTAAGTAATACTTAATGGGTAAAGACCTTCTCATATTGACAAAATTTGCAGATTATGGCAGAAGAAGGTATTTTTTCTTGGTGAACACCTTTTAACAAGGACCCATTAAACTGATCATATTTAGAAATATTCTCATTTTGAAATATTTGCTTTTCAGAAATATTTTAATGTTTAATCCAGTCTTATATTTCAACTCGTTCATATGATTATTTTGAACATAGTCTAGATTACTATTTAGATTTTCTAAGTTTTATTTCAAAGAAAAATATGTTTCAAAATTGATATTAATATTTGTAGAAACACATGGTACGGGGCCAGGTGCAGTGGCTCACACCTGTAATTCCAGCACTTTGGGAGGCTGAGGTGGGCGGATCACGAGGTCAGGAGTTCGAGACCAGAATGACCAACATGGTGAAACCCTGTCTCTACTAAAAACACAAAAATTAGCCGGGAGTGGTGGCACATGCCTGTAATCCCAGCTACTTGGGAGGCTGAGGCAGAAGAATAGCGTGAACCCAGGAGGCAGAGCTTGCAGTGAGCCCAGACGGCACCACTGCACTCCAGCCTGGGCAACACAGCAAGACTCCATCTCAAAACAAAACAAAACAAGAAAACCACACGCACACATACAGTACAGAAAAAGCAATTGACATAAATTGTGCTGTCTTCGGAATACTTTATGTTCTTGACCTCTTTTAGCAGTGGTATGTTTGGTATAGGTAGTTGTCCTACATTTGGTATAGCCATCGTAACATCTATTGTGTTCTTCACACTTACCCTTTACTCTCCCACTCTCCTTAAGGGTAAATTCTCAAGGCCACGGTTCCCATATCTTCCCAATACTACTTTTTGAAAAAAAGCTTCTAGGGCCATACGTGGTGGCTCACACCTGTAATCCCAGCATTTTGGCAGGCTGAGGCAGGTGGATCACTTGAGGTCAGGAGTTCAACGTCAGCCTGGCCAACATGGTGAAACCCCGTCTGCACTAAAAATACAAAAAATTAGCCAGGCATGGTGGCCAGCGCCTGTAATCCCAGCTACTCAGGAGGCTGAAGCAGGAGAATCGCTTGAACCCGGGAGGCGGAGGTTGCAGTGAGCCGAGATCACGGCATTACACTCCAGCATGGGCGACACAGCGAAACTCCATCAAAAAAGAGAGAAAGAGAAAAAGAGAGAGAGAAAAGAAAGAAAGAGAAAGAAAGAAAGGAGGGAAGGAAGGAAGGAAGGAAGGAAGGAAGGAAGGAAGGAAGGAAGGAAGGGAGAAAAGAAAGAAAAAAGCTTCTATGCAGTGCTTTCTCAACATATCTCAGGTATAATGAGAAAACATATCTGAAAAATATTTTTAAATTTTCCAATTACTAGATTGAAGTAAATATACTACATAAATACACAAAACTAGGCCAGCTGCGAACAGCACCATAATAGTTGAATCAAAAACCTGAGATCCTTTTTTCTCAACATATGAACTTTATTTTTATTTTATTTTATTTTTAAGATGGAGTCTCACTCTGTCACCCCAGCTGGAGTACAGTGGCACAATCTCGGCTCACTGCAACCTTTGCCCCCGGGTTCAAACAATTCTCCTGACTCAGCCTCCCGAGTAGCTGGGACTACAGGCGCCTGCCACCACAACCAGTTAAGTTTTGTATTTTTTAGTAGAGATGGGATTTCATCATGTTTGCCAGGCTGGTCTCGAACTCCTGACCTCAAGTGATCCACCTGCCTTGGCCTCCCAAGTGCTGGGATTACAGGCGTGAGCCACCGTGACCAGCCAATATATTAACTTTAATGACAACAGGGTGAACAAAACCAGTTGAGTTTGCAACACCTCATGTGAGCAGAAAGCCAAGAATAACCACATTTAGAAGATTTGTTACATTCTGCACTACAGCACCGTGCAGTTAAACAAATCTTCCCACTTTCTGTTTCTCCCTGAGGAAAAACTAAAAAAGTGGAATGTGTATCCAAATTTCTGAGTTACGGAGTTATTCTTGGGCTATACAAAGACTGGTTATTGCTTCCTTTAACACCTCCTGCTGAAGAGAATAAAGATACAGTTAAAATGAGAGGTTTGGTCAAGAAAAATGAAGATAAATGCTTGCTACAACAACAGAGAGACTGTAGTGCCTGTAAGAGTGACCAAGGGAAGAGATTAAAAGCTCTTGAGCAGAAACAGAGGTAAACCTTTTTTTTCTTTTTTTTTTTTTTAAGACGGAGTCTTGCTCTGTCACTCAGGCTGGAGTGCAGTGGCGCGATCATGGCTCACTCAACCTCCGCCTCCTGGGTTCAAGGGATTCCCCTACCTCAGCCTCCCGAGTGGCTGAGACTACAGGCACATCACCACGCCCAGCTACTTTTTTGTATTTTAGTAGAGACGGGGTTTTACCATGTTGGCCAGGATGGTCTCGATCTCCTGACCTCGTGATCCACTCGCCTCGGCCTCCCAAAGTGCTGGGATTACAGGAGTAAGCCACCGCACCCAGCTGAGGTAAACCTTTTTAACAAGAAAATACACACAGTAGTCCAGAGAAGACACAGTTTTGCTAATAGGTTAGAAAAGCTCCCAGAATGATTAGTGTGGCTAAATGTTGTCAATTTTCCCCTGTGAAAAGCCATTCCACAAGGGATGAATAGGTAGTTGTTTCTTAATTGGCCAAAATCTCAACAAAATCGCAATACATAAAAGTAACCAGGAAACACAGCCCAGTCAAAGGAACAAAATATATATTCAAGTGAACCTAAAAAGTGAAAATTTATGAATTAATTTTTAAAAAGTTTAAATATTTTTATTTTTGTTTTTCCACACTGACAGGGTCTTGCTCTGTCTCCCAGAACAGAGGGTAATGGTGCAATCATGGCTCAATATAACCTCAAATTTCTGAACTCAAGCAGTCATGCCACCTAAGTCTCCTGAGTACATATGACTACAACACCTGGATAGTTGTTTTTAATTTTTGTACAGACAGAATGTTGCTATGTTGCCCAGGCTGGTCTCAAACTCCTGGTCTCAAGTGATCCTACTGCCTCAGCCTCCTAAAGTGCTGGCATGAGCAACCACCCCTGGCATTTTTTTTTTAAAGAAATAAGGACTTTAACAATAGTAAAACAGGACAAAGAAAGGCATTGCATAATGATAAAGGATTCAATTCAACAAGATAACTTAACTAGCCTAAATATAGATGCACCTAACATTGGAGCACACAGATTCGTAAGAGAAGTAATTCTAGACCTGCAACAATACTTAAATAGTCACACAACAACAGTAGCGGAATACAACATTTCGCTGACGGTGTTTAATAGATTATCTAGGCAGAAAACTAAATGAAGAAATTCTGAAGTTTGACACTTGACCAATTGGAACTAATAGACATCTACAGTATACTCCACACACCAACTGAAGAATATACATTTTTCTCATCTGCCCACAGAATATACTCTAATATTAACCACATCCCAGCCATAAAGCAAATCTCAAGACATTCAAAAGAAATAAAAATCATGCCAACCATACTCTCAGGCCACAAAAAACAACAATAAAAAGTAATACAAAGAAGATCTCTCAAAACCACAGAATGACATTGAAATTAAACAACTTGCTCATGAATGACTTTTGGATAAAGAACATAATTAAGGCAGAAATTTAAAAAATGTTTGAAATAAATGAAAATATAGACACTACATACCAAAATCTTTGGGATGCAGCAAAAGCAGTGTTAAGCATATAGAGAATCTATAAGAAACTCAAACATCATCTTACAGCAGTCAGAATGGCTTTTGTTAAAAAATTAAAAAACAAAACAAAACAGAAAAACAGATGTGGATGAGGTTTCAGGGGAAAAGAAACACTTATACACGGCTGGTGGGAATGTAAACTAGTTCCGCCACCATGAAGAGCAGTTTGGCGATTTCCCAAAGAACTGAGAGTTGAACTAAGATTCAGCCCAGCAATCCCACTACTGGGTACATACCCAAAAGAAAATAAATTATTCTATGAAAATAGCACATGCGCTTTTATGTTCATCACTACACTAGTCACAATAGCAAAGACATGGAATCAACTTAGGTGTCTATTAATGGTAAATTGGATTTACCATTGGTATTTTACACCAAAAAATACTACTTAGCCATAAAAAAAGAACAAAATCTTGTCCTTTGCAGCAACATGAAAGCAGCTAGAGGCCATTGTTCTAAGCAAATTAATTCACAAACAGAAAACCAAAAGATGCATGTTCTCACTTACAAGTGAGAGCTAAACATTGGCATACATAGACATAAAAATGAAAGCAATAGAGGGTGGAAAAAGGGAGGGGGCCAAGGGCTGGAAAACTACCTATTGAGTACTATGCTCATTATCTGGGTGATGGGATGATTTATTCTTCAAACCTCAGTATCATGCAATATTCCCATGTAACCGACCTGCACAGGTACCCCCCGAATGTAAAATTAAAATTAAAGTATAAAAAGGCAAGAAAAAAGGTCTTACTCTCTCACTCTGGCGAGAATGCAATGCCATAATTATAGCCCACTGCAGCATCAAATTCCTGGGGTTAAGCAATCCTGTCATTTCAGCCTCCTGAGTTCCTGGGACTACAGGAACATGTAACCACACATGACTAATTTTTAAAAATATTTTTGGCCAGGCATGGCAGCTCATGCCTGTAATCCCAGCATTTTGGGAGGCCGAGGTGGGTGGATCACCTGAGGTTGGGAGTTCAAGACCAGCCTGACCAACATGGAGAAACCCTGTCTCTAGTAAAAATACAAAATTAGCCAGGCATGGTGGAGCATGCCTGTAGTCCCAGCTACTTGGGAGGCTGAGGCACGAGAATCGCTTGAACCCGGGAGGCAGAGGTTGCGGTGAGCCAAGATCATGCCATTGCACTCCAGCCTGGGCAACAAGGGTGAAACTCCATCTCAAAAATAATAATAATAATAATAATAATAATATGTTTAAACACAGGGTCTCACAATATTGCCCAGAGTGGTCTCAAACATCTGGCCTTAAGCAATTCTCCTGCCTTAGCTTTCAAAGTAACTGCAATTACAGGCACACATCATTGTGCCTGGCTAAAACATCTATCTTAAAGATGCTTAGTCAGCTAAATGAAAAAACAGAAAACTAAACAAAAGAGGAAAACAATGCATGAAGAAAACGAGATTAAAACCATAAAAACAGAAGCAAAGTGTGGAGCTAAAAAATAAAATAAATTATTATTTTTAAAATTTAAATATTTATTAAGAACCTACTACATGAAAGATACTGTTATCAGGCGCTGGGTTTCCAGCATGGGCAAAGGCCTCAAGGTGGGATGAAGCATGACATGTTCTAAAAGCAGAGAGTGAGGCTGAGGGTGACATGAGCTGAGGAACTAGGCAAAGACCTGGCAGGATGGGACCTTCCAGTTAGAACTGGCTGCTGTGTGAGCAGCTGAGGGCCTGACTTGATTCTGGGGTTGCCCTATTTGACCTTCAGTTTTTTGTCAAGGGCAGACAGGATAACAGGGATAAAAAAGAGCTTAGGAAATTGAAACCTACTGTGCATTATATAATAAAGATGGCCAACACATTTTCATAGCAAGAAATATGAGTGAAGGCTTGTTCTGGGCATCAGGACTATACAAATCTAATGCCTGGAACTGGCAGGTGCCCTGGGACATCCCCCTGAGACCGCAGGTCACCAGTCCTCAGAATGACACAGCTCTTTTCAAGTTGCTTACAGAAAACTCTTTGTTTAATACTTTATACAAATCTCATGACAATATTGCAAGCAGTTATCTTACTTATCCCTTTTTACAAAAGAGGCCTGGAGAGGCCAAGGGACTTGCTCAAGTCCACACAGCTAGACAGAGGCAAAGCCAGGCCTCTGGCCCTCGTGTTCTGACACCACCTAGGGATCCTTTCATTATTCCAGGCTACCTCTTCTTTCCCTTCCATCTTCTCTTCTCTTTCCCTCTCCTCTTGTTTATTGCCTCTTATCTGCCTGCACTTCAACTTTCTTCAACTTTTCCTTAACTTTTGCATTCAGGATTACATGTACGGGATGTGCAGGTTTGTTACATAAGTAAACATGTGCCATGGTGGTTTACTGCACAGATCATCCAATCACCCAGGTATTAAGCCCAGCATTTATTAGCTATTCTTCCTGATGCTCTCCCCTGGCAACAGGTGCCCAGTGTTGTTTTCCACCATATGTTCATGTGTTCTCATCATTCAGCTCCCACTTATAAGTGAGAACATTTGGTATTTGGTTTTCTGTTCCTGCGTTAGTTTGCTGAGGATAATTGCTTCCAACTCTGTCCATGTCCCTGCAAAGGACATGATCTTGTTCTTTTTCATGACTGCATAGTATTTCATGGTATATATGTATCATATTTTTTTTATCCAGTCTATCACTGACGGACATGTAGGTTGATTCCATGACTTTGCTATTGTAAACAGTGCTGCAATGAACATATGCATGCATGTATCTTTATAATAGAATGATTTATATTCCTCTGGGTATATACCCAGTAATGGGATTGCTGGGGTCAAATGGTATTTCTGCCTCTAGGTCTTTGAGGAATTGCCACACTGTCTTCCACAATGGCTGAACTAGTTCACACTCCCTCCAACAGCATAAAGGCATTCCCTTTTCTCCACAACCTCATCAGGATCTGTTGTTTTTAACTTTTTAATAAAAGCCATTCTGACTGACATGAAATTGTATCTCATTGTGGTTTTGATTTGCATTTCTCTAATGATCAGTGATGTTGAGCTTTTATTTTTTTTCTTTTTTTGAAAGACTCTCGCTCTATCGCCCAGGCTGGAGTGCAGTGGCACGATCTTGGCTCACTGCAACCTCCACCTCCCAGGTTCAAGCAATTCTCCTGCCCCAGCCTCCCAAGTAGCTAGGATTACAGGCACCCGCCATCATGCCCAGGTAATTTTTGTATTATTTTTTAGTAGAGACAGGGTTTCATCATGTTGTCTAGGCTGGTCTCAAACTCCTGACCTCAGGTGATCCACCCGTCTCAGCTTCCCAAAGTGCTGGGATTACAGGCGTGAGCCACAGCACTCGGCCTGAGCTTTTTTTTAATGTTTGTTGGCTGTATGTATGCCTTCTTTTGAGAAGTGTTTGTTCATGTCCTTTGCCCACTTTTTATTGAGGTTGGTTTATTCTTGTAAATTTGTTTAAGTTCCTTGTAGATTCTAGATATTAGACCTTTGTCAGATGGATTGCAAAAATTTTCTCCCGTACTGTAGGTTGTCTATTCATTCTGATGATAGTTACTTGAAGCTCTTTAGTTTAATTAGATCCCATATGTCAATTTTTGCTTTTGTTGCAATTGCTTTTGGTGTTTTTGCCATGAAATCTTTGCCTGTGCCTATGTCCTGAATGGTACTGCCTACATTCTCTTCTAGGGTTTTTTCTTTTTTGTTTTGTTTTTGGTTTTTTGAGATGGAGTCTCACTCTGTCACCCAAGCTGGAGTGCAGTTGCGTGATCTTGGCTCACTGCAATCTCTGTCTCCCTGGCTCAAGTGATTCTCCTGCCTCAGCCTCCCAAGTAGCTGGGATTACAGGTGTGTGCCACCATGCCTGGCTAATTTTTTTGTACTTTTGGTAGAGACAGGGTTTTGCCATGTGAGCCAGGCGGGTCTCAAACTCCTGAACTCAGGTGATCCACTCACCTTGGCTTCCCAAACTTCTGGGATTACAGGCGTGTGCCACCATGCTTGGTCTCTTGTAGGGTTTTTAGTTTTAGCTTTTTTGTTTGTTTGTTTTCTGCATCTATTAAAATATGCATGTGTGTTTTGTCTTTAGTTCTGTTTATGTGATGAATCACATTTATTGATTTGCATATGTTGAACCAAGTTTGCATCCTGGGGAAAAAGCCAACTTCATCATGGTGGATAAGCATTTTGATGTGTTGCTGGATTTGGTTTGCCATTATTTTATTGAGAATTTTTGCATCAATGTTCATAAACAATATTGACTTAACACTTTCTTTTTTTTGTTGTATGTCGCCAGGTTTTGGTATTAGGATGATGCTGGCCTCATAAAGTGAGCTAGGGAGGAGTCCCTCCTTTTCAATTTTTTTGAATAGTTTCAGTAGAAATGGTTCCAGCTCCTCTTTGTACCTCTGGTAGAATTCCACTGTGAATCTATCTGGTCCCGGGTTTTTGTTTTGTTTTGTTTTGATTTTTTTTGATTGGCAGGCTATTTATTACGCTTCAATTTCAGAACACATTATTGGTCAATTCAGGGATTCAATTTCTTTCTGGTGGATAAGCATTTTGATGTGTTGCTGGATTTGGTTTGCCAGTATTTTATTGGGAATTTTTACATCAATGTTCATCAAGAATATTGACCTGGAACTTTCATTTTTTGTTGTATGTCGCCAGGTTTTGGTATTAGGATGATGCTGGCCTCATAAAATGAGTTGGGGAGGAGTCCCTGTTTTTCATTTTATTTTGAATGGTTTCAGTAGAAATGGTACCAGCTCTCCTTTGTACCTCTGGTAGAATTCCACTGTGAATAATCTATCTGGTCCTGGGTTTTTTGTTTTTTTTTTTTTTTTTTTTTTGGTTGGCAGGCTATTTATTACAGCTTCAATTTCAGAACACGTTATTGGTCAATTCAGGGATTGAATTTCTTTCTGGTTCGGTCTTAGGAGGGTTTATGTTTAAAAAAAAAGTATCCATTTCATCTACATTTTCTAATTTATGTACGCATAATATTCTCTGATGATTGTATTTTTGTGGGCTCAATGCTGATATCCTTCTTATCATTTCTGATTGTGTTTATTTGATTCTTTTCTCTTGTCTTCTTTTTTAGTCTAGCCAGTGGTCTATCTATTTTATTAATTTTTCAAAGAACCAGGTTCTAGATTTTTTGAATTTTTGAAGGGTTTTTCATGTCTCTATCTCCTTCAGTTTGGCTCTGATCTTGGTGATTTCTTGTCTTCTGCTAGCTTTAGGTTTTATTTGGTCTTGGTTCTTCAGTTCTTTTGGTGGAAACGTTAGCGTTGTTGACTTGAGATCTTTCTAGTTTGTTGATGAGGCCATTTAGTGCTATAAATTTTCCTCTTAACACTTCTTAACTGTATCCCAGAGATTCTGGAACATTGTGTCTTTGTTCTCAGTTTCAAAGAACTTCTTTTTTTTTTTTTTTTTTTTTTGAGACAAGTCTTGCTCTGTCACCCAGGATGGAGTGCAGTGGCGCAATCTCCGCTCATTGCAAGCTCCACCTCCAGGGTTCACGCCATTCTCCTGCCTCAGCCTCCCGAGTAGGTGGGACTACTGGCGCCCGCCACCACGACCGGCTAATTTTTTGTATTTTTAGTAGAGACGGGGTTTCACCGTGTTAGCCAGGATGGTCTCGATCTCATGACCTCGTGATCCACCCGCCTCGGCCTCCCAAAGTGCTGAGATTACAAGCGTGAGCCACCACGCCCAGCCTCAAAGAACTTCTTGATATCTGCCTTAATTTCATTATTTACCCAAAAGTCATTCAGGAACGGACTATTCAATTTTCATGTACTTGTGTGGTTTTGAGTGGATTTCTTCATCTTGAGTTCTAATTTGATTATGCTGTGGTCTGAGAGACTGTTATGATTTCAGTTCTTTTGCATTTGCTGACGATTATTTTACTTACAATACATGATCAATTTTTGAGTAAGTGTTGTGTGGTGATGAGAAGACTGTATATTCTGTTGTTTTGGGTGGAGAGTTCTGTAGATATCTATCAGGTCCACTTCATCCAGAGCTAAGTTCAGGTCCTGAATATCTTTGCTAATTTTCTGTCTCGATGATCTGTCTAATATTGTCAGTGGTGTGTTAAACTCTCCTACTGTTATCATATACGAGTCTAGGTCTCTTTGTAGGTATCTAAGAACTTGCTTTATGAATCTTGGTGCTCCTGGATTGGGTGCATTTATATTTAGAATAGTTACATCTTCTTGTTGAATTGAACCCTTTACCATTATGTAATGCCCTTCTTTGTCTCAATGAAACAGAATAGAGGGCCAGAAATCAAGCTGCACATCTACATCCATCTGACCTTTGACAAAGCTGACAAAAACAAGAAATGGGGAAAGAATTTTCTGTTCAGTAGATAATGCTGGGAGAACTGGCTAGCCATAGGCAGAAAACTGAAACTCAATTCCTTCCTTACATCATATACAAAAATTAACTCAAGATGAATTAAAGACTTAAATGTAAAACCCAAAACTATAAAAACCCTGAAAGAAAACAGATATTTCCATAGGCAAGAAGCATATAGCTAATTCATATGCAAATTAAGGGACCCTCAGGGAAAAACATCCATCTGTGCCCCTGGATATATGACAATCAACATTATAATCTCACTTTTATGAGTAATATGAAAAAAAAGGAATACAACAGGGATCACAAGAGAGTAAATGGGGAGGATGGGAAGAGGTTACTTAACAAATATTAAGTTACAATTAGACAGGGGAAATAAGTTCTGGTTTTCTGCTACGCAGTAGTACAAAATAGCTAGAAGAGACCAAGTGTGGTGAAACACGACTGTAATCCCTACACTTTGTGAGGCTGATAGGAGAATCACTTGAAGTCGGAAGTTCAAGACCAGCCTGGACAACATAATAAGACCCCATCTCTACAGAAAATAAAATTATTAGCCAGACATGGTGTCATGTTTTTGTAGTCCCAGTTAGTTGGGAAGCTAAAGTGGGAGGATCACTTGAGCCTGGGAGTTTGAGGTTACAGTAAGCTATGATTCCACTACTGCACTCCAGTCTGGGTGATAGAGCAAAATTCTGTCTCTAAATAAATAAATAAGGTCGGGCAAGTTGGCTCATGCCTGTAATCCCATAACTTTGGAAGGCCAAGGCTGGTGGATCACTTGAGGCCAGGAGTTCGAGATCAGCCTGGCCAACATGGCAAAACCCCATCTCTACTAAAAATACAATAATTAGCTGGGTGTGGTGGAGCATGCCTGTAATCCGAGCTACTCAGGAGGCTGAGGCACAAGAATCACTTGAACCCAAGAGGTGGAGGTTGCAGTGAACCAAGATTACACCACTGCACTCCAGCCTAGGTGACAGAGCAAGACTTTGTCTCAAAAAAACCCAAAAAACAAAGATAAGATGAAATAGCTAGAAAAGGGGCTTTTGAATGTTCTCACCACAAAAATAACAATTGCATTAGGTAATAAATACACTAAATACTCTGATTTGATCATTATACAACCTATATATAATTGTACCCCAATATATGTAACATTACGTGTGTCAATTTAAAAAAATGAACTAAGACTTTAACATAAATCCTGTAACTGTAAAACTCCTAGAACAATACAGAAGGGGCAAGTTTCACGACAACTGGTTTTGGCAATGATTTGGGGGATATAACGTAAAGGATCAGGTGACAAAATCAAGAGCATATACATGGTACTACTTCAGTATATTTAAAATATCCCATAGTCAAAGCAGAACATGGAATAGATATTTTGTACATTCAGGTACGTTGCAGCATTACAAAAAATAATACCTGGAAGCAAATGTTTCTTTATGGATGAGTAGATTAAACAAATGTGGCACATATATACAATGGAATATTATTCAGTCTTTTAAAAAGGGGACATCTTGACAAGACCAGAGATCCAGTAGGAGTCAAGCACTCCTATATGCAGAAACAAGTGCAATTTCTTATCTCATCACCAGCCGTAATAATAAAGACTCTGAAGAAAGTTGAATCTTTCTAGGTAATAGACAGAATTTATGACTGATGTCCTGATAACAAGTCAGCCAATCATCTTGACAAGTACTGCAATAACGATAAATCTTTAGAACATTATGTTAAGTAAAATAAGATAGTCACAAAGAAAGAGACACTGTATAATTACACTTGTATAAAATATTTAGTCAAACTCATGGAAACAGAAAGTAGAATGGTGTTCTTCAGGAACTGGAAACAGGTAGAAAGGACAATTTGTTGTTTAATGGGTATTCACTTTTACTTTTGTAAGACAAAAATTATCTAGAACCTCTTGCAAAACAATAGGATTGTACTTAAGAATTCTAAACTGTACACTTAATAATGTTTAAGATGACAATTGTATGTTTTTAACCACAATTAAACACTTAAGACTACCTAAGAGACAGTTACAAAATTTTTTTTAAATTACCTTCAAATAACAAAAATGTTCCTTTCACACAATCATATATATTCAAACTATAAGTAGATTATGAATTTAAGATTATTTTCCTGACTGTCACCTGGACAGAATAAAATAATCATTGAAAACCAAGAAAAAAGGTCGGGAGTGGTGGCTCACGCCTGTAATCTCAGCACTCTGGGAGGCTATGCATTTGTCAAAGGACTAATATCCAGCATCGATAAGAAACTTAAACAAATTTACAAGAAAAAAACAAATAACTGGCCGGGTGCGTAATTCCAGCACTTTGGGAGGCTGAGGCGGGTGGATCACCTGAAGTCAGGAGTTCATAACCAGCCTGGCCAACATGGTGAAACCCTGTCTCTACTAAAAAATACAAGAAATTAGCCAGGCATGGTGGCGGACTCCTGTAATCCCAGCTACTTGAGAGGCTGAGGCAGGAGAATCGCTTGAACCCACTAGGTGGAGGTTGCAGTGAGCCGAGATCATGCCACTGCACTCCAGCCTGGGAGACAGAGTGAGACTCCATCTCAAAAAACAAAAAAAAAAGAAAAGAAAGCCAAGAAAAAATATGTCATAAAGTAGGGGCAACATAGGTGAAAAACATAGATATTTCTATAGGCAAGAGGCATATAGCTAATTCATATGTAAATTAAGGGACCCCCAAGGAAAAACATCCATCTGTGCCCCTCGATGTAGGACAATCAACATTATTCTGGAGTCTTGAAATGGCACTGTAACCTGGCTCTTGAAATGGCACTGCAACCTGGCTCTGGTTTCATGCAGCCACAGTTCAGGAGCAGTTTTGCTCAACCTGGGACTTGCCTAAAAGCATGCAAGTCTGTGCCCCTTGAGGCAGGCCTGCTGACATCAGTCTCACTGTGAATCTTAAAGCAAGGCCTGTAACCCAGTTTTAATCCCCGTCAGCCAGTGTCTGGGAACAGTCCTGCCCACCTAGAAACCCGGAGGGAAATATATCATGGACCCAGAGACAAAACTGAAGATTTTTAGTCTCAGCTGTGTATCCTGAAGCAGCCCTATGAATCAGTTCCAGTGGCTCTCAGGTTTGATCAGGGGTCAGTCCTGCCCATCCAGTGAACTGTCTAATGACTAGGTTAGACCAGAGATCCAGTAGGAGTCAAGCACCCCTATATGCGGAAACAAGTGAAATTTCTTATCTCAACAACAGCCCTGATAATAAAGATTCTGCCCCCGTCTTCCTAAGTAGTAGACAGAATCTAGGACTGATGTCCTGATAACAGGTCAGCCAACCATGAAACCCACTCAAGGCCAAGTAAGAAGTCATGTCATCTGGCTCCAGCAAACTCAAATGCAATATCAGTTGAAATCTCATCAGCCCAAGGACCCAATAAAAGAAATTATTTATCTTACAAAAACTTATGTAATGGAAGATTTGTTCTTTCACATTTAGGGATACAAACATAAGGCTACATAGATGAAAAAGAATCAGGAAAACAAGAGCATCACCAAAAGAACTAATAAAGCTCTAGTAAACATCTACAAAGAATGGAGATCTCAGAATTGTCTGACAAAGAATTGAAAATAATCATCTTAAGAAACTTCGATAAGATGCAAAAGAACAAAATAGACAACTAAAAAATTTTAGAAAACAACACAGAAACAAAGTGAGAAATATAATAAAGAAGTAGACCAAGCATGGTGGTTTACACCTGTAATAATAAAACTTTGGGAGGCTGAGACAGGAGGATTGCTTGAGGCCAGGAGTTCAAGACCAACCTGGACAACATTGCAAGATCGCTCATTAAAAAAAAAAAAAAGAAAAAAAAAAGTAATAGGAAAATAGAAACCATAAAAAACAACCAAACAGAAATCCTGCAGCTAAAGTAAAAAAAAAAAAATGGTAGAACTGAAAAACCATAATAGAAAACTATAACAGGAGACTCAATTATAAAATAAAAAAAAATCAGCGAACTCAAAGATAGGCTATTTGAAAGTGACCAATCATAAAGTGAACAAATCAACACATTTTAGAATTTTCAGAAGGGAGAGAGAAAAAGAAAAAGAGATTGAAAGACATAATGTCTAAAAACTTCCCAGATCTAGGCCAGGCATGGTGGCTCACACCTGTAATCCCAGCACTCTGGGAGGCCAAGGTGCAGGGATGGCTTGAGTTCAGGTGTTTGAGACCAGCCTGGGCATTATAGCAAAACTCCATCTCTACAAAAAATACAAAAGTCAGCCAGGTGTGGTGGTACATGCTTGTAGTTTCAGCTACTTGGGAAGCTGAGGTGGGAGAATTGTTTGAACCTGGGAGGCAGAGGTTGCAGTGAGCCAAGACCACGCCACTGCACTCCAGCCTGGCTGACAGAGTAAGACCCTGTCTCAAAAAAAAAAAACAAAAAACAACAAGAACAAAAACTCCCCAAATTTAGAAAAAGATATGAACATCCAGTTTCATGAAGCTCAATATACTTACAGCAAAAAGAACCTAATAAGGATTGCCCTAGAACACATTATAATTAAATTTTCAGAATTCACAGATAAAGCACAATTCCTGAAAACAGTAAGTGACAAGAGATTCTTCACATACAAGGGAACCTTTATAATGTTATCAGTGAATTTTTCAGCAGAAACCTTGCAAGCTAGGAGACTCAATTATATATTTAAAATGCTTTACAAAGAAAAAAACCTGACAACTAAGACTATATCTAATTAGGCTGTCCTTTGGACATAGAAGAGATCAAGACATTTTAAGACAAAAAAGTTGGGGGAATTTATCACCACTCAACCTGTCTTATGAGAAATGCTAAAAGAAATTCTTCACACTGAAATGATGGAATGTTAACTAACAATACAAAAAACATTATATTATACATTAGACATAAAGTATAAATGTCACTGGAAATGGTATGTAGTGAAGTTCAGAATACTCTAATACTGCAATGGTTTTGCATAAATCACTTTTAACTCTAATGTAAGATCTATTAAAAAGTATTAAAAAGAAAGATAGCCACAATAATTTGTTAAATGTACAATATAAAACGTTCTAAAGTGCCATATATAGTATAAAATGTGTGAAAGGAGAAAATTTGTAGTTTTTCTATGGCACAGAAGTTAAATTGTTATCATCTTAAGCTAGGCTGTTAAAATATAAGATGTTTTATGTAAGTCCCATGATAACCACTAGGAAAAAACTGTAGTAGATACACAAAAGAAAAAGAGAAAGTAACTAAAGCATATAAAAACAACACAAAAACCCAAAAAGCTAAGGCTGGGTGCAGTGGCTCATTCCTGTAGTCCCAGCACTTTGGGAGACAGAAGTGGAAGAATCACTTGAGCTAAGGAGTTTGAGACCAGCCCAAGCAACATAAGGAGACCATATCTCTAAAAAAATAGCTGGGTGTTGTGAAACATGCCTGTAGCCCCAGCTACTTTGGTGGCTGAGATGGGAGGACTGCTTGGGCCCAGGATGTTAAGGTTACAGAGGGCTATGATCATGCCAGGCACGCAAGCCTGGGAAACAAAGCATGACCCTGTCTCAACAAAAATGAACAAAACCACAGGAAAGATAAGACAAGAAAAAACAAACAAATTTTAGATAGTCAGAAAACAACAAAACCACAATAATAACTTATTAATGGAAACTTATTAATAGTAATCTATCACTATTTTACATATAAAGAGATTAAATTATCCAATAAACAGACACTGCTACAGAAAATGTCATCTCTAAATTTTAGGTTAAAATTCAATAGCCATTATGATAGTATTAAGAAGCAGGACCTTTAAGAATTGATTAGGCCTGGCCAGGCACACTGGCTTACGCCTGTAATCCCAGCACTTTGGGAGGCCGAGGCAGGTGGATCACCTGAGGCCAGGAGTTGGACACCAGCCTGACCAACATGGCGAAAACCTGTCTCTACTAAAAATACAAAAATTAGCCAGGCGTGGTGGTGGGCACCTATAATCCCAGCTACTTGAGAGGCTGAGGCAGGAGAGTCACTTGAATCCAGGAGGCGGAGGTTGCTGTGAGCCGAGATCACACCATTGCACTTCAGCCTTGGTGACAAGTCTGAAACTCCATCTCAAAAAAAAAAAAAAAAAAAAAACCCAGGTGCAGTGACTCACGCCTGTAATCCCAGCACTCTGGGAGGCCAAGGTAGGCAGATCATGAGGTCAGGAGTTTGAGACCAGCCTGGCCAATATGGTGACACCCCGTCTCTACTAAAAATACAAAAATTAGCCGGGCGTGGCAGCTCACACCTGTAGTCCCAGCTACTCTGGAGGCTGAGGCAGGAGAATAGCTTGAACCAAGGAGGCAGAGGTTGCAGTGAGCTGAGATTGTGCCACTGCACTCCAGCCTACACAACAAAGCAAGACTCCATCTCAAAAAAAAAAAAAAAGAATTGATTAGGCCATAAGCACTCTGCCCTCATGAATGGATTGATGTCCTTATCACGGGAATTTATTAATTATAACAAGAGGGGGTCCATTATAAAAGGAAGCTCTCTCTCTCCCTCATACCTTTGGCTATGTTATCATGCAGCAATAAGGCCTTTAACAGATGTCAGTGTCATGCTCTTTGCCTTCCTGGCCTCCAGAATCATAAGCCAAATACTTATACTCTTTATAAATTACCTAGTCTGTGATATTCTGGTATAGCAGCACAAAATAGACTAAAACAGGATGAATAAATTTTTTTAAAGACAAATGATATGCTGCTTACAAGAGACTAGCATTTGCTATAAGGACAACCACAAGCTGTAAGTGAAAAGATGGAAAAGGATATTCCATGCAAGTAATAACCAAAGAAGTGTATTAGTAGTTATGCTTAAATTAGACAAAATAGACCTCCTGGCAACATCTACCACAAGAGTCAAATGAGTTCTCCATATAATAATAAAGAGGCTAATTTGTCAAGAGGATATTATGATTAAACATATATATGCTTGGCTGGGCGCGGTGGCTCATGCCTATAATTCCAGCACTTTGGGAGGCCAAGGTCAGGAGTTTGAGACCAGCCTGGCCAACACACAAAACCCTGTCTCTACTGAAAATACAAAAAATAGCCAGGCATGGCAGTGCACACCTGTAGTCCCAGCTACTCGGGAGGCGGAAGCAGGAGAATTGCTTGAACCCAGGAGACAGAGATTGCAATGAGCCAAGATCGCGACACTGCACTACATACAGTCTGGGTGACAGAGCAAGACTCTGTCTCAAAAAAAAAAAAGAATTTATATATTCTCACTGGAGCTTCTAAATATATAAAGCAAATATTGACAGAACTGTAGGGAGAAGTAGATAGGAATACAATAACAGAAAACTTTAATACCCTACTTGAAACAGACAGATTATTCAAACAGAAATCTTCAAAAAAAGAAGTGTGCTTGTATAACACTATAGACTAAATAGATGATATAAATATAACATTTCACCCAACAGTATAAGAATACACATTTATCTCAAAAATACATAAAATATTCTCCAGGAGAGATTATATATTAAACCAAAAATAAAAAACAAGCGTTTCAAATTTAAGAAGGTTAAAATTATGTCAAGTTTTTATTCTGACTATAATGGTATAAAACTGGAAACCAATAGCAAGAAGAAAATTGGAAAACTCACAAATATGTGGATATTAAACAACATGCTCCTAAACAACCAATGGGGTTCAAAGAAGAAGTCAAAAGGGAAAAAGGAAAGCACCCCAATACAAATAAAATTGAGCACACAAGGATCCAAAATTTCTGGGATACAACAAAAGCAGTTCTAAGAGAAGTTTATAATAATAAACTCCTACACTAATAAAAAAAGAAAGATTTAAGTAAACAACCTAACTTTAACTCCCAAAAAACTTGAACAAGACCAAAATAATTCCAACGTTAGCTTAATTATAAAAATATCAAGAATTAGAGAAAAAAGAAAGTAAACAGAGACTAGAAAGACAATAGAAATTTTTTTTTAATTGAGCTGAGTTTTTTAAAGAACCAAAATTGACAAACTTTTGGCTATATTAACCCAGGGAACAAAAAGAGAGAGGACTTAAAAAAATTATAAATAAAAAATTAAGTTATTTCAAAAGATCCCACAGAAATGCAAAAGATAATAAGAGACTACTATGAGCAATTATATGACAACAAATTTGATAACTCAAGAAATAATTATTAGAAACAAACCCACCAAGATTAAATTATAAAAAAAAAGAAATACCGAACAGATCAATAATGAGGAAGGAGATTGAAGCAGTAACCAAATACTTCCAATTTTGAAAAATCCCATGACCGGCCGGGCGTGGTGGCTCAAGCCTGTAATCCTAGCACTTTGGGAGGCCGAGGTGGGCGGATCACGAGGTCAGGAGTTGGAGACCATCCTGGCCAACATGGTGAAACCCTGTCTCTACTAAAAATACAAAAAAATTAGTAGGGCGTGGTGGCGGGTGCCTGTAGTCCCAGCTACTCAGGAGGCTGAGGCAGGAGAATGGCGTGAACCCGGAAGGCGGAGCTTGCAGTGAGTTGAGATGGTGCCACTGCGCTCCAGCCTGGGGGACAGAGCCAGACTGTCTCAAAAAAAAAAAAAAAAAAAAAAAATTCCGTGACCAAATGACTGCATGGGTGAATTGCATCACACATTTAAGGAAGAACTAATGTCAGTCCTTCTCAAACTCTTCCAAAAATTGAAGAGAAAAAACACTTCCAAATTCACTTGAGGCAGCCATTAGTACCCTCATACTGAAGCCAGATAAGGACACTACAAGAAAAGAAAATTATAAGCAAATATCCCTTTGAAGATACAGAAAAAATTCTCAACAAAATACTAGACACTGAATTCAACAACATATTAAAAGGATCATACACTATGATCAAGTAGGACTCATCCCCAGGATGCAAGAATGTTTCAACATACACAAATCATTAAAAATAATATACAATAACAAAATGAAGAATGAAAATTATATAATTATCTCAAAAAATTTATTAAAAGCATTCGACAAAATTTAATACACTTCTATGATAAAAACTCCCAACAATGTACATATAAAAGCATGCATTAAAACACAATAAAGACCATATACATTAAGGCCTCAGATCCCATTATACTCAAGAGTGAAATGCAACAAATTATTTCTCTAGTATCAGAAAGAAGACAAGGATATCAAATCTCACCACCTCTCTTCAACATAGTACTGAGGAATCAAGCTAGAGCAATCAGGTAAAAAGAAGAAAACAAAGGCATTCAAATAAAAAATAAAAAAGCACCACATTTTCTTTGTCCAGTCTATCGATAGGCATTTGGGTTGATTCCATGTCTTTGCTATTGTGAATAGTGCTGAAATGAACCTACACATGCATGTATCTTTATAATAGAATCATTTATATTCCTTTGGGTATATACCCAGTAATGGGATCACTGGGTCGAATGTTATTTCTGGTTCTAGATCTTTGAGGAATAGCTACACTCTCTTCCACAATGATTAAATTTATTTACATTCACACCAACAGTGTAAAAGCATTCCTATTTCTCCACAGCCTCACCAACATCTGTTGCTTCTTGACTTTTTAATAATCGCCATTCTGACTGGCATGAGATGTTATCTCATTGCAGTTTTGATGTGCATTTCACTAATAATCTCGATGTTGAGCTATTTTTTCACATGTGTGTTGGCCACATAAATGTCTTCTTTTGAAAAGTGTCTCTTCATGTTTTTTGCCCACTTTTTAATGAGGTTGTTTTTTTTCCTGTAGATTTGTTTAAGTTCCTGGTAGATTCTGGATACCAGACCTTTGTTAGATGGATAGATTGCAAAAATTTTCTCCCATTCTCTAGGTTGTTTGTTCACCCTGATGATAGTTTCTTTTGCTGTGCAGAAGCTCTTTAATTTAGTTAGATCCCATTTGTGAATTTTTGCTTTTGTTGCAATTGCTTTACACACTATGGAATACTATGCAGCCATAAAAAGGAACAAGATCATATTCTTTGCAGGAACATGGATGGAGCCGAAAGCCATTATCTTCAGCAAACTAATACACAGGAACAGAAAACCAAACACTGCATGTTCTCACTTATAATTGGGAGGTGAACAATAAGAACACATGTACACAGAAGGGGAACGACATACACTGGGGCCTGTTAGAGGGGTGGAGGGAGGGAGAGTTCCGATATAAATTGGGGGCTCCCATAACCTCCTTCTCAAGTTCAATAACTTGATACAACTACTCACAGAATTCAGCAAAACACTATACTTGCATTTACCAATTTATTATGAAAGGTACAAATCAACAAGAGCCAAATGAAAAAAAAGTACAAGGCAAGGAAAAGTGGTGGGAGAAGATGGGGTGGGTAGATAGCAGCTGTGATTAAAGAAATCCCCCATTCTTTGTGCTTTTCAAGAGCATCTCACTGCTAAGAAACACCCTTCCTGTTTTTGATATCCCAAAGCCAGAGACTCTCTAAATTCCCATTTATTTTTATTTTTTTGTCTCATAAACAATTAAATAAGTTTGTCTCTAGTGGACAGAACAAACTACTTGTTAACCAAACTTTTCTTAAGTTTCTTTCCTTCCCCAGGCCCCCAAACTTTGACCCAACCTTACAACCCCTCCTTATGTCCCTCTTAAGAACAGGCTGACTTCTAGGTAAAACACTCTCTGATCTAGGATCTGATTTCACCATGTTTTATCCCTTCCTCCCCCTCCCACATTTTTTTCTCACCTTCTAGTAGTTTGCTCCTCCTTATGAAAGAAAGCCCTTTTCTGACTAATCTTAGTTTAAAACTAATGCCCAGTGTTTAAAGAAAACAGCAAAATCACTCAAACACAGTGTTTATAGAATATTGTAAGGAAATAGTAAGGCACTTAAATTTTATACCTCAACAGGAAAAGCTGAAGTCTCTATCTCTTTCAGACATTAAGCATGCCACTTACATACTTTCATGATAAATAGTTTAATAAACAACCATATATGAACATTTCTAGAAGGTGCCAAGTTCTATCTCATAAAATTTAACATTAAACTTGGACATTTAGACAACAGAATACACAACAGAGTTATCTACTGTTACAAATTTTAGACCCTGCAAAAAAGGGGAGCTGATGTTTTGACAAATATATGCACTTCATCAATTAATCTTTCACATTTTCTTGGGGAAATGTGTTCACTTTCTATAGCCATAATGAAAAAGTGATTTTTCCTATTTCTTTTCCCTGGTAGCATTCCCAAACAAAGCCTTGGAATCCTGTTTGAAATCACCACCCAAAAAGAACGGACATAACAAACTTACTACACTCACTCTGAGGAAGATAAAGGTAAAGAAGCATTTTTAACAAATAAAATATATGACTAGATTTTTCTGAAATCCACCTTTCATGGTCTTTGACTTTTTAAAAAAATTTTCAGCTCTATTGACGAAACGTAATTTACAGTTATTGAAAAACTGAAGTGGAAACAAGTGAAAAAGTCTTTCCAAGGTGACAAACTCAGGGAGCGGCAGCGCTGATGGGAACACAAACATGTCTGACTCAACTGTCAAGTCAGACCATGGTATCCCTCAAAACATTCTCCCATCCCCATCCTGCCCATTAAATTACTCAAGGAGTGTCCTCCTTCCCAGGAGGCACTGTACAATGTCCTCCTGCTTGAACCTGGGAGGTGGAGGTTGTAGTGAGCCGAGATCGCGCCACTGCACTCCAGCCTGGGTGACAGCGAGACTTCATCTCAAAAAAAAATTTTTTTAACAGGAGACACTGGGGACCCCACTGGCCGCAGCTCCTCCCACGCACCCACCGAGTCGGGATTCTGCTCTAATGACCCTCTGTCATCCCTGAACAATCTGGGAGAGAGTCGGGGCTGCGGGTGCAGCGCTGCCCAGAGAGTTTCAGGCAGGTCGCGGCGCGGGAAGAGGACGGTGAGGGGTCAAAGTCCGCTGGCTCAGCTGCCGTCTTGCACCGCCCCCCACCCCACTCTCCGGGGGTACTGAGGGCCCAGCTGCGCCAACGGGGACTCAGGTCTGTGGACCCGGGAGCTGACCGTGGGGAGGCCGGTTCCGCTGGTTTCAACCAGCCCACTCTCCCCTCTTGGGATGCCCAACCCCGCGTACTCACCATTTCCTGGTTTCCAGGATGTCCTGGCATCTTAGCTATGCATTTCCCAGTACCTCCAGATCTCAGGGCAACAGAGGATGTGACAAAGTCACCTAGTGCTCCCGAGGGGCAACACGCGGGACAGTAGAGATGGATCTCAGGCTCCGGCCTGAGCCAGAGACAAAGGCCGCGCCAAACGCTGGAAGCCACGCCCTCCTCCCCAACTGCGTGCCTGATAGGACGGTTCCTACTCTGACAGATTGAATAAGGCTCCAGGACCCTCCCCCACACCCACCGTCCCCAGCATTAGTGCGCTTTATGGACAGGGAAACAGGATCCTGTAGGCGGAGTCACACGCCCCGGGTATCACAGCTAATTAAGAAGTGAGCTGAGCCTTGAAATGCACTTGCTTTTTCCCTTACCTGGGTCTGCTTGTATAATGCATCTTATTAGCTATTTAAAAGTAGAAAGTAGAACAATTGGACACCTTTTTAACAACTTTCTAATCATTTGGATAATGCAGGAAAGACCCTTATCCCATCCCTGAGCTCCTCTCTCAGCATGCTGTACCACACTGCTGACCACAACGTGGGATGGCTATTAGAAATGGAGGGGCAGCGGGGGCTGGGAACGGATAAGCAAGAATTATGTTGCCCAAATATGCTTTTTTTTTCTTTTTTTCTTTTTCTTTTTCTTTTTTTTTTTATTTGAGACAGAGTCTCACTGTTGCCCAGGCTGGAGTGCAGTGGCTTGATCTCAGCTCATTCCAACCTCCACCTCCCGGGTTCAAGCGATTCTCCTGCCTCAGCCTCCTGAGTAGCTGGGATTACAGGCGCCTGCCACTACCTCCAGCTAACTTTTTTGTATTTTTAGTAGAGACAGGGTTTTGCCATGTTGGCCAGGCTGGTTTTGAACTCCTGACTTCAAGTGATCCGCCTGTCTCAGCCTCCCAAAGTGCTGGGATTACAGGCGTGAGCCACCACGACCAGGCAATATGCTCATCTTAGAAAGACTAAGATATATTCACACACACACATATACACACACATATATATACACACACACCTATATATGTGGACAAGGCCAGAGGAAAGTATATTTAGTACAACACAACCATGAGGCTGCAAATCAAACTGGTGGAAGAGAGCATACGTGAGGCTTCAATGGCCAAGACACTGATGGCTATCCTTGGGTGTCACTTAAGACTTCAAGGTGAAGGACATCTTTTTTCCAGTTGGCACAGGGAAAATAACAGACATTAGAATTGGAATTTGTTGTTGTTGTTGTTTTTAGAATTTCTAAAACATGAAGGACTCTCTAAACACTCTAAAAGGCATTGAACTATATATGCGGCTGAGGACCTGCCTGCTCTTCAGAGGGATGGCTGAGCAGCAGCCACCAGCTGTAATGAGCCTTAAACTCCCCCTCTCATAGGGACAGGCCACCTCCACACAGTCCCTCTTACTTCACAGGCTCTGTCCCTCAGGTTCACCTGAGGGCAGGTACCCTCGAGGGTACCTTGACAAGGGCAGGTACCCAGCCAGTTAGATGTTTAGGGACCTCACAGGTCCAACATGCCCAGGGTTTAGCCCCACAGCCTAGCACCCCCTCCCCACCAGCCTTTTTCCTTTTGTCACCAATGACAGGTTCACCTGTGCCACACCCTCATGAGTCTAGTAACTGGAAGGTGGGTAAACCCCAACTGAGTGCCTGTGACTCCACCCTCTTACTTTCCACTCAAGTGGCATTATAAGAATAACCTTAAATTTGATCTAATTTATACATATTCCTCTCTTAGTAACATTTCTAACAACAGCACTCACAATCAAACCCAGTTTGATTGTGAGATTGGGTTACAGAACACACAGGTGAGGCTGGAGCAGCAGGTTTTAAAAACTTTATTCTAATGTGATATAAAGATGTGATGGTTTAAAAATAAGAAACACATATTTATCAGCTGTGGGGATGCTACACTTGCTAGCTTGCATCCATTCTTCTTGAAACAAGGTATCTGGACACACTATACCCATAAGTGGCTCTTTGCAATACCCCAGGCAGAAGCTCCAATCAGACACAGCTCTCTCAGGCTCACAGGGTGGCAACCTCCTCCTTCATGTGGGCTCTGAAGGGCAAGGGAAGGAGCACAGGCAGCAGGGGACAGGGAGCAGCCCGGGGCTGTTGGGATTCCCAATCACCGCAGAGCTAGTCTCTGTAAAGGTGCTGTGTGGCAATGACTAGGTAGAGAGCTGGGCTCCACAGAGAGGTGAAAACCACTCCTGTATCTTTAACTTTCCCCCAGGATCCATGATTCTGCCCTGGTTCCCCCAAAGCCCCTCACCCATCCTATCTCCACGGTGTGTTAGGCAGTTCGGATTAAAACGGGAGAAAAATACATTCAGATTGTAGCCTCCGAGTATTCCCATCTGGGGTGCAGGGAGCAGGGAGGCAAGTCAGGGCCTGTGGTTGTGCCTTTTGCTGTGCCTGAGGGCAGACAGGCCAGTGCTGGGCACATGGATGTCTGGGGGACCACCACCGCTGACTCCCTCCCCCTCACCCAGAGCTACACCCTGGCCAGGCCAATCACAATTAATAAAATCACTGCAGCTCTCATCCTGCCACAAAACTAAAGTGCACCCCAACCCCCAGGGATATCTGACTTCCCATCACAGGATACAGGAAGCCCTCCACCTTTTTTACCTAAAGCCTAGACTTTAAGCCAGGTTGGGCCTAGGGGCAGTGGCAGCAAAAGCAGCAGCCATAATGTCAAACATACAAATGACCTGAGAAATCTCATCTGCATGTCCTTCACTCAGAACTGACCTGGAGTTGTGTACAAGTTAAGAAGGGCAGATCACACACCATGGGCATGGACACATTCCACACTTGCTGGGGAAGATGAGATACCTGAGAGCCACCTGTTTCCCAGCTGCAAGCTGATCTCCACATAATACGATTCATGTGTCTTCATTTTAGGCCTCTGCATTGTGTATTCACTGAGCCAGTGCAAACGCATTTCGGGGGGGTCATCATTCAATGCAGCACCAGCCCCCACTTGTTCTGGGGGGCAGTCAGGAAGGATCTGGTCAGTTCCTGATCCCCCAGGACAAAGGTGCTGCCGCCTTTCCAGCACTAACATCCAGCAGCGCCATCTCAGGATAATTTTTTCACACAAGAGCAGCATGATGTAGCAAGCATGGTGTGACAGGCTCAGGGCCATGGACAGCTGGCTGCTGGCGAAGCAGCACAGGACAGGTGCGTCTGTGGTGGGCCATGACAAGCCAAGGCAGCCACAGCCCCTGTCTCCACACAGCCCCAGCCACAGATGGCATTCAGATCTTCCTGGATGGTATTGGGGTGCTTGAGGCCCATTACTAGCCTGCTCATTAGCACTGCCTTGTGTTGTTTACACAGGGCCTGGGAGAGGGAGTGGGGGTTGTAGATCCAGGATGGGCACGGCCTCACACCCAGAGTTCACCTGGTCGCAGGCCAGCAAGCAAGCCCAAGCAGCACGGCTCTAGACACTGAGCCTTGTCACCTCTGGCTGCACTTCCTATATATACTTTGCACAAAGGCAGCAAGAGAAGGTCAACATTAGCATTTGTGACATGGAAGTCTATGCCCCACTGAGAACTTCTAAAAATGTTCTTTTCTTTTTCTGTTTTCTTTTTTTTTTTCGTGAGACAGAGTTTCACTCTTCTTGCCCAGGCTGGAGTACAATGGCGTGATCTCGGCTCACCGCAACCTCTGCCGTCCAGGTTCAAGCAATTCTCCTGCCTCAGCCTCCGAGTAGCTGGGATTACAGGCATGTGCCACCATGCCCAGCTAATTTTTGTATTTTTTTTAGTAGAGACGGGGTTTCTCCATGTTGGTCAGGCTGGTCTCAAATTCCTGACCTGAGGTGATCTGCATGCCTCAGCCTCCCAAAATGCTGGGTTACAGGCATGAGCCACCACGCATGGCCAAAAATGTTGTTTCCTTAAGCCCTCTTCCTTCTAATAAAATCTATACAAATACATACAAGCTTGAAACTACTATAAATGAAATCTTAGGTTTTTTAAAACCCATAAATAAACAAACACCAAACAGAGACACTGATTGAGGAAAGAGTGGGAGCCTAAATTAGCTGATCCCCAAACAGCCTCACCAAGCCCCAGGCCAGGCAGTCTGAACACTATAAGGCCACGTGATGGTTACAGAGGATGACAGCTCCCATGAGTACTTGTCAGGCACTGTGCTAGCTTCTCATTCAGAGTCTCAGAATGCCTCCTTGCCAATACCGTGTGAGGTGAGGCCCTGCCTCAATGGAGCACAAGAGGTTCCTCAGCTCTCCCAAGGAAATGGTTATCAAAGGGTGGAGCTGGGGGATGCCAGACAGAACAAGTGTCTCCCCAGGGTCCCCCTAGACTCCCTCCGATCTTCCACATGGGCCCGGGGGGGAAGTGAACAGCCTCCTAACCCCCTCGATAAGGTTCCAGTCCTGTAGGCCTGGACGCTCTCATTTCCTGCTACCATGTGGGGTGACAATGCAACCCCAGACCCCTCATTTGCCATCCTTCAATCCCAGGCCAGGCCCAAAGGCCTTTGCTGATACAGCCCAGAGGGTGCTCGACACCCACCTTGGCACAGTCACTCATAATGTAGTGGGATGGTCAAGGAGGTGCACGTAGGTGCAAGTCCCCATGAGCGTGGCCTCAGGCATGTTCCACAGGCTCAGGACCTCACTGAGGAGCCCACAGCCCTCCTTCAGGAGGCCGCGAACACAGTCCCACGGAGCAGTGCTCAGATGGGCAGACAGGCCCGCCAGCACTGAGGACCCCAGACCCCCCAGCGTGAGGCTCTGTCCAACTTTGCAGGGCTTTTACACTGGCCGGTCCCCATTGCTTCTCTGGTGAGATGTCCGAGTTGAATTGAATGTTGAAGGCCATGCATCTGATGGAGCTGACTGCTTTGCACACACGGGAAATCACCTCCTGGCTCCAAGGGTGGGCTGTGGAGACACAGCCTGATGGGAGGTAGTTCCACTCCACCATCAGTGGGGGCTGGGCTGCCCTGAGCCACAACCGCCCAGCTTCCTGCAGAGATGTCTGCCTGCTTCTCTCAGAGGCTGAGTTATGAGCCACCCCTGGCAAGGACTGGCCGCCAGGACAGGCTGGGAACTCTCCCCCAGCATCCTCGGCAGCCCCACCTGTGCTGATGATCTCCATGATAAGATTATGGATTGGCCTGGTTATAGCTCCGAGTGAGGGGGAGGGAGTCAGCAGTGGTGGACCCCCAGACATTCATGTGCCCAGCCCTGGCCTGCCTGCCTGCCCTCAGGCACAGCAAAAGGCACAACCACAGGCCCTGACTTGCCTCCCTACTCCCTGCACCCAACATGGGAATACTCAGAAAGTAACCTTCCCCCCATCATTTCTCTACCTTAATAACAGCATTGATAACTTTTAAGTTCTAGTAAGCTGAAAGTGTAAGATAAATGAGCTTCTGCCTTGGAAGGGGCATGGTTAGGCAGTGTGTGCCCAAGTGAGAGCCCCATGGTTGCTAGTAGAGGGTGGGAAGCTGGATGGCCCTGGCCACTCAGCACAGTGGAAGTACAGTCCTCTCCTTCCAGGGAATCAAGGTCTCAAAGAGGCCAGAAAAAGGTGCATGGGTGGCCTGCCAGGAAGCAGAAGGCTAGAAGGCCTTGCAGGAAACCCTAGACAGCATTCAGGATGCCTGAGAGGGCTGGGCTCATTCCAGCTTTCCTTGCTTTCATCCTGTCCACAAGAAAGCCTGCCCGCAGATGGCAGGTGGGCCTGAGGCTGCCAGTCAGTCACCAGGGGATATAAGCACCTTGATTATGGCTCTTTCTTGAAGCAGCTGCTTAGGCCAGTTCTGGCAGAGCAGTTCCCTCATTATCTGCAGCTCCTTCTTCCAATCCCAGGTCTGCAGAAGGACCAGGAAGACAAGGGCTCAGGCTGTGCCCCACAACCTGCTCTGAGAAGTCTGTCTCTCTCTTTTTTTTTTTAACCTCTTCATTGATAGCCTTAGACTTCCAAATGAACTGACCAGCATGGAGCCTCCATAAAAGGGCACAGAATTCTGTCTGGCACCCAGGAGGAAGGGGGTTCCCAGTGAGGGCAGGGCCAGTCTGCATGCACCTGTTCAGGAATGTTCTCCTCATAGCTCAGCCTCAAGGTGTAGACATCCTCTGTGAGCACGCAGTGTCATGGGAGCCCTTGCCCGGGGAGCAGTCCAGCTGCACACCTGGAATGGGATGGTTTTCCTCTTGAATGTGTGGTGCTAGGCCCCATGGCAGGCAGTGGAGAGGGAGATACACAGCCCACCAAGCTCAGAGCCCTGCCGCAGGCTTCTTCTCTGACACCTCTACCTGCTCTAGGTTCTTCTTGGCACTGAAGTCAGAAGCAGATGGGGTCCCTCCCAGGGCTGCTCTCTCCCACATTGACTGACAGCTCCCTAGAAGGGGACTCAGGCAGTGGGGGCAGTTTTTTGGGCAGAAGCACTGGAGTTAGGCTGGCCAGTTCATCACATACCCCCACATGACATGACACAAGGCAGGGGCAGTGGGACAAAGCCATCACCTTTTTTTCTATGGCATGACAAAGGGTTTTGTAAAGTTCAGGCTGATGTGGTTGAGCAGCTCCAGTGGGAATGGCTTGGGAAGCCGGGGCTGGTGGGCTCGGGTTTGAGTGATAGGCTATGGGCCTACAAGGAGTGGGTGGGCACTAAGTAAGTGCCCTGGTTGTCTGTCCACAGACCCAGAACAAGTGGCATCCCAGGAGCCTGTGGGGGGCTGGCAGAGACTTACTGGTTGCAGTAAAAGCCCCATGTGGATGCAGTGATGCTGCCTCACTGGCCCTTGGCTGTAATTACAAACGGATACATGAGGTCTCCATGCATCTTGCAGTTCCCAGTGGGTGGGTTCCTACTGCTCATGGTAGGCACTGGAAGTGCTTCAGGAATGGCCAAGCTTGAATAAGCCAGGCTTGTTGGTGTGTGGCCCTCCAACCCAACGAGGACCCTCTTCCTTGCTCACCGTGGGAGTTCCACCTTCCAGTCATGGTTCTAGAGACACAATGGCCCCTCCTGGGTCCCTGGCAGGATGTGCTCAGTGACCCACAGTTGACAGGGCCCATCTCCAAGCCATTCTTCCAATTCCCACTGTTTGAATATCTATGATAACTGTATATCTGTGAGGAACCCGGGGCTGGTGGTCAGCACAGGGCCACCCAGGGCCAGTTGTCTTTCTACCTAAATGTGACCCTGGTCTGGGTGTCTCAGGGCCAGGCCCCTCCAGGTTGGAAGGCCTGGTCTTCAGCCCCTGGCCTCCATGCTCCTTTTCCCTCCGTTCAGTCCTGACACCAATACCTCCCACCCCTCTCAGGTCACCATTGGAGAAAATGCTCAAGAAGGACAAGCAGCTTCAGTCAACTCTGCTGAAGGTGGCAGATGGGCCCAGGCTCTTGAGCAGGGCTTGGACATGGTACCTGTGGATTCAGGCCTTGAGCAGTATGTGTAACTCTTTCAGGAAGGGAGAAAGAAGGGTGTTACCAGGACCCCGCACCCTGGAACAACCCATCTAGCACAGAAAATAGTTTACAGCTATCACGGGTGATTTTAATTTTCAACTTTAGGCTTCCATTTTCAAATTCCACAATGAACACATAAGGTGGAGTTCTGGTTTCAACACACACACACACACACACACACACACACACACACACACTCCTGCCTCCTAGTGGGCAGAGATTTTTGTTCACAAAGAATCTTCTGCCAAATGCCTCCGAGGTACACGTAGGTCTTGGGGAGCCCATGGGCCAACTGTTTTGTGGGCACTCCTGTCTTCGGTAGGCAGGTTCTTCAGAGCTTTGAGACCTCCACAACCTTGCGCTGCTCTCCTGGGGCAGCCTTCATGCAGGGGTGTCCTGAGGACTTCCCAGGGCACCCAACTTCAGCACTGTCATCCAGTGTGCGTTTCACGGAATTTTTTTTCCCAGGAGAAATAACTTTATTTGAACTGAGAGCTGGAGAATGAGACAAGGACTTGAGACAGCATGAGTAGAGGTGAGGTTCCAAAACGGCAGTCAGAGCTCATCCACCAAACAGACTCCACTTTCCCAGCAACCTTGCAGTTAGTGCCACCAACAAAAGGTCCACTGGGAAATATATTTGCCACAAAATTACCCAAGTATGCCAACATTACAAAAAAGATACAGATTTTTCATCGTAATTAAATTTCCACAAAACCCCCAAATCACAAGTGTTTTGTTTTTTTTTTTGAGACGGAGTTTTGCTTTTTTCGCCCAGGCTGTAGTGCAGTGGCACAATCTCGGCTCACAGCAACCTCTGCCTCCCAAGTTCAAGCAATTCTCCTGCCTCAGTCTCCCAAGTAGCTGGGATTACAGGCGCCCAAAACCACATTGTGGGGAAAAGAAAGAGAGATCAGATTGTTACTGTGTCTGTGTAGAAAGAAGTAGACATAGGAGACTCCATTTTGTTCCCTACTAAGAAAAATTCTTCTGCCTTGAGATGCTGTTAATCTGTAACCCTTCCCCCAACCCTGTGCTCCCTGAAACATGTGCTGTGTCAACTCAGGGTTAAATGGATTAAGGGCTGTGCAGGGTGTGCTTTGTTAAACAAATGCTTGAAGGCAGCATGCTTGTTAAGAGTCATCACCACTCCCTAATCTCAAACCACTCCCTAATCTCAAGTACCCAGAGACACAAAACACTGCAGAAGGCCGCAGGGACCTCTGCCTAGGAAAGCCAGGTACTGTCCAAGGTTTCTCCCCATGTGAGAGTCTGAAATATGGCCTCGTGGGAAGGGAAAGACCTGACCGTCCCCCAGCCCGACACCCGACACCCGTAAAAGGTCTGTGCTGAGGAGGATTAGTAAAAGAGGAAGGAACGCCTTTTTGCAGTTGAGATAAGAGGAAGGCTTCTGTCTCCTGCTCATCCCTGGGCAATGGAATGTCTGGGTGTAAAGCTGATTGTATATTCCATCTACTGAGATAGGAGAAAACCGCCTTAGGGCTGGAGGTGGGACATGCTGGCAGCAATACTGTTCCTTAAGGCAATGAGATGTTTATGTATATGCACATCAAAAGCACAGCACTTTTTTCTTTACCTTGTTTATGGTGCAGAGACATTTGTTCACGTGTTTACCTTCTGACCTCTCCACTATTATCCTATTATCCTGTCACGCCCGATCATGAGCAATAAATACTAAGGGAACGCAGCAGCCGGGGCTGGCGTGGATCCTCCATATGCTGAATGCCTGTCCCCTGGGCCCCTTTTTCTTTTTTTTTTTTTTTTTTTTTTTTTTTTATTGATCATTCTTGGGTGTTTCTCGCAGAGGGGGATTTGGCAGGGTCATAGGACAATAGTGGAGGGAAGGTCAGCAGATAAACAAGTGAACAAAGGTCTCTGGTTTTCCTAGGCAGAGGACCCTGCGGCCTTCCGCAGTGTTTGTGTCCCTGGGTACTTAAGATTAGGGAGTGGTGATGACTCTTAACTAGCATGCTGCCTTCAAGCATCTGTTTAACAAAGCACATCTTGCACCGCCCTTAATCCATTTAACCCTGAGTGGACACAGCACATGTTTCAGAGAGCACAGGGTTGGGGATAAGGTCACAGATCAACAGGATCCCAAGGCAGAAGAATTTTTCTTAGTACAGAACAAAATGAAAAGTCTCCCATGTCTACTTCTATCCACACAGACCCGGCAACCATCCGATTTCTCAATTTTTTCCCCACCCTTCCCGCCTTTCTATTCCACAAAACCGCCATTGTCATCATGGCCCATCCCCAATGAGCCGCTGGGCACACCTCCCAGACGGGGTCGTGGCCGGGCAGAGGGGCTCCTCACTTCCCAGTAGGGGCGGCCGGGCAGAAGCGCCCCTCACCTCCCGGATGGGGCGGCTGGCCGGGCGGGGGGCTGACCCCCCCACTACCCTCCCGGACGGGGCGGCTGGCCAGGCAGAGGGGCTCCTCACTTCCCAGTAGGGGCGGCCGGGCAGAGGCGCCCCTCACCTCCTGGATAGGGCGGCTGGCCGGGCGGGGGGCTGTCCCCCCCACCTCCCTCCCGGACGGGGCGGCTGGCCGGGCAGAGGGGTCCTCACTTCCCAGTAGGGGCGGCCAGGCAGAGGCGCCCCTCACCTCCCGGACAGGGCGGCCGGCCGGAAGGGGGGCTGACCCCCCCACCTCCCTCCCGGATGGGGCGGGTGGCCGACCCCCCCCCCCCCGCCTCCCTCCCGGACGGGGCGCTGGCCGGGCAAAGGGGCTCCTCACTTCCCAGTAGGGGTGGCCGGGCAGAGGCGCCCCTCACCTCCCGGACGGGGCGGCTGGCCGGGCGGGGGGCTGACCCCCCCCACCTCCCTCCCGGACGGGGCGGCTGGCCGGGCAGGGGGCTGACCCCCCCTCCCCCCTCCCGGACGGGGCGGCTGGCCGGGCGGGGGGCTGACCCCCCCACCTCCCTCCCGGATGGGGCGGCTGGCCAGGCGGGGGGCTGACCCCCCCACCTCCCTCCCGGGCGGGGCAGCTGGCCGGGCAGAGGGGCTCCTCACTTCCCAGTAGGGGCGGCCGGGCAGAGGCGCCCCTCACCTCCCGGACGGGGCAGCCGGCCGGGCGGGGGGCTGACCCCCCCACCTCCCTCCCGGACGGGGCGGCTGGCCGGGCAGAGGGGTCCTCACTTCCCAGTAGGGGCGGCCGGGCAGAGGCGCCCCTCACCTCCCGGACGGGGCGGCTGGCCGGGCGGGGGGCTGACCCCCCCCACCTCCCTCCCGGACGGGGCGGCTGGCCGGGCAGGGGGCTGACCCCCCCTCCCCCCTCCCGGACGGGGCGGCTGGCCGGGCGGGGGGCTGACCCCCCCACCTCCCTCCCGGATGGGGCGGCTGGCCAGGCGGGGGGCTGACCCCCCCACCTCCCTCCCGGGCGGGGCAGCTGGCCGGGCAGAGGGGCTCCTCACTTCCCAGTAGGGGCGGCCGGGCAGAGGCGCCCCTCACCTCCCGGACGGGGCAGCCGGCCGGGCGGGGGGCTGACCCCCCCACCTCCCTCCCGGACGGGGCGGCTGGCCGGGCAGAGGGGTCCTCACTTCCCAGTAGGGGCGGCCGGGGCGGCTGGCCGACCCCCCCCCCCCGCCTCCCTCCCGGACGGGGCGGCTGGCCGGGCAGAGGGGCTCCTCACTTCCCAGTAGGGGCGGCCGGGCAGAGGAGCCCCTCACCTCCCGGACGGGGCGGCTGGCCGGGCGGGGGGCTGACCCCCCCCACCTCCCTCCCGGACGGGGTGGCTGCCGGGCGGAGACGCTCCTCACTTCCCAGACGGGGTGGTTGCCGGACGGAGGGGCTCCTCACTTCTCAGACGGGGCGGTTGCCAGGCAGAGGGTTTCCTCACTTCTCAGACGGAGCGGCGGGGCAGAGACGCTCCTCACCTCCCAGACAGGGTTGCGGCCCAGCAGAGGCGCTCCTCACATCCCAGACAGGGCGGTGGGGCAGAGGTGCTCCCCACATCTCAGACGATGGGCGGGCGGGCAGAGACGCTCCTCACTTCCTAGATGGGATGGCGGCCGGGCAGAGGCGCTCCTCACTTTCCAGACTGGGCAGCCAGGCAGAGGGGCTCCTCATATCCCAGACGATGGGTGGCCAAGCAGAGATGCTCCTCACTTCCTAGACGGGATGGCGGCCGGGAAGAGGTGCTCCTCACTTCCCAGACTGGGCGGCCGGGCAGAGGGGCTCCTCACATCCCAGACGGGGTGGCGGCCGGACAGAGGCTGCAATCTCGGCACTTTGGGAGGCCAAGGCAGGCGGCTGGGAGGTGGAGGTTGTAGCTAGCCGAGATCAGCCACTGCACTCCAGCCTGGGCAACATTGAGCACTGAGTGAACGAGACTCCATCTGCAATCCCGGCACCTCGGGAGGCCGAGGCTGGCAGATCACTCGCGGTTAGGAGCTGGAGACCAGCCCGGCCAACACAGCGAAACACCGTCTCCACCAAAAAAATACGAAAACCAGTCAGGCGTGGCGGCGCGCGCCTGCAATCGCAGGCACTCGGCAGGCTGAGGTGGGAGAATCAGGCAGGGAGGTTGCAGTGAGCCGAGATGGCAGCAGTACAGTCCAGCTTCAGCTCGGCATCAGAGGGAGACCGTGGGGAGAGGGAGACGAGGGAGAGGGGGAGGGGGAGGGGGAGGGGAGGGGGAGGGGGGGAGAGGGAGAGGGAGAGGCTCTTTTATTCTTTTTATAAGACTTTTTTTTTTTTTGAGACAGACTTTTAGTCAGTCGCCAGGCTGGAGTGCAGTGGCATGATCTCAGCTCAGTGCAACCTCCACCTCCCAGGTTCAAGCGATTCTCCTGCTTCAGTCTCGCCAGTAGCTGGGACTACAGGCGCACACCACCATGCCCAGCCACTTTTTGTATTTTTTCTTTTTTTTTTTTTTGAGACAGAGTCTCACTCTGTTGCCCAGGCTGGAGTGCAGTGGCACGATCTCGGCTCACCACAACCTCCACCTCCCGGGTTCACACCATTCTCCTGCCTCAGCCTCCCGAGTAGCTGGGACTACAGGTGCCCACCACCATGCCTGGCTAATTTTTTTGGTATTTTTAGTAGAGACGGGGTTTCACTGTGTTAGCCAGGATGGTCTCGATCTCCTGACCTCGTGATCCACCCGCCTTGGCCTCCCAAAGTGCTGGGATTACAGGCATGAGCCACCACGCCTGCCACTTTTTGTATTTTTAGTAGAGATGGGGTTTCACCATGTTGGCCAGGATGATCTCGATCTCTTGACTTCGCGATCTGCCCACCTTGGCCTCTCAAAGTGTTGGGATTACAGGCGTGAGCCACCGCACCCGGCCATAAGACTCTTTTTATAAATATATTGGTCTACTTGATGGTATCCAGTAAGTCTCATATTTCATCCTTATTTTTTTCATCATTTTTTAAAATTGGCTTCCAGGACTCAATACTTGTGAATAATGTTCAATTTCCTGATTCCTTCTTCTGCTTCATTAAGTTTGCTGTTGTGTCTGCAGTGAATTTATAAAACTCAGTTATTGCATCTTTCAACTCCACAATATCTGTTGGCTTTTTGAAAATAATTTTTATCTCTTTATTGATATCTCATTTTGCTCATTATTTTAAAATTTCATTTAGTTGTCTATTTGTGTTTTATTTTTTGTTCATTGAGCATGCTTAAGATGATAATTCTGAATTCTTTATCAGATATGCAAAAATCTTTACTTCTTAAGATTCAATTTCTGGAGATTTATTTTGTTCCTTCAAGTGGGGCCTATTTTCTGCCTTCTCTATATGCCCTGTGATTTTTTTTTAAATGAAATCTGGTGATTTAATAACATAAGAAAGTGCTGTGGCTCACACGTGTAATCCCAGCACTTTGGGATGCCGAAGGGGGTGGATCACCTGAAGTCAGGAGTTCAAGACCAGCCTGGCCAACATGGTGAAACCCCCCTCTACTAAAAATACAAAAATTAGCTAGGTGTGGTGGCGGGCGCCTGTAATCCCAGCTACTCAGGAGGCAAGGCAAGAGAATCACTTGAACCCGGGAGCCCGAGATTGTAGCGAGCCAAGATTGTGCCACTGCACTCTAGCCTGGGCAACAAGAGCAAAACTCCGTCCAAAAAAAGAAACAAAGAAATTCCAGGACACCAGGGACAGATGACACATTTTCTGCTATATAATTTCAAGTCCTATGGAGGTTTAAAACATAAATCTACAAAAAAATTAGACTAAAAAATTTTATGTGCACAAAGTGTCTTATTAAATTATTTACTTAAAATTTTTCTCTTTCCTAGTAGGACCTAATCTTGGAAATTTAAACTCTATATGCCAACAGCCTGTACTATAGGGAGTTTACTACATGTACTCATTTCATAGATTTCCTGCAAAAACTTTTGTCATAAGAAAACTTAGAACATTGTTATACATATAGTAAATTCCCAATTGTTACCTTATTTCTCAATTATTATTTTATACTTCTGTCTTCTTTAATATGAAGATTACCATGGCTGTGTTTTCACTTTCTGAATTGTCATATGTCACATTTGTCTGTAATTTTGGTTTCAAAAGTGCTAAAATAACATGCTTGAATGTATATGTTAAAATGAAGTAACATATAATTAATAATTTATTAAGATATTTGGCTGTATGTGTAATTAATTATAGGCAGAATATTATTATTAGCATTTCCATCCATGTTCCTAAACCTTTATCTGAATGTTAGTACAACTTATTCCTTATTTTTTATATATCGATGTTTTATACCCTACATACTATATTTATATTGTCCTTGTATTTAGAAATGTAAGACTTTTCTTCTAAAGGCTAGATTACAGCCTTACTATTTTATGTAAGAAGAGCAGCAATGTATCAACAGTATAATTTAAGTTTCTCTAGTATTATTTACATTTTTATTCCTTAAAACTTTCTCATCAAAGCTCTTTATGAATAATTATAATGTGTTTTCTCTGAAATGTTGTTGCCCTAACTGTCGGCTAATGATTCAAAATTCATGCTCTTCATGGCTGCACAGGCAAAATTGAAAATTGTAGTCATCTGGCCAGGGCGACAGCTCACGCCTGTAATCCCAGCACTTTGAGAGGCCGAGGCGGGTGGATCACTTTAGGTCAGGAGTTCGAGACCGGCTTGGCCAACATGGCGAAACTCCGTCTCTACTAAAAATACAAAAATTAGTTGGGCGTGGTGGTGGGTGCCTGTAATCCCAGCTAGTCAGGAGGCTGAGGCAGGAGAATCGCTTCAACCCAGGAGGTGGAGGTTGCAGTGAGCTGCCATCCTGCCACCACACTCCAGCCTAGGTGACAGAGCAAGACTCCGTCTAAAAAAAAAAACAAGTAGTTATCTAGAATAAACACTATGTTTACTCAGGATTTTATGGGTTAAAGTTTATCTTAATTATGTTTTGTAATTTTATATTTCTGTATTTTTTTTAGAGTAGGCTGCCTCACATGAGTTCATTGTGTTTCTGGTTTCTACAAATTACAGTATACAAATCAGAATTTTTTGGATTAATGTTTGTTTTAACTCTGTTTTGCAATTTTGTATTTCTGTATTTTGTGTTTTAGGGTGGTCCACTTCACATCAGCTTATTGTGTTTTTAGCTTTAATTTATATATTATAATTTTGTATGACAATATTCAACTCTGTACACCTTAAGACAGTGTGGGACAAAAGTCAAATATGAATCAGCCCTATGTCTATTGTCAATATAATTATCTATGTGTTTGTTTGCTTGTATAAATATTACCCCATTTTGTTTATGATTTGTATATTTTTATTCTTGGCTGGTGGCCAATAATGTTTGATTCTGTCTAGGTGAGTAGTCATGGAAATTGTCTTAATTTTAAAATCTATTTATTGTTTATATTATTTTAGTGTGAGAGAAATACTTTTGTGGTTCGTAGGTAAATTTTGAACAAGTTTATAACTCTTTTAGTTGTCATTTTAAATTGTGATTGTGGTAAAAATACATAACATAAAATTTAGAATCTTATATTTTATTATACAGTTCAGTCATGTTAAGTGTATTTACATTGTTATGCAACATATCTGTAAAATTTTTTTCTCTTGCAAAACTAAAACTCAATACACATGAAGTGACAGGAGTTTGAGACTATCCTGGGCAACATCTTAGATGACAACTCTATTAAAAAATAATATAATAAAGTTAAAAAAGAAATATATATGCCCAGAGCCTGGACAACACTGCAAGATCACATCTCTTCTAAAAAGATGGATGGATGGAGAGGTAGGTAGATAGGTAGATAGATAGATAGACAGATAGATAGGATTAAGCCAGGTGTGGTAGCTTATGCCTGTAATCCTAGCACTTTGGGAGGCTGAGGTGGGTGGATCATTTGAGATCTGGTGTTCAAGACTAGCCTGGCCAACATGGTGAAACCCCGTCTCTACTAAAAATACAAAAAGTAGCCGGATGTGGTGGTACATGCCTGTGATTCCAACTACTCAGGAGGCTGAGGCAGGAGAACTGCTTGAACTCGGGAGACCGAGGTTATAGTGAGCAAAGATGGTGCCACTGCACTTCAGCCTGGGCGACAGAGCGAGACTCCGTCTCAAAAAAAAAAAAAAAAAAAATATATATATATATATATACACACACACACACACACACACACTAGTTGTGTATAAATGTGTGTGTATGCACATTAATCTGTGTGTAGCTTAATTCATTCAATTAGTCTATTATTAAAAGACATTTAAATTACCTCCAAACATTCATTACAATGAGCAAGGTTTCAGTGAATTTTCCTTATTATCGGTTTTCTTTTCTTTGTTTTTTCTTTCTTTCTTTTTTTTTTTTTTTTTTTTGAGGCAGAGTCTCCCTTTGCTGCCCAGGCTGGAGTGCAATGGTGCAATCTCAGCTCACTGCAACCTCTGCCTCCCGGATTCAAGCGATTCTCCTGCCTCAGCCTCCTTGAGTAGCTGGGTTTACAGGCGCCTGCCACCACGCCCAGCTAATTTTTGTATTTTTAGTACAGACAGGTTTTCGCCATGTTGCCCAGGCTGGTCTCGAACTCCTGACCTCAAGTGATCCGCCCGCCTCCCAAAGTGCTGGGATTACAGGCGTGAGCCACCGCGCCCGGCTTTATTATCTGTTTTTAAACTCTCAACCTAAACAACAAACAGAGAAAGGCTCTCTCAAAGAAAAGATGTTTATTTGGGAGTAGGGCATTGCAACGGGAATACATGAGATTCACCACTACCTACCGCCCAGGACTGCCGCGCAGCTCAAATAAATTTTTGAAAAGCACCTCTGCACTCCAGACTGGGCGACAGAGCGAGACTCTGTCTCTGTCTCAGAAAAAAAAGAAAAGACAAAGACAAAAAAGAAAACCGCCTCAAAAAATTTTTAAAAAGTGCCTCTCGAGGCCTTGTGCACACGGAGTGACATGACCTGCTGAGGTCAAGGCAAGCTTTCCACCCTCCGTGGCTGGGAAATCTCCTGCCTAGCTTCACGATGAATCAAGGCCAGGGCGCCTCCCACCTCTCGGGAGGAAACCTGACGCCTGACCGCTTAATGGGTGTGTCCACAAGTTGCCACCTAAGGAGGAGGGGAGGGGGAAGCTACGCAGCCTTGATAGCAGCCGGGAACCCTGAGTCCCGGACCCGCACAGCGCAGAGGACCCCAGCAGCGCACTTGTCCCTTTCGCCCTGGCCTTGCCGCGGCGGCGGGGAGAAGAGGGTGGGACGGTCTGACCTCCGCAGCCAATGAAAGCAGTGAGTTCCTGGTCCGATCCCCAGCGCGACTCCTCAGTGGTCACCTCCCGGGCAACGGGCCACGGACCCTCGGCACCCCGAGACAATTGTCAGGCGGAGGGTGAGCCCCGGTTCCTGGGCGGCGGGTGCGGATTGGGATGGGCGCGGAGCCAGGTGGCGTGAGCCTGCAGCCCTCCGTGCTCGGAGTGCGCGCGCCACAGTGGAGCCCGCCGCGTCGCTGACCGGGTGCGCGCTGCTCTTCCTGCTCTGGGTGCGCGGGAAGGGGCTGGGTGTCCGCGCGCCCCTTCCTCCTGCCGCTCTTGGTACCTTCCACATCTACCAACGCCTGTGCGCCGGGTGGTGTGGAAGCGCAGCATCGCCGGTGGGACAGCCAGAAACAGAAGAGCACGCCTGGCGTGGCAGGGGCCCAGAGCCACGGGAACACGGGTGACAGGGACAGCGGGACTTAAGGCAGCAAGGGAGGTGCGGTGCAGGAGGGAGTCAGGACTTCATGGAGAGCTGGCATTGGAGGGCGATTGGAACCAAATAAATTAAAAAAAAAAAAAAAGGTGCGGGGGGAACAGAACAGGCAAAGGCAACAGAGGAGCACAACATTGCCCCGATGTTAGCTGTGTGCAGGGCATGTGCGGGTACCTGGGGCGGATATAAAGAATGCTAAGATAGGCCGGGTGCAGTGGCTCACGCCTGTAATCCCAGCACTTTGGGAGGCCGAGGCGGGCAGATCACGAGGTCAGGAGTTCGAGAGCAGCCTGGCCAACATGGTGAAACCCCGTCTCTACTAAAAATACAAAAATTAGCTGGGAGTGGTAGCGGGCGCCTGTAATCTCAGCTACTCGGTAGGCTGAGGCAGGAGAATCGCTTGAACCCGGGAGGCAGAGGTTGCAGTGAGCCGAGATCACGCCATTGCACTCCAGCCTGTGCGACAGAGCGAGACTCCTTCTCAAAAAAAAACACAAAAAACAAAAACAAGAATCTTAACAGAAAGGTGCCCAACAGTCAGGTAACTCACCAGGCCCCAGCGTCTCAGAAGGAGGAAAGGCTTCCGGGAGGCGGAACTGGGCCTAGCGATTGGGAAATGGAGGAAATGATTGGGCGAAGGTGTGTGGGTGGAAGGAATGGTATGAGCAAAGGCCGGGAAAGGAGAAAGCGTAGGGCAGGAGGAGGAGAAGATTCGAAAGCCAGCTTGGAGCTAGGTTGGAGAGGGGCCTTGCTGCCAGGTTTGAGTTTTGAGCAAGGTGCTTCTGTCGGGTTTAGAGGAGAGGACTAAAGTTAAAAGGTGGAACTCAGCCCAGGATCCGGAGGGAAGAGCCTCACCGTCTCTGGTGATGGAGGGTTCACTCCTTGACAGGTGCAGTTGTTCCATGTCCCAGCTGGAGCCTATTCTGCGTCCAGGGCTGGCCTGGTTTTGGGTCCTGGGCTGTTTCTTGGCTCCCGCTGCCCCTCCTTCTGTTCCTTTCTTGCTGGCATCAGGTTGCAGAGAGCTTCTGTTTCCTGCTGCCACCCTTCCATAGGCATAGCAGCCTCTGTATTCTGTGAGCTCCGCTTCGGGTGCTGCAGCAAGAGCCTGAACATGGATGGGGAGAGCCGCTTCTATGAGGGATGAGACCTCGGATCTGGTTGGGGGAAGGCAGAGTCTCGAAGCGCTTTGCCTGCTGCCCTTGGTTCTGCCGGTCACAGTCTTAGCCCCAGTGCCCTGCCTACCCTTTCTCCTCAATTGCATCCTCTTTCCCAGCTATTTCCACGAGTTTAGATTCTCCATTTTTCTTCCTGTCTCCTCCATCAGAGTATGAGCTCTTGGAAATCAGGGACACTTATCTGACTCACCTCTGGCCAATGAGGCCTGGCTCCAAGCAGCCTAGTCAGCACTTCTTAACCTCAACTAAACTGCAGGGTTCACTGTGGGCAGGAAGACAAGAGTCCCAGCTGGACTAGCCACTGCCCTGGACCTGCCATGAGCCATTGATGTCCATTATTTCTAATGCTCACAGCAACCCTGGTAGGTCTTGTGCCGGTTTTACAAATGGGGAAAATTGAGTTTCTGGCTGTGAGTCGTGTGTCCAGGATGGCCTAGCTAGTCAATGGGGCTGGAATCCAGATTACCCTGATTTCAGAGCCAAAATTCTTGACGATTTTTTCCCATCCATTCCCTTCCCTCCTGTAGTTCTGGTCCTGTTGCCTCATCCCTGGCCTGTTGTAATAGCTGTCTGACCAGTTGCCCTTTTTCCAGGTACCTCTCACCTCTCTTTGACCTACACATAGTCCCAAGAGTGGGCTTTCATGGCATTGGCTCCCTGCCTAAAATCTTGGCTGGCTCTAGTCAGGATCCAATCCACCCAGTGCCTCAGGCTTTCTGACTTCTGCATTCACTTCATGTGACTCTCCAGCTTAAATACAGTGCCCCAACTCAGTCCCTCCCACCTCTGGGGTTGTATCAAGTCCTGGGACTGCAGAGATGGGAAGGGAGGCATGTTTGGCCATGGAATTCGACCACTTGTTCCTTCACCCCTTACTCACAAGAATCCCTTCATCAACACCTGCCCCCTCTCAGCTCCCTGGCCTCTTATAGTAGGAAAGCCCTTTTCCATGTGGAGCTGTTTGCCTGGCCAGCTCCAGTGCAATTTTCTCTAGGAGGCCTGACCAGTATTTGACCAGACTTTTGGTTGCAAGTAAAAGAAGCTAAAATCATACTTGCTTGAGCAAGAAGGGATTTTAAAGTCCAGGAGTAAAACTGGATCAGGCATGGCTGGATCCAGGATCCTTCTCTTCCCCATTTCCATCTTTTCATACATCTGCCATTTCTTGTCTCTGCTTTTCTCTAGGTTGACTTCATTCTTTGCAGCCTGTCTTCCTGTAGAGGCCCCAGAAGTTTCCTGGCTTACAGTCAACCAGCTTAGCAACTCCCACAAAGGCAGAGTGCCTTTCCTAGAACCAGTCTTGTTGGCTTGATTTGGGTCATAGGCCTGTCTCTAAACCTGTCTCTGTGGCCAGGAGGATAAAATCATCCTTTAGTCATGTGCCTTCTGGGGCACAGTGAGTAGAATTAGCCTTACCTGAGCCAAAGGAAGACAGGGATTGTTAGAAGTAGATGAAGAGGGGCTGGGCACAGTGGCTCATACCTGTAATCCCAGCACTTTGGGAGGCTGAGGCGGGCAAATCACTTGAGGTCAGGAGCTCAAGACCAGTGTGGCCAACATGGAGAAACCCTGTCTCTACTAAAAATACAAAAATTCACCAGGCGTGGTGGCAAACACCTGTAATCCCAGATACTCGGGAAGCTGAGGAAAGAGAACCTCTTGAACCTGGAAGGCGGAGGTTTCAGTGAGCTGATATCACCCTACTGCACTCCAGCCTGAATGACAGAGTGAGACCCTGTCTCAAAAAAAAATGGGTGGTCACAGGTCAAAACAACAGATCTCCACTTTTCCTGCTCTTGTTCATCTCAGTAGGAAGGGAACACTTCCTTCCGTGTTCCTAATGGGCTTGTCATCCTGGGACATTTGTTCTCTGTGTTTGAGCTCTAGTCACTTACATTAGAGGTTTTGCAAAAGCTCTTTCTTTCATTGGCTTGGTGGTCCTTCCTTGCCCCTTTTCTTTCCCTCAAGGTGATAAATGAGTTAGCACATACAAATGTTTAGAACAGGGCTTGGCATGTAACAAGCCTCAATAAGTGTTAGCTATTATCCTATGGACTATTACCGTGAGCCCATCGATTCTTCCAGACCTGAAATTCAACAATCCTGGCTATGAATCTGGGCTTTGCCATTTACTAGTTATGTGACCTTGATCAAGTTATTTTGCCACTGAGTTTCCTCATCTACAAAATGGTGTCATCCTAACTTCCTGGGATTGTTGTGAGAATCAAACAAGACAGTGTGCAGTAGACACATAGCACAGTGAGGATACCCAGTAGTGGTAATGTTTTTTTACAATCACTACTATCATTACAAAACCTTTTTCAAACTTCCCAGTTAGGATTTATGTTTTCAGGCTGGGCACCTTGGCTCACACCTGTAATCCCAGCAATTTGGGAAGCCGAGGCAGGTGGATCACCTGAGGTCAGGAGTTCAAGACCAACCTGGCCAACATGGTGAAACCCCGTCTCTACTAAAAATACAAAAAATTAGCCGGGCTTGGTGGCACATGCCTGTAGTCCCAGCTTCTCAGGGAGCTAAGGCAGGAGAATCACTTGAATCCCGGAGGTAGAGGTTGCAGTGAGCCGAGGTCACGCCATTCCACTTCAGCCTGGGCAACAAGAGCAAAACTCTGTCTCAAAAAAAAAAAAAAAAAAAAAGGAATTAATGTTTTCAAAACACCTTGCTCTTATATTCTAGTTCTTTCTTCATTCTGCCTTGTGGTGTAGCAACTTGTTAGCTTTTCTGCAGGCCTCATTAGCCAAGGAAGTAACAGGGGGACTCTTCCTTGTTTTGTTTCTCCCAGTGCCTGGATTTGGGTTTGTTTCCCAGCTCCCTCTTTCTGAAAGCAGGGCTGTGAGCTGCTCTTGGGATCCCTTGTGGGGCCAGCTTAGCCTCTGTCCTGTGATTGTAGGTGTTTGGAATGGAAAAAGTGGGACAGTGAGACCTTCATGTACACACGGTGCCCCAGCCAGCTCACCATCTCACTGTGGGTTGGGAAGTACAAGAAGATGTCCAGAAACATCATAATCAACCCGATGGGCATTCTAGAGGTGGACGCCAACAAACGGGGGAGAATAGCACTGTTCCCTAGTTGTGGGAGCAGGTAGTGCACTGCCTCTGGTGCATGAGGCTCGCAGGGAGCTGATTTTAGCCAAGGGCATCCCAGAGTGGACTGGACCAAGGCCCATGTCCTCATGGAAGGCTCTGCCCACTACTGCTGTCCTCATGCCTCACAGCTACCAAGGAGAGAGATGGGTCATAAGCTCATCTCACAGGCTGGCAAACTAAGAGCTCAGAGGGACCCTTCCATTGTCTGTATTTCCACAGGAAGTCAGGAATGGGGAAATCATGGACTAAAATAAGAGATAAAAGGGAACTTATTTATCCCTTCGTGGTAAGGAAGTGTTCAGGTGGAACATGGGCTAATTAAAGGAACAGATGGCATGGTCTTGCTACAAGCTTCCTGGAGACCCACGTTTTAATAGCCTTAGAAATGTGCATACTCTTAGACCCATGTAGTAATTCTACTTCTTGGAACTTGACTTAAGGAAAAGGGAAATAGGTTTCAATATAATTAAAGATACCAAACAGCTAGAGAGATTGCATCACAGTTTTACTTCTAATTGACAAAATTTCTATACCCAATCATAGAGGACTCATTAAATGTGGTGAATCTGTGGGGGCGCCCAACCCCTCTTCATCTACTTTTACAGGTGCCCACCGCCACCCCCAGCTAACTTTTGTATTTTAAATAGAGACAGGGATTTATCGTGTTGGCCAGGCTGGTCTCGAACTCCTGACCTCAGGTGATCCACCCGCCTCAGCCTCCCAAAGTGCTGGGATTACAGGTGTGAACCACTGTGCCTGGCCTCTGCTTTAAGAATTTGTAAGGATTTTGTTTGCTAGTAAATCATCAACTCTTCTGAAAGTATCTGTTTGGGTCCACTATTTCATTTCCAGTTTGAAAAGGTGTACACACACACACACACACACACACACACACACACATAGGCACGCATAAATACATTTTTTCTTCTATATATCTCTTATAACTAAAGTTTATCTTTAGCTTAATATATTGGTATATTTCATGTAATGTAAATCAAACCAAAAAAAATTATGTGTTCAATTGGCTCAGGAATAAAAAATATGCAAAGAAAAGTATTGGATACAATTTTATAACTAATGATTCAGAATTCAGAAACCATGGCTTCTAATTCTACTTCTACATAATCTTTATTGTAACTATCATAATGTCCCAGTAGTTGTAGCAGGGAGAAAACAATATAAAATATATCTCTTGAGAACATTAGTCTCCAAATGATTTAGGGTTTCAATTCTCTTTTAAAAAGAAAATTACTAAAGAAGTAATTCCATTGTGTTACCTAATAGTATATTGTTATTATCTGTTACCTCCAATGTTAAGTAAAGTAGAATAGGTTACCATGGAAAAGATAACATTTGATTCATTGCACTTCAGTGTTAAAACATGAGAAACCATTTAGTTTTCATAGTTAAATTAAGCTCACACATTGTCTAAATAAGACATTTTAAAATTCACTATATGCTACTTGGTCAAGCACACAAGAAGCATTAGGTTTTTTCTGATTTAGTGATCTTAGAGATTTTGTTTTCTTTTCTTTTTTTTTTTTTCTTTTTTTTGAGACGGAGTTTCACTCTTGTTGCCCAGGCTGGAGTGTAATGGTACAGTCTCGGCTCACTGCAACCTCCGCCTCCCAGGTTCAAGCGATTCTCCTGCCTCAGCCCCTCTAGTAGCTGGGATTACAGGCGCCCACCACCATGCCCAGCTAATTTTTGTATTTTTAGTAGAGATGGGGTTTCACCAAGTTGGCTAGGCTGATCTCGAACTCCTGACCTCAGGTGATCCTCCCGCCTTGGCCTCCCAAAGTGCTGGGATTACAGGCTTGAGTCACTGCACCCAGCACATCACTGTTAAGTCAACAACAAAGAGCATCCTCCATTTCCCACTAAGCTTCCATAAAAAAACTGATGCTAATGATGCCCACCTAATACAGAATGGCCTCTCATATCCTGAGGCAGCAACAGTGGGCCACATGTTTTCTTATAAACACAAGGAATTTAGGCATTTCACCAACCAATTTTTGAGAGTTTAATTACATAATAATTGAAAATTTCCAATACTGTCAATACAAAACCAGTATTCATTGAATATAAATACATCTGTCTAAACATCAAAGTCTTGCTTCTTTATTTATTTATTTACTTTTTTTTTTTTTTTTTTGATACAGAGTCTTGCTCTGGTGCCCAGGCTGGAGTGCAGTGGCTCGGTCTCTGCTCACTGCAACCTCTGCCTCCTGGGTTTGAGCGATTCTCCTGCCTCAACCTCCCAAGTAGCTGGGATTATTGGCGCCCACCACCACACCCAGCTAATTTTTGTATTTTTAGTAGAGACGTGGTTTCACCATGTTGGTCAGGCTGGTCCTTGAACTCCTGACCTCAGGTGATCCACCTACCTTGGCCTCCCAAAGTGCTGGGATTACAGGCGTGAGCCACCAAGCCTGATCTGTCTTGATTCTTTAAAACATACAACTAAATTATTTTACTGTTTAGACTTTGAGTTCCCTATTTTAAGTACTCCTGTTTAACAGAAAACTTTAAAGTGTTAGTACTTTTTTGTGTAATCCTCTGATGTTTATTTAGACTTAATTTTTTATAATGCTTTTTTTCCCTTTTGTAGAGATGGGGGTCTTGCTATGTTGCCTACGCTGGTCTCAAACTTCTAACCTTAAGTTACCCTTCTGTCTCAGCCTCCCAAAGTGCTAGAATTAGAGGCATGAGACACTGAGCTTGATTTTTTTTTATTACTTTCTCAAATTTATTGCATCTATAAAGCTTTTTTTTTCTGTGAATACTGGTAATTTCCAAGGTGTACATTTTGAATAAAACTCTTTCCACATTCATTATAGAGCTTCTGTAGTATATAGAATGTAGTATATAGCTTCCGTAGTATATAGATGTGTATAGAGCTTCTGTAGTATAAGTTCTCTGATGTTCACTAAGGCAGTAGTCCCCAAGCTTTACGGCACCATGGACCAGTTTTACGGAAGACAATTTTTTCCATGGACTAGGGCTGAGGGAAATGAAACTGTTCCACAGCCAGGCGCGGTGGCTCACGCCTGTAATCCCAGCACTTTGGGAGGCCGAGGCAGGTGGATCACAAGGTTAGGAGTTCAAGACCAGCCTGGCCAAGATGGTGAAATCCCGTCTCTACTAAAAATAAAAAATTAGTCTGGCGTGGTGGCACGCGCCTGTAATCCTAGCTACTCGGGAGGCTAAGGCAGAAGAATTGCTTGAAACCGGGAAGTGGAGGTTGCAGTGAGCCGAGATCGCACCATTGCACTCCAGCCTGGGCAATAAGAGAGAAACTCCGTCTAAAAAAAAAAAAAAAGAAAAGAAACTGTTCCACTTCGGATCATCAGGCATTAGTTAGATTTTCATAAAGAGTGTGTAACCTAGGTACCTTGAATGTGCAGTTCACAATAGGGTTTGGACTCCTATGAGAATCTAATGCTGCTGCTGATCTGACAGGAGGTGGAGCTCCTGGAGCTCACGATTGAATTGTCTATGTAGTAAATCCAAAATAGTCAACGTAAAAAAATCTAGAACTAATAAGTGATTATAATAAGGGTGCAGTGTGGGGAAAAGCAAGAGAGATCAGATTGTCACTGTGTCTGTGTAGAAAGAAATAGACATGGGAGACTCCATTTTGTTATGTACTAAGAAAAATTCTTCTGCCTTGAGATTCTGTGACCTTACCCCCAACCCCGTGCTCTCTGAAACATGTGCTGTGTCAAACTCAGGGTTAAATGGATTAAGGGCCGTGCAAGATGTGCTTTGTTAAAGAGATGCTTGAAGGCAGCACGCTCCTTAAGAGTCATCACCACTCCCTAATCTCAAGTACCCAGGGACACAAAAACTGCGGAAGGCCGCAGGGACCTCTGCCTAGGAAAGCCAGGTATTGTCCAAGGTTTCTCCCCATGTGATAGTCTGAAATATGGCCTCGTGGGAAGGGAAAGACCTGACCGTCCCCCAGCCCGACACCCGTAAGGGTCTGTGCTGAGGAGGATTAGTATAAGAGGAAGGCATGCCTCTTGCAGTTGAGACAAGAGGAAGGCATCTGTCTCCTGCCCGTCCCTGGGCAATGGAATGTCTCGGTATAAAACCCGATTGTACGTTCCATCTACTGAGATAGGGAAAAACCGCCTTAGGGCTGGAGGTGGGACATGCGGGCAGCAATACTGCTTTGTAAAGCATTGAGATGTTTATGTGTATGCATATCTAAAAGCATGGCACTTAATCCTTTACCTTGTCTGTGATGCAAAGACCTTTGTTCACATGTTTGTCTGCTGACCCTCTCCCCACTATTGTCTTGTGACCCTGACACATCCCCCTCTCGGAGAAACACCCACGAATGATCAATAAATACTAAGGGAACTCAGAGGCTGGCGGGATCCTCCATATGCTGAACGCTGGTCCCCCAGGTCCCCTTATTTCTTTCTCTATACTTTGTCTCTGTGTCTTTTTCTTTCCTAAGTCTCTCGTTCCACCTTAGGAGAAACACCCACAGGTGTGGAGGGGCAACCCACCCCTTCAGTGCAGAAGTAAATTCTTCTCTATATAGAAGCAATGAACAAGTCAAATTTGAAATTTTAAATGCGTTAACATTTAAATTAGCACTTTTCAAAATGAAACACGTATAAATCTAACAAAATACATTCAAGATCTATTTGATGAAAACTACATAATTCTGATAATAAATTAGTAACTAAATAAATGGAGAAATAGTTCCTTCTCATATATAGGAAGAGTCAGTATTGTCAAGATGTCATTTCTGTCTAACTTCACCTATAGATTCAACAGAATCCTAATCTAAACAAAAAACATTATTTTATGGATATTGAGAACACTTTCTAACAATTATATAAAGAAAAAACCAAGCAACCCACACAGTATTGAAAAAGAACAAAGTAAGAGGACTGTTATTACTCAACTTCAATACTTATTATAAATTTATAGTAATCATGAGACGTTGTATTGGCAAAATCATCGACAAATTGATCAGAGGAACAAATGCAGAGCTCAGATATAGATCCACACGAATATAGTTAAGTGATTTTTCACAAAGAATCAAAGACAATACAATGGAGAAAAAATAGTCTTCAACAAATGGTACTGTAACAACTAGACATCCACATGCAAAAAAAAAAATATATAGATATAGTCATTACACCCCTCTCAAAAATTAACTCAGAATGCATCATAGACCTTAATGTAAACATAAAACTATAAAATTAGAAGAAAACAGGAAAAGATCTGGATCTCCGAATACAGCAATGATATGCCACCCTTCATTGAAATTTTAAAACAAAGAAACAAAAACTGTGAAAGACATTGCTTCTCATTTAAATAAGAAGACAAGACACAGACTGGAAGAAAAATATTTTCAAAATATCTGTCTGGAAAGAAATATTATCTAATGGCCAGACGCGGTGGCTCACACCTGTAATCCCAGCACTTTGGGAGGCCGAGGCAGACTGATCATGAGATCAAGAGATCGAGACCATCGTGGCCAACATGGTGAAAACCCATCTCTACTAAATAACAAAAAAATTAGCTGAGTGTGGTGGCAGGTGCCGGTAATTCCAGCTACTTGGGAGGCTGAGGTGGGAGAATTGCTTGAACCCAGGAGGCGGAGGTTGCGGTGAGCCAAGATTGCACCACTGCACTCTCCAGCCTGGCGACAGAGCGAGACTCTGTCTCAAAAAAAAAAAAAAAAAAAAAAAAGAAAAAAGAAAAAGAAATATTATCTAGATATATAACAAACACTTAGAAGTCAACAACAAGAAATGAAGAACTGCCATGGTTTACATATATTTTATATTACATATGTTATTTATTTTTCATTTTTTTGACACGGAGTCTCACTCTGTGGCCCAGGCTGCAGTGCAATGGCACGATCTCCATGCTCACTGTAACCTCCACCTCCCAGGTTCAAGTGATTCTCCTGCCTCAGCCTCTTGAGTAGCTGGGATTACAGGCAGCTGCCACCACGCCAGTCTAATTTTTTTGTATTCTTAGTAGAGACGGGGTGTCACCATCTTGGCCAGGCTGGTCTCAAACTCCTGACCTCAAGTGATCTGCCCACCTCGGCCTTCCAAAGTGCTGAGCCTCAGATTACAAGCCACAGATTGTAAACCACCGATTACAAGCATGAGCCACTGCTCCCGGCCACATGTATTACTTTTTAGAATCCCCAACAGAATGAAATCCTAACATACCCAAATTATAATTTCTGAACGCTCTTTAAGTAACATATGTAAAGGCACAAGAAATGCTAAAAGAGGCCAGGTGTGGTGGCTGATGCCTGTAATCCCAATACTTTGGGAGGCCAAGGGGGGTGGATCACCTGAGGTGAGGAGTTCAAGACCAGCCTGACCAACTTAGCAAAACCCTGTCTCTACTAAAAATACAAAAATTAGCTGGATGTAGTGGCAGGCACCTGTAACCCCAGACACTCGGGAGGCTGAGGCAGGAGAATCGCTTGAACCTGAGAGGTGGAAGTTGCAGTGAGCTGAGACCAAGCCACTGCACTCCAGCTTGGGGGACAGAGGGAAACTCCATCAAAAAAAAAAAAAAAAAAGCTAAGGCTTTTTTGTATTCATGGTCTACTTCATTAAAATGTAATCTTTGAAGGGTGTTGTAGCCATAGACAGCTCTTTGGGCTGCTAGAGTTATAAGGAATGCATTGCTTCCCTCAAGGGCAAAGAGTGGCACTGAAAAATAACAATAGTTGTGACATGAATTTTTCAGGCATGGCTTCAATTCGACACATCAGAATGTCTAAGAATTCTAAAGACTGCTCTACTGCCACTGCACCAGATTTTTTTATATTGCTCCACCGACTATAGGAAATTTTTACTGAAATTAAGTTTTAATAAAATAACTGACTTATAAACTCTAACAAGGGGACAGAAAATTCGCCAGAGATATCAGTTCCTCCTGAAAAAGCCTCTTTTCTCAATACAATTTTTCTGAAGATACTTTACTGATTTCAGGTGGAATTTTAAATTCTCCTTAAAGACAGAAACAAGCAAAAGGACTAACTGACAAAAACGAATAAAAGTGTGCTCAAATTTACTGACAGGATCATGGGTACATTTAAATAATTAGACCCTACTGGTTTTAAGTAAAAAAGAAAATACCTTAAATTTCAAAGGGGTCTTTATTTTTGGGGAAACAAAAAGCCACTTTTGACCAACTGTCCCCCATATACACACACCCTGGTCCCCCAACCACCCGTCAAGAGGGCCATGTCAAGGCTCCTAAGAGAGGAGACTGTGTGGTCTCGGCAGTGCGGGACGCAGGCTCTGGAACCGCAGGGTCGCGATTGGTCTCATGCCAGCCCTCCTGGACCCGTAGCCAGAAGGACAGGGCAGGCGCCGAGGGGCCGGGGTGTTCCGCGGGCTGGTCCTTGCCGAGAGGAGGCTGGGGCACGGGCTTCCTGCTCGGGGAAGTTTGTTTCCGCTGCCCAGGAGGGCTCTGCAGCCGCCAGGGAGGGAACACAGCGGGGAGGAGGCCCCGAGCCAGACGATCCAGGAGCCCTGGGTGGCGCGGGCTAGGTGGCGGGGGTCGGAGAATAGGGGAGCAGGAGCCCGGCCACGCCAGCTTCTGTCTCTGCCCGCCTACGTAAGGAGCCGCCCTCTTTGTCCACCAGATTCCGGGAGGCGCTCTCTTCCCGCCGGTGCCGGAGCGGGACGCGGGGGTCGCCACCCTCTGGGAGACTGAGGACGCCAGGACACCCGCCCCTGCCATGGACGCCCCGCCCCGCCCCGCCCTCGCGCTCAGCCTGGCGGTGACCGTGGTGGCCAGCACCGCCTTGGAGCCCTGAGCAAGGGCAGCGCGGTGTGTGGTGAGCAGCAGGCGGGGAAGGAGGCCGCGGGCACCGAGGAGGGTTCGGGGCCCTGCAGGGGACGCTGGGGAACTGGACACAGGGGACTGGATGGGGAAAAGGCGCCGCGTGTAAGTGGCACTGCCAGGTTAGTCCCGGCTTCTGTTGCCACTCCTTCAGAAGATCACTGCTTGAGCCGGGACAGCGGTTGTGTGGCGCCAGGAGCTGCAGGGCCACCACCCAAGTGCGACGCCCTGGCGGGGAGCCTGGCCCGTGGTGTCCACAGACCCTGCCCCTAGGCCCCAAAGCCAGAGGCTGGAATTTGGAGGGTGGATGTGCAGGAGTCAACTGAAGCCCAGCCCCTGCCCGCAAGTGGCCAGCGTGATGCGGTGACACTTTAGTGCCACCACTGCCCCTACCCTACTCTCAAGCCTGGTGGGCTAAGAGATTTGTCTGCCCCATGGGGTGCACACCCATCACTAGGGAGAGGTAATGGGGGAGATGTCCCAGAAGTGTGGGACCGCCGACAGTCAGGGGCCTGCGAGAAAAGGAGGGCCTTCTAGGAGGCGCCCCGAGGCCAGAGAAGGAGAGGGTGCCCCAGGCCCGCCTTGGAAAGTTGACGCTGTCCCCGAGGTGTGGCGCTGGCGACTCCCAACCAAATCGCCAAGCGCTCTGTGTGCTATCTGCCCTGCACACGCGCTACCATACTCCCGGCTACCAACTAGAGAGGGGTGGCCTGGAGGGCGACTGCCAAGAGCCTGTTCCCCTGGAAACAGGCAACCCCCATCCTGGGCAAGGGGGGCACGGACACCCCCACCCCCAGCCTGGCGACCATGCATAGGGAGGCCCTTCACGGGTGAGCGAGGTGGATTGGAGTGGAGCAGGTGGCCCAGGGGGTCCCTGAGTGATTTAAAGGTGATTAAGCTGGGAGTGGAGCCATCCCGTTGGCGGAAACGTTGCGTGTGGGTGGGCTTGGAGGGCGATGTCTGCGGGGACCTCTAGGGCTCTAGGCTGCCAGTTGCCTGGCTAGACTCTTGGTGTCCACCTTGAACCTCAGTTTTCTTCCTTGTCCCAGACAATGAATATGGCAGAGCTGTTTTGATTATTAGGCCAGATATTTCTGGTGAGCATTTATTAGCCTGCCTGGTCTCTGGATTTTTTCTTTCCTGACTTTGTAAGGAAACTCTACTGCCCAATGTGTACTCTTGGGGAGTGAGGTGGGGAGGCAGGAAGACAGGACTCTCACCTTTGGCTTCAGAGTCCCTTCTGGGTGCCCCCTCCCCTTAGGCTCAATTAAAGCACATAGCTGGCAACAAATCTCCTACCCATGACAGCTGAAGAGTCCAAAACAAGATGGGTTCCTTTCCTGACCCCAGGGCCTCATCTCACCTCCAAATTAAAATCCCTTAGGGTGGTCAGCTTCAGACAGCAGTCTAAATTTGATTTTTGTTCTCTGGGGCCGACCCAAAGCCCTTATGATGGAGTGTTGCTCCCCCTCCATACTACCCCATGCCTCCCCCAATGCATTGGAGGACCTTAACTGTAGTGACCTGGAATTGGGAACAAGGTTCCCCAGCAGAAAATGTGATCCTCCCCAGGAGGCTGGCCTGGCATAGCCTCATGGACATCAGTCTTGGGTCAAGAGACTCAGGGCAGGGAGAGACTCTCACCACCCCCTCCCCCACCCACTTTCACATGCTGCAGGGTGCTTCCTCACTCAACACCCTACAGTGGTGGAGGCTCCAGTCATGGCTGGCCTCTGGGCTGCTCCATGTCCCTTCCCAGATCCCAGGAGAGGAGCAGATCCTGAAAGAGGATCTAAATTTCTCAGCTCAGCTGAGCCCTCGGCCACTACCCTGGAACACACACTTTGGTTTTCTCGCCCTGAGTCCCTTCTTGCTCCTGCCCATCTGGCTATCCCAGGCAGGTGATTGGGTTTCTGCCCCATGTCTGGTTGGGCTGTGAGGGTCACTGGCAGGCCACCTTTCAGAAGGCACCGTCTGGCAGTGGGCAGACTGTCATTGTGGTCTCTCAGGTCCAGAAATAGTCTCTGCCACAGCCTGCTGGGCTCTCTCCATCACCCTGTGGGCCACCACCCACCCTGGGAGGCCTGGGAGGGCAGCTCAGAGCTCTGGGAGGTGCCTTTTCCCACCTTCTGCCCACATTGCTCCCACCCGTGCCTCAGTGTCCTCCTCTGAGGGATGGATGTGTCTCTGCAAGTAGATGACAGTGAGGTTACCATGGGGAGGGGCTCCCTCCCTCCTCTGTCCTGGGCCCCTGGTGCCTCCCTCTGACAGATGCTGGCCCAGACACCCCATGAATCTTCACAGGAAGGCAGCTCCCACCACAGCCCCCAAGAAAAAGGAAAGCCAACTGGGCTGTGCGGGAGGGGGTGGCAGCAGCCCTAGACACCAAGATAGGCAGGAGGCCAAGCCTCTAGAACTCTATCCTTATTAGGTGCCCACCAGGTCCTGAAACACTGCATAGGGTGGCCTAAGGCCTCAGATTCTAGTGGGCAGACACCACCCCACTGCCTTCTAGGTTCTCCACACTGTGGGCATCTGAGTTCACCCTCCTGGAAAACTGCTACAAATGCCTGTCCTGGCTCATCCACCCAGCTGGGATGCCCGCTGGGTTCTGGACCATGCCCCTGTGGGCCTGCCTCTGTGTGCCTCCTTTGGAGGGTAGGGGCTTCCCTGGAAGATGCCCTCATGCCTTGAAGTTCTCCAGTTCAGATTGGAGCACACTGGGCCTCTCAACAGGAGTGGCAGCTTGGAGGAAGCAGACAGAGAAGAGAGGAGACACACAGCCCGGCCCTGAGAATGTCCAGGGTTTGTGGGACATCGTGGTGATGCTCATGGGAGTCTAGTCCAGCCCAGGCAGGAGTCCTCAAAAGGCCAACATTCTCCCTCCGCAGAAGAGGAAACTGAGTCTGGAGTTAGCCAGAAGGACCCATTGAAGGGGTCAGGTCAGATGGGCCTCTGTTCCTCACCTCTGTTGTGGCCTTCATGTGCCAGGGTTCCCCTACTGGACTCGGCCCCAGCAGATGGACAAAAAGCTGCTGGCCACGCCAGCTGTTGAACCCATTCACTTTTGCTGTGTGGCCACCAGCAATCCAACACTCTCCATTTCCTGGCTGGAGAACCACAAGGAAGTCCATGAAGTGCATCACATCAGGGCATCAAGGTCAGCCTGGTGGTGGAGACATGACCTTTGGACCTGGGCGAGTGTGAGTGTGGGGTCCAGGGTGGAGGACTCTGCAGGGCAGGGCCTGTGATCCAGTCCTCTCACCTGAGGATCCACCCACAGTAGTGGCACCAGCTGTGGAGCCTGGTCATGGAGAGCCTAGTGGAGAATAAGCTCCCCATTGTGTTAGCTCATTCTGACACTGCTATAAAGAACTACCTGAGACTAAGTAATTTACGAAGAAAAGAGGTTTAATTGACTCACAGTTCTACAGGCTATACAGGAAGCATGGCTGGGGAGGCTCAGGAAACTTACAATCGTGGCGGAAGGTGAAGAGGAAGCCGACCTATCCTACATGGATGGAGCAGGAGGAAGAGAGAGTAAAGAGGGAAGTGCCACACACTTTTAAACAACCGGATCTCATGAGAACTCACTATCACAAGAACAGCAAGGGGGAAGTGAAGTTCACACCCATGATTCAATCACTGCCCATCAAGCTCCTTCTCCAACACGTGGGGATCACGATTTGATATGAGATTTGGATGGAGACACAGAGCAAAACAGTATCAGGCAGCAACCTTCAGGCATATGGCCTGGACGTGCTGGGCGAGGGCTGCAGGCAGAGTCAGGCAGTGAGGAATCTGTCCAGCTATTGTGTGCCCCTACACATTGCTGTCCTCACTGGCCCATCCTACATACATGGCTGCTGCTCAACCAGATGGTGGTGCTGGGCAGTGAGGTGGAGCTCCACTGTGCGGTGTGAAGTGGCTTAGCATGGGGAGGTGAACAGCAGGAAGGTGGGCACCGACGGCATGCCGTACCTCAGCATGCTCAAGGTGGATGTCGCTGCTGGATGGATGCAAGGGGTGGGCAGGCTTGTTACCAACGGAAGAGATCCGAGTTACTGGGGGGCGAGTTTGTGTGGGTCTCCAGCAACTTCAATTTTTGCCTCCCCAGAAGAAAGAATTCGACTGAAGGAGCAGAAAAAGAGACCAAGGCAAGTTTCAAAGCAGGAATGGAAGTTTATTTAAAAGGCTTTAGAGCAGGAAAGAACGCTTGGAAGAGATCCAAGTGGGTGCCTGAAGGTTAAAAAGAGGGAAAAAAAGGGGGTCTTTAACTTTGATCCCGGGACTTTATAGACTCACCTCTTTCCCCTAGGGTGGGCTTTCTGCAGATGTGATGCCCTCCTTACCCTTGGGAATTGAGTACATGCAGTATGTATGTATGTAAGTTTAGGAACTTAAACGCATGCCCATCTGAGGCTTTCTTTTCTCTGGTGGAGTGTACCCAGAAGACCATACTTTGCCTTTTTTGTCTGTCAGTGTGCATGCCCAGGAAGTTGCTTTTCCCTGGGGCCTGCCATTAATTAACACTTAAATGTTAACAGGTGTGGACCATTGGGAACTGGCCTCTCCCTGGCTTTCACTGCCAATTTATCACTTTTAGTGAGGCAATGCCATAATTGCCAAACCATCACCTAACATTTTTAGTGGGTGAGGTAGGGGAGAGCCCTCTCCTGCCCCTATCATGTCTATCTATCTACCTATAACAGGCTGGATTGTGGGGGCTCCACTTTACTGAAATCTACCACCATTATAGAAGTTTTAAAGGAGCCAGTGAAAGACAAATTTATGATACCAGCCAGGAGACAAAACCCTCTGTAGTGAGCAGTTCTGGATATGAACTTGCTGCTGGTTCATAGCACCTTCTATAAACCACGGTCTGAAATTAGATGCATTTCCTCCCAAAGTGAGAATATATGTGCCAGTAAATAACAATGGGAAGCATTTCTGTGACTTTTGTTCCTCATAATCCTTTCAAAGACATTTCTTTCTCCCTCTGCAACTTTGTACTCTCTGAATTCACTCACTGAGTAAAGAATTCCTTGAGTAAAGAATCCCACACATAATCTTCTCTTTTGTGTGTGTGTGTGTGTGTGTGTGTGTGTGACAGAGTTTCACTCTTGTTGCCCAGGCTGGAGTGCAATGGTGCAATCTCGGCTCACTGCAACCTCCACCTCCCGAGTTCAGATGATTCTCCTGCCTCAGCCTTCTGAGTAGCTAAGATTACAGGCACACGCCACCACGCCCAGCTAATTTTTATATTTTTAGTAGAGATGGGGTTTTGCCATGTTAACCGGGCTGGTCTTGAACTCCTGACCTCAGGTGATCCACCTGCCAACGGCCTCCCAAAGTGCTGGGGTTAGCCACCGTGGCGTTAGCCACCGTGCCTAGCCAAACTTGTCTTAACGTTACTGGAAAAGGGTCTGAATCCATATCCCAAAAGAGGGTTCTTGCACCTCCCATAAGAAATAATTCAGAATGAGTTCATACAGTAAAGTGAAAGCAATTTTATTAGAGATGTAAATAAAAGAATGACTACTCCATAGACAGAGCGGTGAGATTGGCTGCTCGATTGACTATACTTATAGTTGTTTCTTGATTATATGCTAAACAAAGGGTAGATTATTCATGAGTTTTTCAGGAAAGGGGCAGAAATTT